>NC_000010.11:90597640-90900671 GCF_000001405.40 Homo sapiens
AGAGTACAAATTGAATTGCTAATTCCTATTTTCTGTCCATTGTTGTCCATAAAACGCCCCTATATCTTTATATCTAAGTCATCTCTTTGTTCAGGTTGGCTAGAATCGTTTCCTCCTTGAAATCACTCCCCTCGACTAAATGCAGTCCCCTGTTCTCTCCTTTCTAATCTCTTCCCTCACTATGGATGCTTTTATCTCCCATATCTTTCTAGTTCCCTGATTCCCCACCTCCTATTCCCTAAAAATGCTGGCTTGGCAGTGTACTGCCATTAGATCTGGAAAGCCCTGGTATTTTATTATTATGAAGAGACTAAGCTGAGGGTAGAAGAATCTATTCATCTCCAAGTTGCCAGTGAACTCTGAGGCATCTTAGTTATTAGTGAGTTGAGCTGAAGAATAAAAACAATTTTCAAGTGCCCTTAGGCAAAAATATGTCTTACCTACCAATTCCGCAATCCCTGAGAGGATCTGGAAGCCATAGGGATTGTACGTTTCTAAAAGGCAACATACAGAGACTAAATTATACTTTCTATACATCCTTTTCATGTGTTCTGGGAAGTGCTGGGGTTTTTTTTGTGTTTTGCGGGAGGCGGGGGTTGGCCAGATTCTCAAGGCCCTCCCTCTCTGAAAGTTTTCTATATTATGACATGGTTTCCAGGATGCCTCTAGTTTCCCAGGGAAAAGAGCTGATCACCATGAGTTCCTAGAAAACTATGAAATGTCATGGATTTTCAAGCTATGTGCCATAAATTAATCCCTCCAGAGATATAAATCCGGATCTTTAGTTATTAGTAGATAGCCCAGAAGAATACCTTCTTGGAATCTGAATATTTCCAAATCCTAATTTCCAGAGACTCTCCAGCCTTCTGTATTGTTTCATATATTCATTCTTTCATGTATTAAAAAAAATATGAACATCTACTATATCCCAGTCACTACCATATGTTACATTGATGCAACGAGCAGAATTGTCCAACGGCGACCTGGGGAACCAACTGAAACAAGGTATTTTGCTTCCCCAGCAGATGGTGTTGTATCTGAACTTATCTCTTTTGGAACGAGGGGCTTCCTTTCCCACAGAGGATGCTCTAACTTCCCAGGGGCCTCAAGTGCCTCAGGAACTGATCACCTGGCTTTTCCACATAACTCCTTTAAACAGCTGACACTCAAATCCAGACTGCCTGCTAGCTAAATAATCTTATTATCTCCACATTGAGGAAGCTGCTCTCTAAAAAGAGAAAGCAATAATGGGAAGGGCTCCTCTCCTGGAACAGAGAAAAGTATCATGGAGTTGGTAGAGCTTAATTTGGATGAGATTTTCAAGGAATGATTGGTTAATGAGGGAAAGACAAACTGTTGCCTGATGGATGTAAAGGGCCTCCCAGGCATGTGGAGAACTGAGAGAAGGACAGTTTAGACACAGGGCATAGCCCAGGTGATATCCCTAGAAAATAAGGGGCGTATGGACTAAAGGAGCTCGAGGGAGGCCAGTGTGGCTGAAGCAGGGTAGAGCAGGGAGAATGTGGTTTGAGATGAGACTGTAAAAGTACTAACCACAGCTAGCCACTATTCAAAGTCCACAAACCATTCTGGTTTAGTCTCTGGCATGAAAGAGAGTCTACCTTTCATAAGAATCCCAAGACTAGAGTTGAAAGCAGAGCTATCACTGTTTTTCAGCTTGCTAGTCCATGAGCATACTTTCATAAAGCAGTCTCCTATAGTGGGAGTACTCCCTCCTCCATATATTTTCTATCATTTAGAAAGGATGGGTTCAAGAAATATCCCTCCCACTGCCATGGTACTTGCATACCAAACTTGCAACCAGAATGGTGATGATAATGCTCTGGATGCTGGTGATTATAACCATTAATAACTAGCATTCATTGATCTACTATGTGTCAGGATCTAGGTGAAATACTTCATACTATATATGATTTAATCTTCATGAGCATATATCCTTGTCACAAAGCAGAGTTAGGGGTATGAGAGAGTATCTCTGAGAGAAAGTGGTTATAAAAGGTCATGTTTTTTTACAGTACATTTGTCATAGTGGCATGATAAATTGGGTGCCAAAACATGTTTCCATTACAGAATCATTGTTTTAGAAATAAATACAGGAATGTTTAGGCATGTCCTTGGACTGGACTTGGGAATACATGGTTCACAAAACAAACACGCTTCTTCCCAGCATTCTTCAAACAAGAATCCCAAAATCTGGCAACTGAAAGAAATTTTATGATGAAATAATTGGAACTCTCTTAAAGGGAAAGTCTTGTGGTCCTCAAGTCTGGAAGGCAGAGCAAAACTGGTTGTATTTTCTTCCATATAAGGAGTATGAAAAAGAGAGGTCCACTTCTTTAAAAACTTTTGATCTTGCTCTAGTCCAATCTATTTTCCACATTGCAGCCAGGACTTTTGTTCCGAAACAAAAATACAGGTTCTTAAAAATTACCTTGCTAAATTTATTTATAAAAATAAAATTATTCTCCCCATTTTCAATGCCTTCTTCATTCCCAGATGTTGAATTAGTGCAGCTTTGAACCCCTGGAGAATGCTCTTCTCAAAGCACACCCCAGGCATCTTCTGGTGCCCGTGATGTCCCCTAGAACTTCACCAGCTGCCTTGGCCATACTCCTAGACAGACCTCAGAATGCTCTTGACTCTCATCTCTATCCTCTCTTTAACCTTGGATTGGCCTCATGTGGTGATTTCCACCATAGTTCTGCACCTGCCTCACATTGGTCAAGTTTAGCCCTGGTTGAGTTTAGCCCTAGTGCTTCTCATGAATAGTGACCACATCTTTCTAATCAGTTTGTCCAGAAGTGCAAGTGAGACATGATCTTGAAGAATTGTATCCTTTGATTTTGTTCAGGCATGAGTTCTCTGGAAATCACCTTCAATAATAATTTTCAGTGCAAAAGCAACTTTATTAACATAGAGAAATTTGGTATGATCTATGATATAGTTTGTCTTTGTCCCCACCCACCCAAATCTCGTTTTGAATTCCCACATGTTGTGAGAGGGACCCAGTTGCAGGTAATTGAATCATGGGGGCAGGTGTTTCCCATGCTATTCTCATGATAGCGAATAAGTCTCATGAGATCTGATGGTTTTAAAAAGGGGAGTTTCCCTGCACAAGCTCTCTTCTCTTGTCTGCTGCCATGTGAGATGTGCCTTTTACTTTCCACCATGATTGTGAGACCTCTCCAGCCACATGGAACTGTAAGTCCTTAAACCTCTTTCTTTTGTAAATTGCCCAAGCTTTGGCAGCTTCCATGTGGTGTTGAGCTTGCCAGTGCACAGAAGTCAAGAAGTGAGGTTTGGGAATCTCCACCTAGATTTCCGAGGATGTATGGAAACACCAGATGCCCAGGCAGAAGTTTGCTGCAGGGAAGGACCCTCATGGAGAACCTCTGCTAGGGCAGTGCAGAAGGGAAATGTGGGGTCGGAGGCCCCACACAGAGTCCCTACTGGGGCACTATCTAGTGGAGCTGTGAGAAGAGGGCCACCGTCCTCCAGATCCCAGAATGATAGCTCCATCAACAGCTTGCACCATGCACCTGGAAAAGCCACACTCAACACCAGCCCATGAAAGCAGCCTGGATAGGGGCTGTAGCCTGCAAAGCCATAGGGGTGGAGCTGCCCAGGGCCCTGGGAGCCCACCTCTTGCATCTCACATGACCTGGATATGAGACATGGAGTCAAAGGAGATCATTTTGGAGCTTTAAGATTTGACTGCCCCACTGGATTTTGGACTTGCATGGGGCCTGTAGCCCCTTTGTTTTGGCCAATTTCTCCCATTTGGAATGACTGTATTTACCCAATGCCTGTACCCCCATTGTATCTAGGAAATAACCAACTTGCTTTTGATTTTACAGGCTCACAGGTGAAAGGGGCTTGCCTTGTCTCAGATGAGACTTCATACTGTGGACTTTGAGTTAATGCTGAAATGAGTTAAGACTTTGGGGGATTGTTGGGAAGGCATGATTGGTTTTGAAATGTGAGGGCATGAGATTGGGGAGGGGCCAGGGGCAGAATGATATTGTTTGGCTGTCTCCCTACCAAAATCTCATCTTGAATTCCCATATGTTGTAGGAGGGACCTGCTGGGAGGTAATTGAATCATGGGGACAGGTCTTTCCCATGCTGTCCTTGTGACAGTGAGTAAGTCTCATAAGCTCTGATGGTTTTAAAAAGGAGAGTTCCCCTGCACAAGCTATCTTCTCTTGTCTGCCACCATGTGAGGCATGCCTTTCACCTTCCACCATGATTGTGAGGCTTCTCCAGCCACGTGGAACTGTAAGTCCATTAAACCTCTTTCTTTTGTAAATTGCCCAGTCTCAGGTATGTCTTTATCAGCAGTATGAAAACAGACTAATACGGTCTACATACAAGCTGCCAAATTAGTAACGCACAACAAAAATTCCACATTCAGCTTCCTCCAGTGTCAGGTTCTTTCTCTCACCTGGATATAGGATAACCTTAACCTCTCAAGTTATCTTGTAAGTCCTTGAGCTTTTGAGGAAGAAAATACCCTCCACTTGCACATAAATCATTTGAGTGTTTAATGAATTTGATTATATCTTAAGGAACAGGAGCAATGTCATTGATACTCCAAAAGATTATTTTCCTAGTAGTTCATTGCTTGTTTTTAAATTCAGGAATGACCAATGTCCAGATAATTTTTAAAAAATTAGGAAAAGGAAAGGAAGCTAACATTTATTGTGTAACTTCTTTTGGACATATGCACACTCTACTAGATATGTTAGTTATACAGTTTAACTCCTAAGTCCAAACTGCACACACTTTAGATATTCTACAGAGGAGCATAAAACTCTCTGGGTTCTCACCATAAAAGTTTCCTTTAATATAGTCTTCTGCAGTAAGTTTCCTGGGGGGTATATCTTATATTTCTAATATTAGACATATATAAGTTAATAATAAATATGCCTTAAATTGATGTTTTTCTGACTGCAAAAGTAATATATAAATGTAGAAAATACCATAGGATTATATGGCTTAAAATTGATAATTTCCTAAAAGTTACCCTTCACCCCACAAGATAAGCACTGTTAACAGCCAGGTAAACTATTTCTTAACTTGCATACTAGCACCCTTTACTTTTTGACTCTTGCTTTCCCTTCCCCTTTCCTGGCTCACACTTTGTTATCACACTTCTCCCTATAGTGGGTATCCACCCTTTGTGTCTGTCTAGCACCATCATTTTCCTCAGATAACATTCTTCTCTCATGTAAATCATGCATTCTTGACATGGACTGCCAACCACAGAACTCTATTTCCCTAAGCACAGCAAACGGACTGAATTAGTTGTATGGCTATCTCTGGGCACATCACCATGGCCATGACAATGGAGGACCATGACTGGACAGACTCATGTCACAATTTAGAACATCCACAAGAATGTTCCTGGCCAAAAGCCCAGTTCTTACAAAATAGGAAGTGGTCTATTCATCAGACCTGCATGGATCTCAGTGAAGGTCAAATTTAAACCATCTCACACCAATTCCAATTGGAATCTATTTATTACTTAAAGTCTCCTGAGAAACAGATGGCAGAGATATCCTCCCTCAGCCACTATCCATATATCCCAATCTGACAGAACTGACACCTGGAGTTAAAGACAGATCTGTTGCTTTGCAATACTCTGATTTATTTCTGATGACAATACGGCATTTACCTACCACAGGCAATGAAAAGGAGAATTTCACTTCTTTTCCAGTCTCCTGCTAACTCTTTTTGGTGCTCTGGGTAGATGACTGTGGTCAATTGCCTCCAACAGAAAATGCCTGTTGCCTCAGTCACTAATTCCAAAGACTAATGTTGACATTCTATTCTGAGGCATCCTCATCTCATATAAGGACATATCCTTGTTTGGGGGCAAAAAAATCAAATGTGCAAGAGATAAAGCAATATGAATGACCCAAAGCAACAGCATTTCCAATGACATATTTTACTGCTAATAACTTCAGAATATATCTTCCATCCTAGAAAAAAAATACCCCCATTCCATTACTTCCCCCAAATAATTGTTATTTATAAAATGAGGCTAGGATGTCATAAAATTAGCATTTACAGCTAGATGAAATCTTAAAAGATAAGGCTCTGGCTCAGAGCCCCATCCATAAAGTGCCAAGCTAGCATTGTTCAAATGTTCTCTACTTCCTAGGAAGCAGATTCATGCATAATTGCATACGGCTAAAAGACAAGGCCTATACAGTACGAGGTGAGTTTCTGCAGCAAATTTCTTCCTTATTCCTGGGATTGTGCTCCCAAATTTCTCAGCTTTGAATGTTCTCAGAATTTATTTGACAGTGGCAGAGAAGAAAATAGACTTCATAGAATAATAGTGAGCAAAGAGTCTTTGACTTCAATTCACCAAGATTGGCTTAATCAAAAACAGAAAAAAAAAATGAGATGAAAAAGTAAAGCCATCTGGTTTGAATATTATTGAGGTATTCCTATGTGTCTGGCACCTAGGAAGTGCTCAGAAAACTAGCTGTTGTGAGGATTCAATAACACAACATGTATAACTGCTGGACACATATGTCTGACAGGTACAAAAGGCTCAGCAAACATTTGTTCCCCAATATCCCATCACCACTACTCCATTTATGCTCCTGCCTCTTCTTCTCCCTAGAATTCTGTCTCCCCTGTCATTTCTACTAGTCAAACTCCTATGGCTCTTCAAGGATTAACTTAGATAAAACTTCCTTCAAGAACACCCTCTCAAGCAAACTACTCATAGTATCTCCTTCCTATACATTGGTACATTTCTGGTACCTTTTTTTTAAATAAAATTTATCATCTTCCCAGTGTATTATAAGTTCATTGGAAATTTTAAAAGCCAGTTGTATTCCTACTGAAGACATCTAACATCATATGTGCCAGAGCCAGAATTCGGACTCAGGTGTGTCTAATTCTTGAACTTCACTTTTCCATATTATGCTACCTTTCATATTATGAAGGCATGACCCAAATAAAAGAGTAGCTCAGTTTATTCATCCTTCTCTCCAACTTAGATGTGGAGAGAAAATCACACCTTATCTCTCTTCCAGTTTCTCTTCCTTCATTTCTTTCTGAGTACACTAAGGAAGCCACCCCTACTGAGCCTGAAATTAGAAGTCAAATACTGCTCTGCCTTGTCTCTCATCCCATTCCTCTCAGTGACAGTTTAATGGCATGCTGTTAATAAGTCACAGACAGATTCCTGTGGTCAACAATGGAATACCTATTTTTAATCAGAGGCACAAGGCTAAGTAACATGTTTTAACCATCAAGCATACTGTATTAGTTAGGGCTCTCTAGAGAGACAGAACTAATAGGAGATAGATAGATAGATAGATAGATAGATAGATAGATAGATAGATAGATAGATAGATAGAGTTTATTAAGTATTAACATACATGATCATGGGGTCCCAAAATAGGCTGTCTGCAAGCTTGAGGAGCTAGGAGGGCTGGTCCTAGTCTCAGGTTTAACTCAGTTTAACTCCTGAGTTTAACTCTTAACTCTTCTCCTAACTGAAGAAGTTGGAGTTCAATATTCGAGGGCAGGAAGCATCCAGCATGGGAGAAAGATGTAGGCTGGGAGGCCTGGGAGCTGATCAGGTGGTGCCCTCCAGATTAAGAGTGAGTCTGCCTTCCCCAGCCCACTGACTCAAATGTTAATCTCCTTTGGCACCCTCAGAGACACACCCAGGATCAATACTTTGTATCCTTCAATCTAATCAAATTGACACTCAGTATCAACCATCACAAGCCCACCCCTTGTCAACTTGAATTCATACACATCTCCTGAGATCATACATAATCTTCAAATAAAGACAATAATAAGGTCATAATTATGCCTAACATAAATTAACTATTTTTTGTACAACTGGAAATGAACCAATCCCCAACCCAAATACTATTACATAAAGTTAACAATACTTACATGTTGATGTGAAGTCAGTAAATCTTATGTCACATGATATAGCAGAAATGAAACAAAATGAAGATATTTTCTTAGTAGAAGGGTATACATGCACAAACATGTTTTTAACAAACGGAGGAGGAAATACTCATGACAATTACAGTCCTCGTTTCTGCAGCTGGTCATGTGGACATAGCTGGTATTGATGACTACCTTCTTCTACTACCCATTCTGTATTCCCTTTGCCTTCAGCAAGCACCTCAGCAGGTCGTGTTTTTTTCCTGGTAGAATGACCTAAACCTTCATTCCTGAAGGGTCTGGGTTATTTGTAGTCTTGCCTGGATTGGGCTGTTGTAGTTTCCCATTGACCTGAATCATAGGGCATGGTAATACTAAGAGATGCCCTAATGGATCTCTTGTATTCCACACATACTCTTCCTTACCTCCGTTGTGGAATAGTAGACTGATTTCATCTTACTAGTCCAGGTCAATCGCCCCAGCCAACACTGTAACTCCCTTCTTAGCCTGTTGACTTAAAGGTAGGAGGAGCCCAAAGTGTCCAGGTGGCAATCTTAACTTCCAGTTTAATAGAATTGTGTGTCTCCTGGGGACAGCATTCATCCCTCTATAACTAAGACCCCTAGGCCAGCAGAACATAATGCCGCAGGAACAGGAGGCAAAAATTTTGCCAGTGGATCACTAGGGGTGATGGTGAGTGGTGCCACTTCCACTTCCACCCCTTGATTCCTGGACCCGTAAATCATAGCTATGAGAGAAAGAGTACCATATATTGAATGCTGATTCAGAGCATACATGGCTCGCTGGAGAATTTTGCCCCAGCCATGCAAAATATTGTCACCTATTTGGCTTTGTAATGGTGACTTCAAAAGGGATTCCACCATTCTATCCAGCTGCTTCCGGATGATGGGGAACATGGTAAGAACAGTAAATTCCATGAGCATGGGCCCACTGCTGCATTTCTTTAGCCATTAAGTGAGTGCCTTGGTCAGAGGCAATGCTGTGTGGAATACCATGATGGTGGAGAAGGCATTCCGTGAGTTCACGGATAGTAGTCATGGCAGAAGCATCACATGCAGGATACGCAAACCAATATCTGGAGTAAGTGTATATTTCAGTGAGGACAAACCTCTGCCCTTTCCATCATGGAAGAGGTTCAATATAATCAACCTGCCACCAGATAGCTGGCTGATCACCCTCAGGAATGGTGCCATATTGAGGGCTCATTGTTGGTTTCTGCTGCTGGCAAATGGGCACTCAGCAGTGGCTGTACCCAAGTATGCCTTGGTGAGTGGAAGTCCATGTTGCTGAGCCCAGGCATAACCTCCATCCCTGCCACCATGGCCACTTTGTTCATGGGCCCATTGGGCAACAACAGAGGTGGCTGGGGAAAGAGGCTGAGTGGTGTCCACAGAATGGGTCATCCTATCCACTTAATTATTAAAATCCTCCTTGGGTCAGGTCACCTGTTGGTGAGAACTCACATGCTCAAATATCTTCACAGCTTTTGATTACTCAGAGAAGTCCATACTCTGAGTCCATACCTCCTCCCCAAATTTCTTTATCACCAATTTTCCAATCATGCTTCTTCCAAGTCCCTGATCATCCAGCCAAACCATTGGCTACAGCCCATGAATCAGTATATAACCACACATCTGCCCATTTCTCCTTCCACGCAAAGTGTACAACAAGTTGCACTGCTTGAAGTTCTGCTCACTGGAAAGATTTCCCTTCACTGCTCTCCTTAAGAGATGTCCTAGAAAGGGGCTGTAGTGCTACAGCTGTCCACTTTTGGGTGGTGCCTACATATCATGCAGAACCATCTGTGAACCAGGGCCTAGTCCTCTCTTCCTCTGTCAACAGATCGTAGGGAACTCCCCATGAGGCCATTTGGTGTAGGCTGGAGAGAAGGCAGGGTTGCAGGAGTAAAGACCATAGGCATTTGGGCCACTTCCTCATGTAACTTACCTATGCCTTCAAGACCTGCTCAAAACTGATCACATACATACCACTTCCATTTCATGATGGAATGCTGCTGTGCACAACCCACTTTATGACTAGATGGGACAGAAAGCACCCAGTCCATGATAGGCAGTTCAGGTCACATGGTGACTTGATGACCCATAGTTAAATGTTCAGTTTCCACCAAAGCCCAGTAACAGGCCAAGGGCGGTCTCTCAAAAGGAGAGTAGTTATCTGCAGAAGATGGCAGGGCCTTGCTCCAAAATCCTAGAGGCCTCCACTATGATTCACCTATGGGGGCCTGCCAAAGTCTCTAAACAGCATCCCTATCTGCCACTAATGCCTCAAGCACCATTGGATCTGCTGGGTCATATGGCCCAGTGGCAGAGCAGCTTGCATAGCGGCTTGGACCTGTTGCAAAGCCTTCTCCTGTTGTGAACCACACTCAAAACTGGCAGCCTTTCGGGTCACTCAATAAATGTGCCAGAGTAACATAACCAAATGAGGAACATGTTGCCTCCAAAATCCAAATAGGCCCACTAGGTGTTCTGCCTCTTTCTTGGTTGTAGGAGGGGCCAAATGCAGCAACTTATCCTTCACCTTAGAAAGAATATCTCTACAGGCCCCACACAACAAGACCCCCAGAAATTTTACTGAGGTAGAAGTTCCCTGAATTTTATTCAGATTTATTTACCATCCTCTGGCATACAAATGTCTCACCAGTAAGTCCAGTGTGTTTGCTACTTCTTCCTCACTGGATCCAATCAGCATAATGTCATTAATGTAATGGACCAGTGTGATATCTTGCGGAAGCAAAAGGCAATCAAGGTCTCTCCGAGGAAGACTATAACACAAAGCCAGAGAGTTTACACACCCCTGAGGTAGGACAGTAAAGGTATATTGCTGGCCTTGCCAGCTGAAGACAAATTGCTTCTGGTGGGCCTTGTGGACAGGAATGGAGTAAAGGCATTTGCCAAATCAATGGCTGCATACCAGGTACCAGGAGATGCGTCAATTTGCTCAAGTAATGAAACCACATCTAGTACAGCAGCTGTAATTGGAGTCACCACTTGGTTACACTTACGATAATCCACTGTCATTCTCCAAGATCCATCTGTCTTCTGCACAAGCCAAATGGGAGAATTGAAAAGGGATGTGGTGGGAATCACCACCCCTGTACTTTTCAAGGCCTTGATGATGGCACTAATTTCCGCAATCCCTCTAGGGACATGACAGGTTCTTGATTTACTATTTTCCTAGGTAAAGAAAGCTGTAATGGCTTCCATTTGGCCTTTCCCTCCATAATAGGCCTCACCCTATCAGTCAGGGAGCCAATGCGGGGGTTCTGCCAGCTGCCAAGTGTATCTATGCCAATTATGCATTCTGGCACTGGGAAAATGACCACAGGATGAGTCCAGGGACCCACCGGACCCACTGTAAGTCAGACCTGAGCTAAAACTCCATAAATCACTGGATCTCCATAAACCCTTACTTTAACTGGAGGACCAGTATGATGTTTTGGGTTTCCTAGAATCAATGTCAGTTCAGAGCCAGTGTCCAGTAGTCTCCAAAATGTCTGATCATTTCCCTTTCCCCAGTGCACAGTTACCCTGGTAAAAGGCAGGAGGTCTCCTTGGAGAAGGACAGGAGAAAGATTCACTGCATGAATTCTTGGTAATATAGTGGGGTCCTTCCTTAAGGTGACTTGCCTCCCCTTCATTCAAAGGGTTCTGGGTCTATAAACTGGCTCAAGTCTGGATATTGATTGAGGAGACTTGATTCTCTGTTTTTATAATTCAAATTAGTCTTTTGTCCGTTCAACTTAGAAGTTTTCTGCTTATATAAATTAAGTAGAAATGCAGTAGGCTTCCAATCAATTTCACTTCTAGGAACACTGTGATTAATTAGTCAATGCCAGAGCTCTACACCAATCAGACTATTCTGATTGCTGCTTTGTCTCTGCTGTCCATTACAGTAGCTACACCCACCTTGCCTTTGATGATTAAGTGCCACCATGTGGCCCCTGACACCTCAGGATCTAATTATTCCCATTGTATTTACATTTTTACTTGAGTGACTGAGGTTCCCACTGTTAGATCTGACATATAGAGAAGAGCAACTACAGGGCTTCTCAAAGATGCAGGTGCTGCCATCACAAATCTATTTCACAAGGCATTGGTCAAGGGTATATCTTCTGGACCCTCCTACCTGGGATGAGTAGATCTAAGTTGACTAATCCTCTCCACCATCCCACTCTCCCTAAACCTTTGGATCCCTTCCTCTACATTAAACCAAGGGACATTAGACATTTCTAGCTCACTCACAGTGGGCCATCTTTTAATCCATATTTCTGCTAATCAAGCAAATAAACTATTAGAACCTTTTTTAACTCCTCAAGCTGCAACATTAGAAGCAGAGTCTCTACTTAGTGGGCTCAAATCAATAAATCGGCCTGATGCAAATCTATGTTCCTTTCACCATTATCCCATACCCTTAATATCCATTCCCATGCCTGTTCTCCAGATTTATGTTTATATACATTAGAGAACTCACGTAGTTCTTTTCGAGTGTAGTGCACCTTGTCATGGGTCACACTCTCAACCTCACCTCTAGGGTCCCCCCGAGGCTTCAGTTATTGGTCTAGGAGCAAACAGGGGTGTTGAGGGTGGCTCCTGAGAAGAATCAACATTATTTTGCTTGGCAACTGCCTCAGGGGAGGCCATCACTGTCACCTCAGGCAGCACGGGATTTATCTCCCCAGACAAAGATGGAAAGGCTGATGGCAGCATGGGTCAGGGAGGGGACATTGCCACTACTGGGGATGGGGAAGCTATTTATTCTGGCAAAAAAGGTTCACCAGGGTTAACAAACTCAGTGTCCCCAGCTTCATCAGGGTCCTCCCACAAGTCCCCATGCCATGTTGCAGGGTCCCATTCTTTTCCAATCAATGCCCTCACTTTAACAGCAGACACCTGGCAAGACCGTGCATGCACCTTTCATTGCAGGTCAGCCACTCGCATAATAAGAGCTTGTGTCTGTTTCTTCACAGTTTCAGCTCTTTCTCTACAGGAAATAAGACTCTCACTCAGGGCAATCTTAGCAGATCTGAGGCTCAGTATCTGCTTCTGAAGCCAGGAGACAGAATCCCTGAGTTCATCATTTTATTTCATCACTTTGTCCAGTGAACTTAGGAGCAACCAACCAGCTTCATTATGTTCCTTGGTTCTCCACATATGGTCAAAGGTATTATGTATAGAGTCACTAAACTCCTTGCCTCTCACAAGCAGTGAATCAGGAGTGTCAAATGCATTTATTTTACATAACTCCCTAAACAGTTCACGCCAAGAACTATCAGTGTTCTCCATACTAATAAAAGTAGAGTCCTTAGCATTTTGGGGTCTAATCATATTAAGCAGCCAACTCCAGAAACCCCAAAACCAACGAAAAAACTCCATCCTTAATATTCTATTTTTCTAGAACCACTCCTGGCACCAAAATCTGTAATAGCGTTCTCTAGAGGGACAGAACTAATAAGATATATATAAAGGGGAGTGTATTAAGTATTAACTTACATGATCACAAGGTCCCACAATAGGCTATCTGCAAGCTGAGGAGCTAGGAGAGCCAGTCTGAGTCCCAAAACTGAAGAACTTGGAGTCTGATGTTTGAGGGCAGGAAGCATCTAGCACAGGAGAAGGATGGAGGCCGGGAGGCTAAGCCAGTCTAACCTTTTCACATTTTTCTGCCTGCTTTATATTTTCTGGTGGCTGATTATATGGTGCCCACCAGATTAAGGGTGGGTTTACCTTCCCCAGCTCACTGACTCAAATGTAAATCTCTTTTGGCAATACCCTCACAGACACACCCAGGATCAATGCTTTGTATCCTTCAATCCAATCAAGTTGACACCCAGTATTAACAATCATACCTACCTTTTAGTATGTATATTGAAGTATTCCATACAATGTACACTGATAATAGAAGCATCAATGTCATTTTAACTTATATTTCATACAAAATAATCTGCCCATCTCTTTCCAATGATGTAGAAAATATGACTCTCTGATCATAAATGAATGAAATAGTTCAATCTGTTCCACTATTCTGGTAGAGCTATGCAATGTGCCTATGAAAAAGTTGATTAATTCCTGAGCAACATTTAGGATAATAATATCTAAATTGAGGTAAGTGATGATTATACTATATCCTGCACTGGTCAGACCACATGAGTAATATGTCATGGAAATCAAATTTTAAGACAGACATAGAAAAACAAAAAATCCAGAGGGGAGCTGAAGGTACTGAACTACTAAATGGTACCACTGAAGGTACTGAGTAGCCTTTGAACCATGCCAATTATAATGAATAAAGGGGGAACTAAAGAAGAAAAAGAGATGCCTCAGAAGGATGTCTCTTGTCCCCAAAAGTCTGTATTATTATAAAAGAGAGACCAGGAATGCACTGTGTTACTCTAAAATGTAAAGCAAAGATTAGGGAGGAGAAGTCTCAAAGGAAGCTGATCTTACAGAACTGTCATCTCATAGTAAGAATGCCTTCTGCAGTTCACGAAAGGATCCTAACCATCAGACCCAACCAAAACATAAGAGACTTCCTGTTCACCAGTAAGCTTCCACCTCTTTAGAATCTCACAGGAGAGCTTCCTTGAAGCAATTGTCCCCTAAGATCCCTTCTAATTTGCATATTCTCCAAAACTGGCTCAACCTTGGCTCCAATTCACCAGCTTCTGCCCAGCTCAGCCTCTGAGATGGCCACAGAAGAAGCAATAGCAGCAGGTGAAGTGGTGAGCAGAGGCACAGCTGAAGCAGAGCCTCTCCGCATACTTTAATGGGTCTTGACAAAAGTTCCTGGGTCCTTTATCCTTTCCAAATCCTGTTACCAAGGCAACTTCTTGCTGTAACTGTGAAAGCAGACAGCCCTACATGAAATTATGACCACTTTATTCTTAGAACAAAATGATTTGAATGATCAGAGCTCACAGCTTGTTTTACACAAAGTGAGACACAAGCTAAGTGGTTCCTCTCAGAAAACAAGTGTGTGTGTGTGTGTGTGTGTGCACGTGCATGCACGTGTAAAATCTCCAGCCTCAAGTTGCACCATTAGAAATTTGTTGTATCAAGTTATGCTAATGTTTCTATCACAATGAACAAGACCACTGGCAAAGATAAGAAATTAAGTCACAAACATCAATGTGACTAAACTTGACATACTCTTTCTAATGTGAATAAAGTCAAAATAGGATAATGGTTAAGTGCTTATCTTTTCAGGTGAGATTACCTGATTTCAAACTTGAAGTCTGCCACTTACAAGCTGTGTGGTCTTTTGTCTTTGACGGGTTATTAAACATCTTTGCCATTTAGGATCATCAGTGTAAGATAAAAATAATACCTCTTCTTCGAGTTTCTGGGTAAATAAATGAATTAATATAAATATATAAATTATTTAGAATGTATCTGGCATATAGTAAGCTATATAAGTGTTAGCTATTGTTGTAATAGTGAAAATAATGCTGCTATTGCTGATGATGATGACAGAGACCAGGAAGCAGTGAAGAGAAGATACTAGGAGCCCTAAGATTTTTGCCTGGGTACATAGACAACTAAGTCAAGGAAAAAGGAATTGACTTTTACTAAGTGCCTATGCGCTCAGTAATAAGCCATTAGAGACGTTAGAGCCTCAATTACCAAGAAGGGACAGAAACCTTTTGGATGACAGAATGTTAGGAAATTTCTGGACCTTGTGATTTCTGACAAGACATGAAAGCATAGTCATGAGCATCTCCAGCTTAGGACAAAAGCAGATGTTCTCAAGCTGACACAAAGGAAATGCAAGGAGAAAACTCCTCCTAGAACAAGATTTTGCTACTTATTCCCTCACAATTATGCCCCTTTCCAAGTTATTAACCCCTTTTCACATGACAGGAGGTGGAGGAGGCACTGCTAAGAGAGGTGGAAGAAGTCAGCCTCCCACTAATATGTTTCCTTTCTTCCGTATTTTCCTTGTATACACTCGCTACCTGGCACTATCTGGTACCTCAAAAGCATCTGAGCTTTCTAAGCATCTTGGTACTTGTAGCAAATCAGATCAGACAAATATAAGCAATTAAACAGCTCCTACCTATATATCAACACTTATCAGCCAAATGAATGTCACTTATCATCTGGTGACTCTGTTTGGTAGAGAGGACTACAGGGATGGAGACTATCACACTGCTTACTCCCACAGAAGCTTGGATTTTCAAATTCAGTTGCTTAACTAAGTGGCCTTCAGATTCTAACTTCTTATATTAGAAGCTCCTCTTTCCTCAACTCTACTGTCAGCTGCCCTGTAGACTGAAAGGTCACCAAATTGCCCAATATCCATCATCTTTCCAGGCCTCTTGAAGCTGGAGGACAAGTGTGGTTTTTGGTGCTCGCTGAGAAAACAGCAATGTGAGTCCTTATAGTCTTTTTTCCAAGAACAGACATGTATCTAGCATTATAGCCTCGAATACTCTACTCAGTGATATGGCTGCTTCTGAAGTAGCTGCTCCCTTGAGTCACACAAGGAAGCATGAAGAAAAGATAGAACTTGACACTGAAGTTTCACCTTGCACAATGATGGCTCCCTCATGTCGCTCATAATGAAGTATTCCTCTCCTCCTTTTACCCCAGTTGTAATGTGCATATATTTCTATTAAAATACTCATAACCTGTGGTACTTCTTTATGAATATTACTTGTCTCTATGTATAAGACAATGAGCCTTTGGAAAGGAAGCATAGATACTGTCATGTTCATCTACTATTTTGTCTGATACATAGTAGGTCCTCAATAAACATTTGTTGGATTGAATATATTTACATTATGAGGTTCATTTTAGAAAAGGTTAAGGAAAATGCAATAGCCACTAGTAATTACAGAAGTTAGCACTGATATGAAAACAATAAGACAAGCTTTTGTTTTTTCACAGGCATGAAAGTCCAAAGTAAATAGACTATCTTTTCTCTTCTTGGATCCATCTACATACATGTAATAAGACCAACTATGTACCAGGAACTATGGGATTCTGTTGCCTTCATCTCTTTTCTCTCACAGGGGCTCTCCCTGCTCCCTGCCAAGGTGGTGGTGCCTGTGTGGTAGAAGGGAAGAGCGAGTTGGGGCTGCACAGGCACAATCTGGAAATGACCAGAATAAAAATGCCCCAGCCCAACCAGCAAGCAGGACTCCCCAATCAGATTTTTATTTCTAGGCAATGCTGCTAGGGAAAAACTCTTTCCCCTGGAGAAATCAAACAAAAACACAGCTTGGGATGATTCATACAAAGGTTCTCAAACTTAGCTGTACTTTTTAAATCATCTGGGAAGCTTTAAAAACCTACTTATGCCTGGGCCCCAATTAAATCCAAACATCTTGGGGTAGAACCAAGGCACTTATAGTTTTTAAAAGCTCCCAAAGTGATTCTAATGTGTAGCCAGGGTTGAGAATTACTGATTTACACAGTCCTGCTCTTCATATGCAGTTTAGGCTTGTGGTTACAGTTACTTAGCTGCTCACCTGTCTGCACTAATATATACACTACTATGCTTTGCTGCTGGGAAAGAAATATGGCAAGGATGAAAACCAGTTCTCTCGGTAAACACCTGGTTCTATTAAGATGTCCAGCTGGTGCCAGGCATGGTGGCTCATGCCTGTAATCCCAGCACTTTGGGAGGACAAGGGAGGTGGATCACGAGGTCAGGGGTTCAAGACCAGCCTGGCTAACATGGTGAAACCCCATCTCTACTAAAAATACAAAAATTAGCTGAGTATGGTGGTGCATGCCTGTAATCCCAGCTACTCAGGAGGCTGAGGCAAGAGAATTTCCTGAACCAGGACCTGCGATCTCAGAGAGCTGAGATAGCACCACTGCACTTCCAGCCTGGGCTACAGAGTGAGACTCCGTCTCAAAAAAAGAAAAAAAAATAAGTCCAGTTGGTTAGTGGGAAAATTAGCCCAATGGAAATATTGACAACTAGCTTTGGTTTGATATTCAATGGCTTGTGCATTTGTGTTGGCCTCTTACTAGAGCTATTCCCTCTTGGTCTGTTTTTCTTTGGTCTTAGTGCTGCTGTTACTTCTCAATGACACCAAATACCATTGTCTGCTCCAAGTGCTTGGTTCTCTTCCCTGAGTTTGTCAACAACTTTTCCAAAGTAATGGGTAACATTGGCAGCTTGCTTACTTTACTGTGATAGCACTGCAGACTCTTCACAGTGGGAAGCAATAGGTTCTCTGTGTATGCTCAAGACAGCAGGTACAAGAGGAAGCAATCTGACTTACTCCAAATAAACTACCAAAAAATGAAGGGTGGGGGGACAAAACACTTTCTGGCCCCTATGGAAATGGACACCAGCACATCCGCTCCAGCTGGGGCCAGAAAGTGACATTTTACAGTGGGAGGCAGCCACAGCTAAAGCCTTCCTCTCCCGAACAACAATTAGGTCAATTCTGGGAGTCTCGGGACTTGTAACACAGCTGAATGGTTTAAGAACACAGGCCACAGAGGCAAAACAACTTGAGCTTGAATCCCAATATTGCCACCTACTACTTTGTGTAACTTTGGGCAAGTTATTTAACTTCTGTGATTTATTTTCCTCCCAATGAAGAGAGGAGATAATGATCACACTCATCTGTTACAGTTGTCATATTATATGACATGAAGCATGTGACGGTGAAACTGAGAGTAAAACCCGGGCCTAGTCATCCCGATTCAATGCTGTTTTATAATTCCACTATTGTAACATTAAAATGTTTTAATTATACATTTTTACATTTGCATAATTATTACATTTTAACTGTAATATTAAAATGTAACATAACCGGATTTAGCACGCGGAAACCTCCCGGTCAGAACTACATCTACTTCATAAATTGAGAGACTCCTATAGTGCAGCATTTTAAAAGTACCTTCCTGCTTTTCTGTAAATATTCTTTCCAGGTTATATGTGAACATATATGCCAACATTTCAGAAATAGAAAAAGCAATAGGTGAATTATTTATGGGCTAGTGAATGTTTTGCCTCTATATTTCACATATGAGATAAAATATAAAAGACAGTTTTGTTTTGAGACCAGGTCTTTCTCTACCACCCAGTCTGAAGTAAACTGGTACAATCATGGCTCACTGCAGCCTTGAACTCCTGGGCAAGCGATCCACCCATCTCAGCCTCCCGAGTAGCTAGCACTATAGGCATGCACCACGATTCCCAGCTAATTTATTTATTTATTTTTTGTAGAGTTGGAGTCCTGCTTTGTTGCCTCAGTTGGTTTTAAACTCCTGGCCTCAAGCAATCCTCCTACCTCAGCCTCCCAAAGCGCTAGCATTACAGGTATGAGCCACCATGCCCAGCTAAAAGATGCCTTTGAAATTATGCAGTGATCCTCAGTTGGCACAGCACAATTGTATCTAACATTACACAATACTTTTTTTTTGCATTGATATATACATTCAGTTTTCTAAGAAGAACTCAGGCAGAATGCTATTTTTGCTAAGAGATTAATATATCATAAGAAAAAATTGTCAACCAAAATAACAGAGATGAGGCAGGAGAATAGCAGAGGAAGTCGGGGGTGAAGGGGACCCATTAGATGTAGACTAGCTTGAGCAATAGCAAAAGCAAAACATGCAAGATAGCAGAAGCAGAACATATGAGATAAGGGAGTAAGCAGTATGTAAATAAAAAAGTAAGCAGTAAGTTGGAACAACTGAGCAGAGGAAGTCGGGAGCGAAGGGGATCCATTAGATGTAAGCTAGCTTAAGCATAACGTGCAAGATTTAAAAAAAGCAGAACATAGAGATTTTTTTAAAAGTAAACAGTTAATTTAGTGCAATAAGGGAAAGATAAGGATAAGCAATCAGCTTACAAGAGATAGAATAAGAGTAAGGTGCAATAAGGGAAAGGCAAGGATGAACAATTTGCTTATGAGAGCAAGTGAGAAACAAAACCCATAAAATCTAACAAACCAGTGCTGATACCACTTGCGGGTCAGCCCAAACCATTCTGGATCTTACTGTGCTTAATAAATCTTTTGCTGCATTGCTATTTGTGTGTATCACATCCAATTCTTTATTTGCAACACCAAGAATCTTGCACTTCACAATATCAGCCAGTAACAGAGAGGGACTCTCTACAAGAAAATGATATTTATTGGTGAATAGAGCATTGCAGTGGGAATATGTGTGCCATAATAAACCATGTGCTTATTCAGAAAGGTAAGGGAATGCAAAGGTTTTTAAAGGAAAAATGCAGGAGGGATTATATAATTGTCTTGAGATAATCATCCTTGGCTGCAAGGATCAATAACAAGAGTGATACCAGTTCAAGGTTGGACAGGCTGTTGTGTGGCAGATGTCCTTGCAGAAGTGTTTTTTGTGTGAGGTTGCAATGGCATTTATGCAATGTTATGGTTTTCTCAGAGTCTTTGTACATGGCTGTGATTTTTTCACAAGTATTTTTGTGATAGTTTTGTTATCAGGCATACAAGGCTCTCTTCATAGCCTTCCACAGCTCTATTTTTCAGATTTTTAAAAAATGTAAGTGAATCCATTTTGATTCTGACAACTTTCACAGAATCACCTGCCTCCCACACACTAAGCACACCTCAGCACATCGTGCAGTGGTTTTGTCACATGTAGAACAGAATTGGATACATGTTGTATTCACAGGAGAATACTAGGTTTTCAAATGATAATAAATGTTCCTAAGATACCTTTCTCTCTACCCTTATGATTATTCTTTTCAGCTAGCTGATTACCAGAGATTTCTTATTACCTAAATTATCAAGGTTTATCTGTGGCAGTATGTCAGATGTGGTCTACATGTAATTGTAATAAACAAACATCCTGTACCATGTCCAAGTCTACTGCAATCTTAACCAACTAATCATGGATACCATCTATTGAGTGGGTAGTAGTTGCTTTGTGGTAGAAACTATGCTAAGCCCTTTGCATGCATTAGTTCATATAACTGTCATAATACCCCTGTGATACCTATTTAACAGATAAGAAATTCAAAGATTTACCCAATCCACCATTGATGGGCACCTAAGTCGATTCCATGTCTTCG
Organism: Homo sapiens; assembly: GCF_000001405.40. NCBI lineage: Eukaryota > Metazoa > Chordata > Mammalia > Primates > Hominidae > Homo > Homo sapiens. Next base: position 90,618,655 of record NC_000010.11, read on the forward strand.
CTATTGCATGGCAATGAACATGTAAGTCCATGTGTCTCTCTGGTGTAACAATCTATATTCCTTTGGGTACATTCGATTGCTGGATCGAATGGTAGCTCTGTTTTAAGCTATTTGAGAAAACTTCAGCTGAAATTTACAAAAGAAAAGAAATTCAAAGCTTAAAAACGTTGTCACATCTAAAGTTACAAATTAAGAAGTGGCAGAACCAGGATTTGCATATATGTATTTTTGATTGCCAAATGCAAGTGGTTAGCCGTGAAGGCTACTGAGAAATTGCCAGGCAAATATAATGCTCCAATCCAGATGCAGAAGTGAGGCACAGTCACTCAGACCAAATCATAATCATTCATATCCCTTAGAGACTGGTTATTTCCTTCTAAACACTCACCAGGCAGAGGATGGTGTCACTTAGGATATAAAAGACCAAAAATTAATTTTTAGGGAAGAAAAACTGATAACTTTGACAGATATCCACAGTACAGGCATTTTAAATAAAAATATAATTATTTAAAGTTATAGAATAAATAACTAATAAAACACCTCTATAACAGCAATCATTTTTTGTTGCTGCTGTAAAATGTTACCACAAAGGTAATGGCTTAAAACAACACAACTGATTCTCTTATAGTTCTGGAAGTCATAGTTCAAAATCAATCTTACTGAGCTAAAGTTGAAGGTGTTAACAGGGTTGGTTCCTTATGGAGGCTCTGAGAGAAAATAGTTCTCTGCCTTTTCAGCCCGTAAAGGTCACCTGCATTCCTCAGCTAGTGTCTCCCTCCTCACATCAATCCAACCTCTTGTTTCCATCATAACAGCTACTACTATTTGGGTCCTCCTGCCCTGCTCTTATAAGGGTCCTTGGGTTTACATTTTTCCCACCTGGATAACCCTGGGTAATCTCCCCTATCTCAACATTCTTAATCATATCAGTAAAGTCCCTTTTGCCATGCAATGTACTTTATTCACAAGTTTTGGGGGTGAGGACCTGGACATCTTTAGGGAGGCATTATTTTATGTACTACAATTACCAACACTTACATTTTTCAAGTTAAAAGGAAAAAATTAATTAGAAAAAAAAAAAAAATCCAGTCTCTATTGTACTCACCTGTGTCCAATTTCCAATTAATTTGTGGTCTTTCAGGACTTACTTTAAGGGAAAGATATTATTTTTCTCTTCTTGTTGGAAACTTTCTGGAGCATGTGGGTGTAGTGACTGGTATTGCTCTGGGTTACAGAGCAGCTTGGATGAGCATCTGTGCAGAAACCACTATGGTAGGCTATATTTAAAAACTGTTTATTTCAAATGTTCAAAAAATAAAAGGGCTGGGTCTCTAGCAAGAAGCAGCCTTGAATTTGCTGCAGAAAGAAGATAGAGATTATAAGACGTAGAGGGTGGTTCAATCAATCCATTTAATATTAGCTGTTCACTAAAAATGAGTGAGGAGGAGAGAGAAAAAAACTGCAACTTCTTGAATGATAATTAAACCTGTTAATCATATTCTGATTAGAAAAATATATAGGAATAAACATGTGCTTCATATTCCTGTGGGTTTTCTGTTCTGGCCATGAAAAATAAAAGAGAATCAAACTGCCAAGAGGCTTTTTGAATGGGGTTGGATAACAAAAATTCCCCCAAAAAACAAAAAACTTTCTGCAAAATCTTAGTGGGGCAAGCACATGCAAAAAACTATTTTGTTTTTTCTCCTTGAATTAATAACTGGAGAACATCCACTCACTTAATGCCCTGGGAGAGAGTTGTACAGTCTTCTGGTGTTTCAACCTGATGAGAAAAGAACTCTACAACTGTTGCTACACAGATAGAGCTATGTGTTTGAAGGTTCAAACTGCTTCTTCTAAGAAAATCAAGTGACATTCAAAGTACTTTTGAAAAGAGATTAACACAGTTCTAATACTAGGAAACTCATGCTTATCTAAATGTTTCTCTTTTGTTTCAGACGTGCTTCTAATAACATGTCAATGTATATATTCATCTCCTAGAAAGGCATTAACTAATACATAATCTTCATTTATTTTATGCTATAATATTATTTAAAAATATACTCAAACATGAAAATATGTATAATATGCTTTGAAACAGCTAGTAATACCTAATACAATATTCTCAATTCAAATTGCTTTATATTAGTGAGAAGAGAGACACAGAGACAGAGAATCAATCACTGGGCTAGTAGTTCTAAACTTGCTATAGTACCTCTCAAACTTTAATGTGCATGCACACACACACACACATAAATCACACACAGACACACACAGAGACTTTAATGCACAATGTACCTGTGAATCATGTTATTAATAACACACAGATTTTGATTCAATAGTTCTGGGCGTGGGAATGGAGGTAGCTCATAGATTCTGTATTTCCTATAAACTCTTAAGTGATGTCAATGTCACTATTTTTCCCCATGGAGTAGCATGTCATAGGGAAATTTGTAAAATTACAGAACCCCAGGTACCACCGCAGACCTTCCCACAAATCTATAATTTTAACAAGCACCTTTCAAGTTATTTCTATGCTACCTGCCTTACACTGACTCAATGAACTGAGTTGGCACAGTGGTTACAACTCAAATGCCTGCTTCAGACATGTGGTTATGTAAATGCTTGAATTGGATTTATTTTTTAAAAGGTGCTAGGCTACTTGAACTTTGACCAAGCATCAAACTAGCTTTAATTACATGCCTTTTAACAAACTATTGCTGCCTTTTTATGGTACACAAGCTACCTCTGACCCTGGAGTTGGCAGTTAACATTTTAGAGGCTAAGATCCCTGTGAAAATTTCATATAAGCTGTGAAACATCTACCCCCAGGAAAATCTACAAATGCACGTGAATGCATTTTGTAAACAATTTCAGGAAATTGCACGTTTTCTAATCAATCCATGGATTTCTGACAGGTTCATGAACCTCTGGCTAAGAATCCATGGTTCAGTTATTATGTCTTGCAAATACCATCCATTTCAGTGATGGAAACATACTACTTTTAAATATTGTTTTGGTACTGTTTTAATTCCTCTGATCTAGCTCCAGCAGTTATCCCTGAAAATGGCCCATAGCGTCTGGTTCAGAGCTTCTCCTCAACCACTCCCAGGTGCTCTCCATGGTACTGGCCTCAGAATCTGATTTCAGGCTTCCACCTGCCTCTATTCCTCATCCTGTCTTGGCATGCTCCCTAATTGAGCTTCTTAAAAATTCTTCATCCAATTGTAACTTTTCTTTACGAGGCCAAGATTCTGTATTTCAAGATTTCTATGCCAATCTCCCAACTTTGAGACTGCTTCTTCCTTTAATCAAAAGTCATTACTTAAAAGAATCTCCAGTAAATCAATTAATATTTTACCTTCCTTTCCCATGAATACTTTTTGACATACCAAGAAATGTATTATACTTCTTATTCTCAAAGTTTTACCAGTCTTAGGAGCCCTCTGCTTAAAGGGACTTTCATTTTTACCCTTTTTGAAAAAAGGTTTTTAAAATGCTATTTTGAATAGAACACAATTATACCTCAGAAAATGTACAATAAAATATAAGAATTTTAACATTAAAATTAATAGAGTGATTTTTATTGTTAATGCACACTCATATATGAATATACATTATAGAGCTTTGGCATTGATTATTTTGTCAGCTATTCTTATAAATTTTCTTGGAAATTTGTGTTTCTTAATTTTTTATACTCTATTGTGCAACAATGGAGGGTTATAGAATTGAGTATTACTAGTGAATTGAAATACATGACATTATATATTAAAGATTTTTGCTCTAATTTCTCTCCATGTACAGATATAAAATGGTAACTATGTAGAGGTAATAGATATGTTAATTAGCTGGACTGTGGTAATCATTTCACAATGCACATCAAAATATCAAGTTGTACACCTTAAATATATACAATATTTGTTAAATTGCCACAAAATTTAAAAATCAAAACAAAAAGAGATCTCCAGTAATTAATTGATTTTAAAGGCAAAACTAAGGAATATTAAGAAATTTTAGTTTTTTCTTTATTGTGAAATGTATTACCTTATATAACAGCAAAAAGTAAGAGGGGAGGGTATCCATAGATTTATCCAAATAAGCATTTACTGCTGCCTTATCTATATAAATATTACCTAGACAGCTATTGGGTACCAAGATATCTATCTTACATGGTGAAGAAGAAACTTTACAATTCAAGAAATGATTCATTTGTTTGAATATAAACATTTTTCTTGACAAGTAGCCTTAGTGTTTGGAGTCCAGAAGGAGGTCTATTGAATCATTTGGAAATAATGGGAATTATTGTGACCTTTGAGAGTGAAATTTTAAATCAAGAGAGAATGGATCAAAGGAAAATTATGCAAAAATCAAACCTACAAGATAGAATTGGTCTCATAAAAGCACAACTTACCTGAGACCTAGATGAATATAATAGATAACCAAAGTAAGATGGTAACAATGATAAATGAATAGGCCAGCCAATAACATTTAAAAGGACTTCACAAAGTTGCATGAAAGCAAGGCACATCCATGCCTTATGAAGTTCTACCCAAGGGACTAATTATTCATCCTTATTATTATGTAGATGAATGAAACTATCTTAGGCTAATCTCATTAAATATTTACCCCTTTGATTTTCTTCTTGACTCCATGTGTATTAGTTCTCCATTGTCGTTGTAACAAATTTTGACAAACAGAGTAATTTAAAACAAATGTATTCTTTTACAGTTCTGGAGATAATAAGTTTGAAATGAAACTAAAATCAAGATGTTAGCAGCAGGGCTGGTTTCTTTCCTTTCATAAGAAAATTTGTTCTTTGCCTCCTCCAGCTTCTGTTGTCTGCCAGCATTCTTTGTCTGCTGGCCATACCACTCCTATCTTTGCTTCTGTTGTCACATTGCTTTCTTCTACTCTGATCTCCTGCCCCTTCTTATAAGGACCTTTGTGATTACACCAGGCCCACCTGGACAATTACATAACCCCTCTCCCCAATATCAAGATGTTAACTTCATCACATTTGAAAAGTCCATTTTGATATATAAGATAACACAGGTTTAGGAGTGAGGATCTGGACATGTTTTGGGGGCATTATTTAGCCTACCACACCATACTTACTAAGCAACCTTCTAATGAAGTCTTGGTTTCCCCTGTAGCTTTACTATAGAGACATAAGGAGCTACCAATGATGGCTCAAGTTTTTCAATTCCTACAGATTATATTTATCCAAACTAATTCATAAAGTGACGGTCTGGTCTTATATATCAGGCTTATGGACTTGGAAGTCTGCTCTTCAATAATGGATCTACTTTCAGCATGCCCTTATTGTCAGGTTTCTGAAGCCTGCAGGAATTAAAATCTAGACCCTGATAAGGGGAATCTCCAAGCCCACAAATGATACCTTTCCACAAGATGCCCTGCATTACTTAATAACTGTAAAAGCTCAGTGGCTTACAACCATAAACACTAATCACAGCTGTAGGTCAACCAGGCCCTGTTTTTTCTCTTTTCCTTCTGGGTTCTAGGCTAAAGGAATAGACTTTATCTGGAACATGCGGTTCTTGAGGCAAAGTAAAAGACACAGAGCCATCAGTCACATCACGTAATTCTGCTTGAACATGGCATAAATGATATCTGCTTACAGCCCATTGGCTAAAGCAAGACACATGGCCAAGCCCAACATCAATGTGAAGAAAGTATACTTCACCAACAAAGGAATTGCAATTCACTTTTTAAAGGACATGAATATATAATCATCTCTTATGGAAAGGGGAGCCAAGTATTTTGGAATGTAATACATTCTACTACAGACTTGTAAGTAGCCAATCTAGAACACATGGTATCACATTCTGACTTCATTCATTCTAAAACACATGTAGATTAAAGGGCATGGCAACAATAATACAAAAGGTAATAGACGATAAATAGAGCTACAAGAATATAAGGTTTCACTGGTATTGTGGGAGTGTTTAAAGTAATGAAATATATTGTATTATATTAAGTCAAAGGTGTATATTGTAATTCCTAGGTTAAACTCTAAAAGACGTAACATATAGGCTTTAACCTAATGAAAACTGTGATATTTATATTAACATCAAGTAAGACTATTAGGCAGGATGTATTAATAAAGAGGGACATCCCATAATTATAAAGGGGTTAATTCAATAGATATCCACCTGTTAGTATAGATTCGTATATAAAGCAAAATGCAACAGAAACATAATGAGTTGACAAATTTACAATTTGAGACTTCAACACAGCTCTTGCAATAAATGTTGGAAAAATAGTATATAAGATATGAAAATAAAATTAAGAAAACTAAATAGATATATACACGTGTATATGTGTGTTTGTGTGTGTGTGTCTGTGTATGTACTCAGCAAAGGCAATTTACATGTTTTCCAAATGAACATGGAACATTTGTCAAAATTGACTCATTTACTAACCCATAAAAAAGCTTCAACAAAATTCAAAAAATTAAAATTATTCTGCATATATTCTCTGATCAATATGAAATCAAGCTAGCAATCAATAACAAAAAGAGATAAGCAGAAAACCCCCCAAATACCTAAAACTGAAACAGTATGCATCTAAATAATAATCCATGAGTCAAGGAAGAAATCAAAATTAACGTTCTAGAATTTTGGTTTCACTATGATAGTGTAATTATCTTTGTTATTAAAACTAAAAATCTGAAAAAAAAAACTAAAACTAAGAACCTAAAAAGCAAATAAAAGCAGATGCATTATAGACAGAAAAGAAAACTAGAAGTTACCCATGCAGAAATGAGTTTCCCTTTTTTTTTTCCTCTTTCTCATTGATCTGCCCTCTTGTCAGGGCCAATTCTCTGAGAAACTTGGTAGATCAGTGGCATTCGTGGCAAAAACTGTAATAGAAACTCTGTCTTTAAGGCCAGAGAACCCAGAAACAGAGGCCTTAGCAGGCTGCAGACTATGGAGGAAGTTCTGCAGAGGGGAGAGCTGGAGATGGGGGATTCTCTAACTGTGCATATGAAACTGTCCAAATCTTGGGCTCACCTCTAAACTATGCATTTGTGGGACAGATGGAAACACCATGGCAAAGATTTTAGAAATGAACTGAAATTAGAAATACCACTAACAGAAAGAAAGATAGAACTTCAATTGTGAATCCAAATGTTCCAACACAGCTAAATAACTAAAGAACAATTAAAACTTGACTAATTCTCATTGGAAAAGACAGTCAGTGAATGCCAATCCCAAGATAACTCAGATGGTTGAAATATCAGACAATTTTAAGCGAGCTTTTATAACTAGCTAAAATGAGTGGAGAGTAGGGAAAAGACAAAATTTCTCAACAGATAAATGGAAAATATAAAAAGAATCAAAGAAAAATTTTAGAGTTGGAAAATATAATATCTTAACTAAAAATTCACCACTCATCGAATAGCCAAACGGAGATGAAAGAAAAAAGAATCAGTAAGCTTGAGTGTAAAAAAATAGAAACTACTGAATCTGAAAAATAGAGAAAAACAGATTGAAAAAAAATAACGAAGCTTCAGAGTCCTGTGGGGCAATATGTAAAGTTCTAACATACATGTCATTGGAGTCCTAAAAAGTGAGGAGAGAAAGACTCAGGTAGAAAAGATATTCGAATAAGTAATACGCTCAAATATCCCAGATTTGGTGAATGAAATAAATTTACATATTAAAGTTTAGTGAACCCATTAGAGAAAAAACTCAAAGAAAATTACAACTGAACACAATTAATCTTCAGAAAACCACCAAAAAAGAGAAAAATATCTCATACTAGTTAGAGAAAAACAGCACATTAAATACAGGGGAAGAGCAATTTGAATGACTGCACAATTCTTATTAGAGACCAGAAGACAGTAGAAGTACATCTGTAAAGTGCCGAAAGCAAAGGACTATTAACTCATAGTTTTATTTCTAGTGAAAATATCCTTCAAGAATAAAGGCAAAATTAAATTAAACATTATTGGCTGAAGGAAAACTTATGATAATTTGTCCCAAATAGACCTATTCTAAAATTATTGCCAGAAGATGAAGGATATTCTTTAGGTTGAAGGAAAATGATGCTAGAAGAAAACTTAAATCTTCTGGAACGAAGGAAGAAAAAGAGAAATAGTAAATATATGTGCAAATGTAAATACGTATTTTCCTTCTTGAGTTCTTTAAAATATGTATTACCATTAAAAATATAAATGATAACATCATTTTATGGGATTTTAACAAATGCTGATGAAATTCATATGACAACTATAACATAAAGGTTAAGCTAGTGAGGGACATGAATGTACCCATACAAGTGCAATGATTTTACATTTTACTTGAAGTGGTACAGTATTAAATATCTTTTAAAAACAGGAAGAAATTGGATATGTGTAGTATAATCTTTAGGGCAACCACTAAAAAATTATAAATACATATAGAAAAAGAGCTGATAAATTAAAATTGAATGCTAAAATATATTCAAATTATCCAAAAAAGGGCAGGAAAGGAAGGGGAACAAAAAACACAGGTTAACAAATAAAGTATCAGACTTAAATCCAACTATCTCAATAGTTACACTAAATGTTAATTATCTAGCCTAGGTGCAGTGGCTCACACTTGTATTCCCAGCACTTTGGGAGGTGGAGGAGGACAGATCACTTGAGGCCAGGAGTTCAAGACCAGCCCGGCCAACATGGTGAAACCTCACCTCTACTAAAAATACAAAAATTAGCCAGGTATGATGGCACACACCTGTAATCTGAGCTACTCATTAGGCTGAGGCACAAGAATCACTTGAACCTTGGAGGAAGAAGTTGTAGTGAGCCAATAGCATGCCTCTGTACTCCAGCCTGGGTGACAGAGTAAGACTCTGTCTCAAAAGAAAAAAAAAGTTAATCATCTAAAGAAAACACTCCAACTAACAGGTAGAAATTGATAGAGTAGATTTTTTTAAAAAGCAAGACCTTACCATATGCTGCTTAAGAATGATACGCTTTACATGTAAAGGCAAAGACAGATTGAAAACAATGTGGGGCAGGGAATATACACTATGCAAACAGTAAGCATAAAAAAGCAGGAATAGCTAGAAAAGACATCAAATATCTGAAGAAATAAATTTCAAGACAGAGTACTACCTGAGATGAAGAAGGATATTTCATAATGATAAAAGAGACAATTCATCAAGAAGAAATAGCAACTAAAAGGTATGTTCACCTAATAACAGAACCTCAAACCACATGAATCAAAACTTGGAGAATCAAAAGGATAGATAAACCACTGCAAAATTAGAGTAGAAGATTTTTAACATCCATTTGTCTTTTCTTTTTTTGTTCTTTTCTTTGAGATAGGGTCTTTCTGTTGCCCAAGCTGGAGTGCAGCGGTGCAATCACAACTCACAGCAGTTACAACTACCAGGAGCTGAAGTGATCTTCCTGCCTCAGCCTCCCAAGTAGTTGGGCCACAGGCACACACCACCACACCTGGCTAATGTTCTTATTATTGTTATTTGTAGAGACAATATCTTGCTATGTTGCTCAGGCTGCCTTAAAACTCCTAGGCTCAAGCAATCCTCCTAACTCAGCCTCCCAAAATTCTGGGATTACAGGGGTTAGCCACTGTACCCAGCCTATTTTTCAATAATTGATAGACAAGCTAGACATAAAAATATCAGCAAGGACATAGACATCTGAACAGTACCCTCAAATTCCTCAATCTAGTTGGCATTCACAGGAAACAACATCCAAGGAATGCAGAATACAGATTTTTTCAAGTTCACATGGTACATTCACCAAGATGGAGCATATGCTGAGTCATAAATCAAGTGACAATCATTTTAAAGCACTGAAATCAGACAAAGCATATCCTCTCATTACAATAGAATTTGATTTAAAAATCAGCGAAAATATATCTAAGAAAAACCTAAGTATATAGAATTTTACCACTACATTTCTAAATAATTTGTGGGTAAAATATAAAACACAAAAGAAGTTGGAAAATATTTTCAATAGAACAACAAAAATACAATTGTGTTAGCGTTCTCCAGAGAAACAGCATCAATAGGATACACATTGAGAGAGAGCAGAGAAAATAAGGGAAAAGGAGAGAAGGGATTTTAAGAAATTGACTCACATGATTGTGGAGGATAGCAAATTCAAAAGGTGTAGGTCAGTCTGGAAATTCAAGGTAAGAGTTGATGTTGCAGTCCTGAGTCTGAAATCCACAGGGCAAGGCAGCTGGCTGGAAACTCAGATTTTATTTTGTAGTCTGGAGGCAGAGTTCCCTCTTTTTAAGGAAATCTCAGTTTTTGCTCCTAAGGCTTTTCAACTGATTGGATGAAGCCCACCCACATTATGGAGATGCTTCGTTTAAAGTCTACAGACTGTAAGTGTTAATTACATCCACAAATACCTTTACAGCAACACCTAGACTAGTGTTTAGCTAAACAACTGGACACCATAGCCTAGCCAAGTTGATGCATAAAATTAACCGTCACCTACAACACATCAACATTTGGGAGATAATATACTAAAGTAGTTATTAGAAGAGAATTTATAACTTTAAATGCCTATATTAAAAATAAGAAATATCTAAAATATTATAGTGTTCCACCCCAATAGTAAGTTAGAAAAAAGTAGAATTCAATGAAATAGCAAATAGACAGACAACAGAGAAACTTTGAAGCCAACAACTATTTTTAGAATATCAATAAAATTGAAAAACTTTTAGCTAGACTAATCAAGAAATAAGAGAGAACATGAACAACCGATACAATAAATGAAAAGGAGGTTATCACCGCATACATTAAAAGGATAATAATAGAATATTAGAAACAAATTTGTGCTAACAATTTAACAACTTAGATTAAATGAAGAACATCTTGAAAAGCACAATTTACCAAATTGACACAAGAAGAAACAGAAAACATGAATAACTAAATATATACATAAAAAACTAAATTTTATGTCAAAAGCATTCCCCAAAAGAAAATTCCAAGCCCAAGTCTACCTATGATATTGAATCAAATCAAATACTCCAGAAATCAATTATACAAATATTACCCAAAATTTTCAAAAACAGAGAAGCAGGAATTACAGCTGAACTCATATTGTGAGGCCAGCATAACCCTGATAACAACATCTGAGAATGGCATTACCAATAAAGAAAATTATCAATGAATATTTCTCATGTAGATAGATGCAGAATTCTTAAGGAAATATTAGCAAATAAAATGAAAAGATATATTTAAAAAGATAATGGATCATGACCAAATCAGATTTATACCAGAAATGCAATGCTAGTTGTATTCAAATATCAATCAACATAATTCACTATATTAAAAAATAAAGCAGAAATAGAGTATGATCATTTCAATCTGTGCAGTAAAAAACATTTAAAAATATTTAGCACTATTCATGATAAAAGCTCTGAAGGAACTAGGAATTGTAGCAAACAACTTCAAAATAATAAAGGGCATCTATGAAAAATCTACCAATTGACATCATCTTTAATGGTGAATATATGAATTATTTTATCCAGAGATCAGGAAAAAAGAAATGATGCCCATTTTCACCACTTCTACTCCATATTGTTCTGGCAATCCTAGCCATTGTAAGTAAGGTAAGAAAAAGAGGAAAAGGTATAAAAATTAGGGAGGAAAAAGAAAACTGTCACTGTCTGCAGATGATTTGATTTTTCACACAGAAAATCCAAACAAATCTACAAAACAACTACTAGCACCAATAAAAATATTTATCAAGAATGCAGGACACAAGTTTACTATTTTAAGTATATTATATTATCATATATGAGCAGCAAAACATTGGAAAGTGAAATTGTTAAAATTCCACTTATAGTCATGTTAAAAGAATATAAAATATCTAAGAACAAATATAACAAAAGACACCCAAGATCTTGACACTTAAAACTATAAAACATTGTAAAAGAAATTAAGGAAGATCTAAATAAATAGAAACATATACCATGTTTGTAGATTGGAAGACTCATATTGTGAAGTCAACAATTCTCATCAAATTGTTCTGCAGATTTAACTCAATCCCAATTAAAATTGCAGTCAGATTTTTGTAGAAATTGACAGGCTGATTCTAAAATATGTTTGGAATTTAAAAGTTTCCAGAGAATCAAAACAATTTTAAAAGAAAAGAGCAAAACTGGAGAACTTGTTCTGATCTCAGAACTTATTTTAAAGCTATAGAAATCAAAATAGTTTGGTATTGGTGGAAAGATAGACATGCGACTAATGGAATATAACAGAGGGTATAGAAGCAGACCTATAAGTATTTGATCAATTGATTTTTGACAAATTTCTATGTGAATTCAAAGGAGAAAGTCTTTTCAACAAGTGTTACTAGTAAAGTGGATATCCACGTGGGAAAAAAAAAGGAAATTGATCCTTATCTCACACCATAAACAAAAATTTACTCAAAATGGATCATAGACCTAAATGTGAAATCTAAAACTCTAATACTGTAGGAAAAAGAGAAAATATCTTTGTGACCTTGAAGTAGACAAAGGTTTCTTAAATAGAAAACACAAGACTGGGTGCAGTGGTTCACACCTGCAATCCCAACACTTTGGGAGGCCAAGGCAAGTGGATCACTCGAGGTCAGGAGTTTGAGACCGGCCTGGCCAACATGGTGAAACTCCGTCTCTACTTAAAATACAAAAATTAGCCAGACCTTGTGGCACATGTCTGTAATTCCAGCTATTCAGGAGGCTGAAGCAGGAGACTTGCTTGAAACTGGGAGGCGGAGGTTGCAGTGAGCCGAGATGGTGCCACTGCACTCCAGCCTGGGCGACAGAGTGAGATGCTGTCTCAAAAAAAAAAAAAAAAAGAAAGAAAAGAAAAAGAAAACACAAAGCATGAAATATTAAAATTATAAATTGATGAACTGGAATTCATGGAAATGAAAAACTTTTTCTCTTTAAAAGTCACTAGTAAGAAAATAAGAACAAGCCATTGACTGAGAGAAAACACAAATATCAAAAGACTTATATCCAGAAAATATGGAGAACTATTACAGCTCAACAATAAAAACAACCTAATACAAAATTAACCATGTGAAAAAAATAGAATCACACATGATCCATTAATTTCACTTATGAGTGTTAACTAGGGACTCAAACATATTTTTTAATTTAATAATGTATTTAAACACTTTACCAAAAATAAAGATACACAAATGGCCAATAAACACATACAGTGCTCAACATCATTAACCATCAGAAAAAAAAGTGTAATTTAACATACACATAATACATACCTATAAAAATGGCTAAAATTAGAATGACTGACCATACTAAATACTGTCAAGGATGTGGAGCAACTACAATTCTCACACATGCTTTTTAGGAACATAAAACAGCATAATCACTTTAAAAAGCAGTTCTCTCATTTCTCAAAATGTTACATCTATACTAACCAAAAAACCCAGCCATTTTTATAAGGATTAATCCACAAAAAAAAATGTATATATGTTCTCACACAGATTTGTACCCAAAATGTTCATAGTAGCTTAATTATAATAGACAAAAATGGAAACAACTCAAAAGTGAATCAACAGATGAATGGGAAAACAAATCATTAATTATCAATAGAAAGGAATACTAGTAAGCAATGACAAGGAAAGAACTACTGATAGATGAAACAATTTGTTTGAATCTCAAAATCATTATGTTGAGTGAAATAAGCCAAGCCAAAAGAGAGTGAGAGTGAGAAAGGAGAGAACGAATACACTCTATGATTCCATCTAATTAAAGTAGAAAGACTAGCAAAACCAAGCTGCTAGGAAACAATACAGTGGTTATGTTTGAGGAACAGTAGTGACCGGGAAGGGCATGAGAGGGGCTTCTACAGACCTGATAATGTTTTGTACTTATTAATGTAGGTGCCGGTCATATAGTTGTGTTCATACCAAAAAAATCAAGCTGAATATTAATGACCTATGCACATTTCTATATAAATATTTGTATTAGTCAGGGTTCTGTAGAGGGACAGAACTAATAGGATAGATGTATATATGAAGAGGAGTTTATTAAGGAGTGTTGACTTACACAGTCACAAGGTGAAGTCCCACAATAGGCTGTCTGTAAGCTGAGGAGCAGGAAGCCAGTCCAAGTCCCAAAACATCAAAAGTAGGAGAGCCAACAGTGCAGCCTTCAGTCTGTGGTCAAAGGCCTGAGAGCCCCTGGCAAACAGTTGGTGGAAGTCCAAGAGTCCAAAAGCTAAAGAACTTGGAGTCCAATGTTCGAGGGCAGGGAGCATCCAGCACGGGAGAAAGATGACAGCTGGGAGACTCAGCGAGTCTAGTCCTTCCACGTTCCACTGCCTGCTTTTATCCTTGCAACGTTGGCAGCTGATTAGATGGTGCCCACCCAGACTGGGGGTTGGTCTGCCTCTCCCAGTCCACTTATTCGAATGTTACTCTCCTTTGGCAACACTTTCACAGAAAGCCAGGGGCAATACTTTGCATCCTTCAGTCCAGTCAAGTTGTGACTCAATATTAACCATCACAATATTATAATACAATAAACATATTCATAATACAAAAGAACATGGCTGGCTACAAACTATTCATTTTCTATTCCCATGAGCAATTAATAATATGATTATTTCTATTTCTATTCGTAGTGCCCTCAGGAACTCTGTAACATAGTATTAGAGAATCACAGTCTCTATTCTTGAACTCCAGAGCCAGTAGATCCTTCATCCTCATCAGTGACTAACACTAGCACCTGTACCACCACCAGTAGAAACAAGAACCAGTAGAAACAAGAATCTCTTATATGTATAAGAGATATACATATATGAGATGTATACATGTATGAGATGAGAGCATATATATCATATATATCTCATATAGATGAGATGAGATATATATACGTGTGTGTGCATATATATATATATGATGCCCACACTATAAGAGATATATGGTTAGCTGGATAGATGATCACACTATAAGAGATATATGAGGGCTAAAACCAACTGACTGATCATACTCACCTTTCCCATCTCATTTTCCCTTCCACCCATAAGCCAGACTGATAGAATCACTTGCAACATTAAAATTCTCTTTCTCTGCCATGCCTCCTATCATTGCCAACTATTTAAACACTGACATTTACAAAAGTTAAATGTGTATCTGGCACAACTATACTACACTGTTCTGTAGTGCCAAATAAGTAACAAGCCATCATTTCCAGAAGAAATCAAGGCTGTAAGAGCTACAAGGGATACTAGAAAGGATGCTAGGCTGGGTGTTGGGAACCCTTGATCCTGATCCCTGATTTGGCACTAACTTGCTATGAAACCTAGAGTTCTGACTTTGCTATGTTTCAAATACATTTGACATCTCTGGAGCTCAGTACTCTCACCTGAAAAATGTTTTTTGACTCTAAAAAATGTCCCTTAACCTTTCTATATGAAGAGATACTGCTTCCGGGAAACAAAAAGAGTCAGGGGGAGGCTGGATTGATGCAAGGCTCCTGTTCCTTAGAGAGCAACTGGTTTCTTGGCCCTCTCCTGGGTGCTTCTTTAGACCCACACCTCTGGCACCTGCCTCAGCTCCACCCTGCTCTCATGGATCCAGAATATAACAATCCTAAACTCCAATCCTAGCTCTTTCCCTTGTTACTGGCAAAAACATTGACAACTTTCTAGGCTCTCTTTAATTTCAATTTCCTCCTGTGTACAACAGAACTAATAATATGTAACTCATGGTGTTTCTGTTAAATATATAATGTGTCAGATCCATACATTCCATGCCCCCTTGGTATCATTTAAATATTTTGTAGGCAACAGAAACAGAAACTACCAACTTAAGGAAAAGTTTGGCCAGGAATGGCGGGGGTGTCTCACGCCTGTAATCCCAGCACTCTGGGAGGCTCAGGCTGGTGGATCACGAGGTCAGGAGATGGAGACCATCCTGGCTAACACGGTGAAACCCCATCTCTACTAAAAAAAAAATACAAAAAATTAGCCCGGTATGGTGGCGTGCACCTGTCGCCCCAGCTACCCAGGAGGCTGAGGCAGGAGAATCGCTTGAACCTGGGAGGCGGAGGTTGTGGTGAGCTGAGATCGCGCCACTGCAATCCAGCCTGGGCGACACAGCGAGACTCCATCTCAAAAAAAAAAAAAAAAAGATTTATAAATTGGAGTAATACTGGATGAGTGCAAAAAACTGAAGAGCAAGTAAGCATGCTCTGGGATGACTGGGCTCAGGGGTGCTTCGGGCCTCCCCACAGTAGATAAGCATTCCTACCAGGGTTCCCTACCCCATCTACCTTCTGTGTTCAGGAAATAAATTACTGAGCAGGATAATCCAATGCCCTACCTTGGACCACATGACTATATCTATAATCAGAGGGAAAAAGTCTGCTGATTAAAACCTCACTGAAGCCACACAGACTAAGAAGGATGGATCTCCCTAAAGGAAAGAGGCACAATTACTAGAACAAGAGAGGGGATGCTTGGCAGAAAAAAACAGATTCCATGCCCAGTCCTGCAAGTTCTGCAAGTTGTCATCAATCCTTCTAGAGAGTCATTTTTTAAAAGTTCTAGCCAATGGCACTACCTCCTCACTCATATTCTTGCCCAGACCTTTCCTACCCACCCACCTGCCTGCCTGTTGGGCCTTTTGTGATTCCAGCCCCGCTTCACCACTGGGAGCCCTGTCAAGCTTAATTACCTTAGGGGCTGAGGCTCTTTATGCAGGTGAACTGGGGCACAAAATATCATCTATTCAGTGGGTAAGCCTAGGTACCCCAAACACAAGGATTTTAGCTTTTCTCACGTACAGAACCATACAATTTCTACACAACTGATGAATCAATAAATGCAAAAAGGGAGATCTTCACCCAGAGACAACACAAAGAAACTCAGGAAGCAAAGCTGTAAGCCAGCCTCTCCCTCTGTGCACTCCCTGCCTTGGTGTGCTCACTCATGCTATTTGAACAGCTGACAGAGGCTTGGCCTGGTCTTCTGAGACCTCCACAACATCACATTAGACAATAACTCTATATTTAGCCATGAGTGAAATAGAAAAGGAAGGGAATCAGGGCCAAACAGACTAAGATGAACAGAGAAGTCTGGACTTTCATTTGTAATGTTTCTTAGCAAAACAAGGGGATGTTTGGATGCTGGGTCTGTTTATTTAGACTCAAGATCTCATATCCTAATGTGAACTTTCTGGACAATGTCTTTTGATTCCTTTAATCTCTCTGTGGCCTTTTTCTACCCAGTACAAAACAGCTGGATGAAAAGTCACACCTGCATTCCACAAGTAGAAAAATATAATTCAGTCTAATTCAGTTTTCGGTGTAACATAATCACTAGAAGTAGGGATTCTTGGATTCTGATCTAACTGCCAACCACTGCCTAACTTGAGGGGAATTGCTTTTCTTCTGTGGGCCTCAGTTTTCTCATCCCTTGAGTGAAGATGCTGAACATCACATTTTCTAAAGACTGTTTCTTCCTGTTTTGAGGTTTAATGAAGTTAGGGTCAGAGGGACTTCTAGGAATAAATGCTTCCAGTGTTCAGGTAACACAAGTTTCTCCTGAGGAGAAATACAGGAAAATTAAAGGGCTCCATTTGCCCATCTTGATTCAGCTGGGGGTGAGGAGCTGAAAAGGACACCTGCTGATGCTACTCATGAACTGTGTAGCATCATTCTTTGAGAGCACTGGTTATGTAGCATTTGGGATGATGATAAAAGTCAAGGATCAGCAAACTTTTTCTGTAAAGGATCAGATGAGAAATGTTTTAGGCTATGCTGACCTAGAGTCTCTGTTGCAAGTATTCGACAATGCTACTGTAGTATGAAAGCAGACATAAAATACATACATGAATGAGTGTGATTGCATTCTATTACAAAAACAGTAGTGGGGACATAAGCTGTAGTTGTCTGACCCCTGATATAAGTGATGGTCTTTGTGATTAGAAATGTATAACCTTATCCTCCCTCCCACTTCACAGACAAATGTAAGTCCTGCAGGAGTTTATTATTACCAAGAGAGTTTGGAAAATGTTTCAAAGCCATAAATAGTTTAGAATAATAATAAAACTGTGAAGATCAGTGAACTAGGAAACAAAAGATGTAGATTGAGGCCAAATGCAACCATTTAACTAGTTGGCAAATGATTTAACCTCTATGAATCTAGGTTTCCTCATGTCCAGTTTTTTTGGAAATGGTACATGCTGTGCCTAAAAGGAATAAGAATAAAAATAGCAACAGTTAACATTTGAGTATTCTCATAAAATTGTAAATTTTTTTTTTACCTTTGTTATCACATTTAATTCTCAAAAAAGCCATTATTATCTATCTAAAGTATAGGTATTATTACCTAACTCACAACATTCTGACATGTAGATATTATTACTCCCATCTTATAATTCAGATACTGAAGGTCAGATGAGAAGTAAAAGTGAGATGAAAATGCTCTGAAAACTCTACAGCACTACATTAGAATAAAGTTATATAATTACTCAAGATAAGGGAAACAATGTTTCCCAAGTCTTTCCTCCACATGTTGAAATTGTGCAGTTTCATCATAGTATCTAAAATCCAATAGAATATGCATGTTCTAATACCCACTTTATGTGTAATCAACCACTACCCACTTATGAAGCTTCTACTCTCCATACAGGGCCCCAACTTACTCCTAAGGAGAGGCTAGAGAATCTATCACTAAATTTCCTTGTCCTTCCTAACAGCATATCCAGGAAAATCGAGTTGCTGCTATTTTCATAGACTCAGTAGTTACATGGCAACAGAGATCCAGGTTTATGTCCCACTTGTGCTGGTAAGATATATAGAGGAATGAGAAGGGAGGGGTTGTCAGCAAAACCTGGCATGTTGCAACTCCCAACAACTTCTTCAGGTGAGAAGGCTGTAAGCATTCTCCCTTGCCTAAACCTGTGTAACGAAAGGGATGGCAGGTAGCAGTGAATACCTTTCCATGCTCTAAACTAGATCAGACAAAAGAAACATACATGGAGCATCATTTCTAAGTGTTTGAAACCATTCCAGGCATTACCTTTAAACATTTAAAATTTTTTAAAGAGCAAAAGTCACAGTTGTTGAATTCCATTTGCAAGGCACCTGACATAGTGAAATGTTGCCTTTTTTTTATTTATTGACATATATTTTTCTCTTGTTAAAAGGAACATAGCCTTAATATAGAAAACTAGAAGTATCTAAAAAAATAGTTTATAAGAATGATCCATAATTCCATAGGGTAAAATAATTATTATTGTAGGAAGATTGTTTCCAAAGATAGCCACAGCCATTGCTCCCATCCTGCATGCCTCCTTTGCAATGGTCACTCTCCACACCCAGAGGTGGAGTTGATTGTCTGATCTGACACTGCAGTCTTCTTTGCCAAAAGAATGTGGCAGAAGCAACACGTACAATGATGCTAGGCTTTGAGAGGACTTGGAGCCTTTGTTTTTGTCTGCTTAAAACCCTCAGTCTCCATGGGTTTTTTTTTAAGCCTGTTAAAAATAAGAGATTTAAGTAAAATCTAGAGTAATATAACACCCCACAAGTCCAGGTTTGTTGTGGGAAGTCAGGTACCCCAAACAGAGGGACCCGCTGAAGCCATGGCAGAAGAAAATAAATTGTGAAGATTTCATGGACATTAATTAGTTCCCCAAATTAATACTTTTATAATTTCCTATGCCTGTCTTTACTTTAATCTCTTAATCCCGTCATCTTCGTAAACTGAGGAGAATGTATGTCACCTCAGGACCCTGTGATGATTGCGTTAACTGCACAAATTGTTTGTAGAGCATGTGTGTTTGAACAATATGAAATCTGGGCACCTTGAGAAAAGAACAGGATAACAGCAATGTTCAGGGAACAGGAGAGATAACCTTAAACTCTGACCACCAGTGAGCTGGGTGGAACAGAGCCATATTTCTCTTCTTTCAAAAGCAAATGGGAGAAATATCACTGAATTCTTTTTCTCAGCAAGGAACATCCCTGAGAAAGAGAATGCATCCCTGAGGGTAGCCCTCTGAAATGGCCGCTTCAGGGGTGGCTGTCTTTTACAGTTGCAGCTGTAGGGATGAAATAAGCCCCAGTCTCCCATAGCGCTCCCAGGCTTATTAGGATGAGGAAATTCCTGCCTAATAAATTTTGGTCAGACCGGTTGTCTGCTCTCAAACCCTGTCTCCTGATAAGATGTTATCAATGACAATGCGTGCCTGAAACTTCATTAGCAATTTTAATTTCGCCCCAGTCCTGTGGTCCTGTGATCTTGCCCTGACTCCATTTGCCTTGTGATATTCTATTACCTTGTGAAGCATGTGATCTCTGTGACCCACACCCTATTCGTACACTCCCTCCCCTTTTGAAAATCACTAATAAAAACTTGCTGGTTTTACGGCTCAGGGGGCATCATGGAACCTGCCAACATGTGATGTCTCCCCTGGACACCCAGTTTTAAAATTTGTCTCTTTTGTACTCTGTTCCTTTATTTCTCAGACCACTTAGGGAAAATAGAAAAGAACCTACGTGAAATATCAGGGGTGAATTTCGCCCAATATCTGGCTGAATTTCTCCTGATATTAGGGCATGGTTTTCCTGCAGGTTTATATTGAAGGTATGGGGTATCTCCCATTACAGATTTCTATTGAAAATCACTCATATCGAGAACAGAAAATATCTCAAATCAAATGAAAAAAGAAAATTAACAGGCACAAACACCAAGATAACAAAAAAAAGTTGGAAATATCTGGAAAATATTTTAAAGCAGCCCTCATATAAATGCTTCAATGAGCAATTATGACCATGCTTGAACCAACGAAAATATTGAAAGTCACAGGAAAAAAACAGAATATATAAAGAAGAACCAAATGGAAATTTTAGAACTAAAATATGAAATAAACAAAATTTTGAAATGCAGTGAATGGGCTCCATTAGCAGAATGAAGAGGGCAGAGAAAGGAATCAACGAAGTCAACAATTAAACCATGAAAATTACCCAATCTGAAAAGAGAGAGAAAACAGACTGTAAAAAAAAAAGCCTCAGCTACATGTGGGACTGTAACAAAGGATCTGACATTTGTGTCATTGAAGCTTAGGAAGAAAAGAAAAAGATTGTAAGGCTGAAAAAATAGTAAAAGAAATTATGATGTAAAATTTCCCCAAACTACCAAAAGACATCAATCTATAGAGAAAAGAAACTGAGAGGAAGCCAAACAGGATAAAAAGAAACCTTCATCAAGACATACCATGGTTAAACTTCTGAAAACTAAAGACAAAACAAAACAACAACAACAAAAAAAAAAAAAAAGAAAGAAAAAGAAAAAAAACCTCTTGAAATCAGCCAGAGAGAAATGATGTTTTCCCTATTTACCTAAAGGGGAAAACATTTTGAATGAGGCAGATTTCTCATCAAAATCCACGATGGCAAGAAAAAAAGTGGTACAGCATTTTTCAAGTCCTGAAAGGCATGAACTGTCAATCCAGAATTCTATAACCAGAAAAAGCATACTTCAGGAATGAAAGGAAAATTAAGATATTCTCAGATGAAAACCAACTAAAAGAACTTGTCACCAGCAGACCTACTGTAAAAGAATGGCAAAAGGAAGTTCTGTAAACAGAAAGAAATGATAAAAGAAGGAATCTTGAAACATCATGAAGGAAGAAAGAGCATAGAAAGATAAAAAATATGAATAAATACAGTAAAGCTTCTCCTCTTAAGTTTTCTAAATTATGTTTGAGGATTGAAGTAAAAATTGTAACAATTCCTGATGTGGTTATGCAGAGGAGATAAATGAGACAAATTTTTAGTCGGGGAGAATAAAGGGATGTAAAGGAGAGTAAGATTTCTATACTTCCCTCTAACTGACAAGTGTTGACACCAGCGGACTGATAGACGTGTATGCATATATATATATATATATATGTGTGTGTGTGTGTGTGTGTATATATACACACACACTATATAAATGTGTACATATACACAAATGTATATATATATACACACAATGTATATATACACAATGTATATATAGACACACAATGTGTGTCTATATATGTACACAATATATGCAATAGCTAGAGCAATAGCTGAAACAACTATAAAAAAGATGCGCTCAAGAACACTATAGGTAAATCAAAACTGAATGGAACACACAGGAAGGCAAAAAAAAAAAAAACCAAAAAATGAAAAAGAACAAATAGAAAACAAAAATTTCTCAAAAAACACAATTATAGGCATACAGTGGCTAAAACCCATACTCTGGAGCCAGTATGCCTGTGTTAAATTCCTGGCTCCAACACACTGGGCAAGTTGCCTAACCTCCCTATGCCTCGGTTACTTTATATGTAAATTGGACATAACAATATTCACTGCACAGGGTTTGATGAGATTTTAATATGTTAATATTTACAACAGTGCCTACCACATGGTAAATATTATATCTATATTCTCCAATTAAATAATTAAATTGATTCCTTAACTAGAGACAAGAAAACATTTAACTGTTCCTCTTTTTTGCCCTTTTAAATTACACTGTGACAAACCTTCTTTTACATTAGGCTTACTCCACATTTCTGATGATTTTTACAATAGACAAGCCCTCTGAAATATGTTTTGATGTTTATGTGCAGCCCCACTCTTTTTTCCTAGGCAGAATAAACTTCACAGACTTTTATAAGAGGTTGTTTCGACACAGAACTTAATAACTAAAATAGTTGGAGTTTTCACCAAATTTGTTTTGTCGGCACACAAAATAGACAGTGGAAGATTTTGTGGTATGTCATGTAAAGGTGTCCTAATTGTTTGTGACTTCATATATCACTACAAACTCTCCAGGATGGCATAGTATATTGGTTAAGAATATGAGCTTTGAAATTCAATCACCTGGGTTCAAATTCCAGCTCTATTCTTTATAAGCTGTACAGTCTTGAACATGTTGCTTAACCTCTTCATGTTTCAGGTGCTTCATCTATAAAAAGGAAGAAATAATAGTATCTACTTCACAGGGGTGTTATAAGGATAAAATGAGTTAATCCACCTAAAATACTCAGAAGAGTCCCTGCCGTTAAGCCAAAAAGAAAGACTAAGTGAAATCCCCTTCAGGTGGCCTAACTTCATCCTGAAAACATGCAGATAAGAAAATGATTATGAATCTCAATGCAAAATGCTGAAGAAAAGAGGAAAAATCCCTAACTCTCTCATTATGTAGCAACGTTAGCTACCAAGAGTGTTATAATAGAGCTCTGGGTTATGTATTATCACCATCTGTAGCCTGCTAAGCATTCCCTTCCCAATAAATCATCTCTTAAGGATGACTGAAAATTCACAAGTAATTTCGCATAAATAATTTTTTTGCATCTGAGCCAATTCTACCTGCATGCCCATATGGGAGCTTGGAACATTTCTTTGATGACAAACAGATTGGCCTGGGAAATAAGGGAATCTGAAAGGCTCAGTGCGTGATTTGTAATCTTCGCAACTTTTGGTTAAAAGGAACTCCGTGACTAAAGGAGTTTATTCTTAGGTTCCTGTAGCTGTAAATCAAAATACAAGATCATGCTTTAGGAGATATTGTTTGCTGTGTTTTTAAATGGAGTTTAAAATAAACTGTTAAGAGCTCTGTTAAACTCCGGGCTTAGAGTATATTCTATTTTGGGATATTATTACTCAGTATGTAAACAAGCTGTACCAAGATAAACTGTACAAGATTTCATAATTCCTTGCTGCTCAAGAATAGCAGCTGGTTGCTGCAAAAATTTCAGTTTCCCCCCTATCTTTAGTTTCTCTTTTCCTTATCTATAATGGCTGATTTGACTGTGGAATCCAGACATGGGACAGACTATAAAAACTATGAATTAATCTATCCATTTTATTCAAACCTTGCCGCAAGATATTCAAGACCCAAAGGAATTTTCCTGTGAAGGTCAAATTTTATGCATCATAGAAAGTAGAGAAAATGTTTGGGATTGATACACCTTTCCCCAACTCATACCTAATTAGTATATTGGCAATATATCTCAGATTTCCTATCACAGTTCCAATGTTAAAATGTCTGGCCTATTCTTAGCTCAAACGTCAAGTTATTCTAGAAACTCTGATAGCTGAGCATTCTTGTTACATTATTAAGTTATCTTATAAGATGAGCCATGTGCCCTCATTTAAGGAGTGAAAAATAACAAGACCGTGAGACTAGCAAGCTCCTCTTGTTTCTAACTTCTGAGTATGTTCTGCTCATTCTCAGAGCTCAAAGTTTGAGTCTGGATTCTATAACTTGAAGAACTTGATGGGTGTTCCAAAGAAAGCCTCAGAAGAGAGGCCTCTTAAGATTTCTTAAAAATTTCTTCCCTAATGTTCTTTGGACGCGTCATAGATTTAAAGTAGAATTCATGGAAACAAAAAGACTCTCCTTGAAGACTCAGCTGGGGACTCTCCATATTAAAACCTGTTCTCATAGAGAATAAAGTTCAAGGGAACAAGGCAAGGTAATTGAAGTAGACCAAAGAGGCACTCCAGCCTCTATAGCCTTAACAGTGTGGACTCTGGAGTCAGAAAGCATGGGTTTGAGTCTTATCTCTACAACTTATTAGCTGTGTGATCTTAGATAAGTCATAATCCTCTTTGGTGGTAAAAATAATGTCATCTTCATAGGATTACTGAGGATTAAATGAACTAAAACACTAACAATACTGCTTCCAAAGTAGCATTTTCTATTTATATATTCTTGTTATTGAGGCTGTTATTAATATTATGTCCACATTGAGAGAAGTAGACAATGGATGTTTGGAAAATAACTACTAAAACACATTAAGTGCCTACAATTTACCCATACTATGCTAAGCACTCACTATTCAAGGACATAAAAACATATGTATAAATGTGAACAAGAGACAAATCCCCCATGCAGAATAATTCCAAATAATTTAGGTAGATACTTTGCCTTCAGGGAGGTAGAACACATCTCCTTACTGCTTGAATATAAACTGTATAAAGTGATTTCCTTCCAAAGAATACAGTATGGAAGTGGGTGGGGAGCAAGTAAATACAATGAAGAAATCTGACAAACAGTAACTTAGCTAGCTGTCTGAGGTCACCACCAACAGTATGAAATCATGTTAACTGTATAAACTCAAACCCCAGTCAACTCATGAGGAAAACAGACAAATCCCCAATCCTCGAAACTGTCAAGGCATCAAAATCAAAAAAAGCCTGAGAAATTATCACAGCAAAGAGAAGCCAAAGAAGATATGACAACTAAATGCTATATGGTAGATTCTGGAACAACCACCACAAAAAAAAAAGACATAAGGTAAAAACTAAAGAAACATGGAAAAAATATGGATTTTAGTTAATAATAATATATCAGTATTGGTTCATTGATTGTAGCAAATGTACCATACTAATGTAAGATATTAATAATAAGATGAGCTGGGTGCAGGATATATGGGAACTCACTTATGGTATATTTGTAATTTTTCTGTACATCTAAAATAGCTCCAAAAAGTAAAGTTTATTTTAGAAAGAAAAAAAAAGAGAAGAGCTTGGCTCACGAGGAACTCCCAATGTAATGTGGAAGATGAACAAGTAATTAAATTATAAATTGTAATGCAGTGCAGTGTATGTAACAACGGAAACATGTAAAATGTACAGAGCCTACAAAGAACACAGAGGGATTAACACTGTTGTTGTGGGTGGTAAAACAAGGCTTTATGAGAGAGGCATTGCCTGAGCTGCAGTTTTTAGGAATGAATCAAGAGGAAGGGAAGGCAAGCCTCCCAAACTGAAGGGATGCCTAGGTAAAGACTTGGAAATTATTGAACTGTTTGGTGTTGTCAGGGCACTACGTGTTAGGGAATGAAATGGCAAGATAGGAGACTAAAGAGGAGTGATGAATCAGATCAGAAAGGACCTGACCTGTAGCTAGACCAAGGACTGGACCCCTCTTAGACAGAAGGAAGTTGAGCCTTTCAAAGCTATTTTCAAACAGAGATCTGGAAGAGCTAAGCAGCAGGAAACACTGCTAACAGGAATATCATTCCCTTTAAATTAAAATGCCTGTCATTCCTCACTGCCATAAATGACAGCTGGAACATACTGGACCTGACCTACTTTTGATTCCATATGTCTGCTAATGCCATTGGGCTCAATCTATTGCTGGGTAATAGGCTCTTGCTAGGGAAAGATTTATAACTGGAGAAAAAAACTTAACATTAGTCAGAAGGAATCTCCCGGAATGGACAGAACAAATATCAAAAGGACCCAGTCCTTTAGACTTGGCCTGGATGACCATGTGTGCCATTCACATAACTGTGCAGTCCATGTGAATCAGCACCAAGTCACTGAGGGTGGAGAAGTGGCGGACATTCGGCTAGGGGAACGGGCTGTAAATGCACTTTTACAATCAGCTAGAATTGACAGAAATGCCCTGGGAATTGGGCTCCAAACTGAACACAAACCAGCCACCCAGAAAGGCTATTAAGAATACAATTCTCTTCCATCATGCAGAAATACAAGCATACTATCACATTAAGATCAGTAGGGTGGGTCAAGGATTTGATTGTGCAGATTGAAATACCAGTTAATAAAATAAATGCAGATAAGAATTTGTCCAATCAACACTTTTAGTTATCAGAATGATGCGGACAGACAGGGTTGTTAGATGTCCCACAATGCCTGGGACAGCCCTATCCAACAAACAATTGTCTTGCATTCCATGTGCCTTTTTCCCCCCTAATTTTTTATTGTAATAAAATACACATAACATAAAAATTTACTATATTAACCATTTTTTATTATACTTTAAGTTCTAGGGTACATGTGCACAGTGTGCAATTTTGATACATAGGTGTACTTGTGCCATGTTGGTTTGCTGCACCCATCAACTCGTCATTTACATTAGGTATTTCTCCTAATGCTATCCCTCCCCCAGCCCCTCACCCACTGACAGGCCCTGGTGTGTGATGTTCTCCACCCTGTGTCCAAGTGTTCTCATTGTTCAATTCCCACCTATGAGTGAGAACATGTGGTATTTGGTTTTCTGTCTTTGTGATAGTTTGCTGAAAATGATGGTTTCCATCTTCATCCACGTCCCTGCAAAGGACATGAACTCATCCATTTTTATGGCTGCATAGGATTCCATGGTGTATATGTGCCACACTTTCTTAATTCAGTCTATCATTGATGGACATTTGGGTTGGTTCCAAGTCTTCGCTATTGTGAATAGTGCTGCAATAAACATACGTGTGCATGTGTCTTTATAGTAGCATGATTTATAAACCTTTGGGTATATACCCAGTAATGGAATTGCTGGGTCAAATGGTATTTCTAGTTCTAGATCCTTGAGGAATCGCCACACTGTCTTCCACAATGATTGAACTAATTTACACTTCCACCAACAGTGTAAAAGCATTCCTGTTTCTCCACATCCTTTCCAGCATCTGTTGTTTCCTGACATTTTAATGATCGCCATTCTAACTGGTATGAGATGGTATCTCATTGTGGTTTTGATTTGCATTTCTCTGATGATCAGTGATGACGAGCATTTTTTCATGTGTCTGCTGGCTGCATAGATGTCTTCTTTTGAGAAGTGTCTGTTCATATCCTTTGCCCACTTTTTGATGGAGTTGTTTTTTTTCTTGTAAATTTGTTGAGGTCTGTGTAGATTCTGGATATTAGCCCTTTGTCAGATGAGTAGATTGCAAAAATTTTCTCCTATTCTGTAGGTTGCCTGTTCACTCTGATGATAGTTTCTTTTGCTGTGCAGGAGCTCTTTAGTTTAACTAGATCCCATTTGTCAATTTTGGCTTTTGTTGCCATTGCTTTTGGTGTTTCAGTCATGAAGTCCTTGGCCATGCCTATGTCCTGAATGGTATTGCCTAGGTTTTCTTCTAGGGTTTTTACGGTTTTAGGTCTAACATTTAAGTCTTTAATCCATCTTGAACTAATTTTTGTATAAGTTGTAAAGAAGGGATCCAGTTTCAGCTTTCTACATATGGCTAGCCAGTTTTCCCAGCACCATTTATTAAATAGGGAATCCTTACCCCATTTCTTGTTTTTGTCAGGTTTGTCAAAGATTAGATGGTTGCAGATGTATGGTGTTATTTCTGTGGCCTCTGTTCTGTTCCGTCTGTCTATATCTCTGTTTTGGTCCCAGTACCATGATGTTTTGGTTACTGTAGCCTTGTAGTATAGTTTGAAGTCAGGTAGCATGATGCCTCCAGCTTTGTTCTTTTTCCTTAGGATTGTCTTGGCAATGTGGGCTCTTTTTGGTTCCATATGAACTTTAAAATAGTTTTTTCCAATTCTGTGAAGAAATTCATTGGTAGCTTGATGGGGATGGCATTGAATCTATAAATTACCTTGGGCAGTATGGCCATTTTCACGATATTGATTCTTCCTATCCATGAGCATGGAATGTTCTTCCATTTGTTTGTATCCTCTTTTATTTCATTGAGCAGTGGTTTGTAGTTCACTTTGAAGAGGTCCTTCACATCCCTTGTAAGTTGGATTCCTAGGTATTTTTTCTCTTTGTAGCAATTGTGAATGGGAGTTCACTCACGATTTGGCTGTTTTTCTGTTATTGGTGTGTAGAAATGCTTGTGATTTTTGCCCACTGATTTTGTATCCTGAGACTTTGCTGAAGTTGCTTATCAGCTTAAGGAGATTTGGGGCTAAGATGATGGGGTTTTCTAAATATACAATCATGTCATCTGCAAACAAGGACAATTTAACTTCCTCTTTTCCTAATTGAATACCCTTTATTTCTTTCTCTTGCCTGATTGCCCTGGCCAGAACTTCCAATAGTACGTTGAATAGGAGTGGTGAGAGAGGGCATTCTTGTCTTGTGCCAGTTTTCAAAGGGAATGCTTCCAGTTTTTGCCCATTAAGTATGATATTGGCTGTGGGTTTGTCATAAATAGCTCTTATTATTTTGAGATACATTCCATCAATACCTAATTTATTGAGACTTTTTAGCATGAAGGACTGTTGAATTTTGTTGAAGGCCTTTTCTGCATCTATTGAGATAATCATGTGGTTTTTGTCGTTGGTTCTGTTTATATGATGGATTACGTTTATCGATTTGCGTATGTTGAACCAGCCTTGCATCCCAGGGATGAAGCTGACTTGATCGTGGTGGATAAGCTCTTTGATGTGCTGCTGGATTCAGTCTGCCAGTATTTTATTGAGGATTTTTGCATCAATGTTCATCAGGGATATTGGCCTAAAATTCTCCTTTTTTGTTGTGTCTCTGCCAGGCTTTGGTATCAGGATGATGCTGGCCTCATAAAATGAGTTAGGGAGGATTCCCTCTTTTTCTATTGATTGGAATAGTTTTGGAAGGAATGGTACCAGCTCCTTTTTGTACCTCTGGTAAAATTCGCCTGTGAATCCGTCTGGTCGTGGACTTTTTTTGGTTGGTAAGCTATTAATTATTGCCTCAATTTCAGAACCTGTTATTGGTCTATTCAGAGATTCAGCTTCTTCCTGGTTTAGTCTTGGGAGGGTGTATGTGTCCAGGAATTCATTTATTTCTTCTAGATTTTCTAGTTTAGTTGCATAGAGGTGTTTATAGTATTCTCTGATGGTAGTTTGTATTTCTGTGGGATTCGTGGTGATATCCTCTTTATCATTTTTTATTGTCTATTTGATTGTTGTCTCTTTTCTTCTTTATTAGTCTTGCTAGTGGTCTATCAATTTTGTTGATCTTTTCAAAAAAACAGCTCCTGGATTCATTGATTCTTTGAAGGGTTTTTTGTGTCTCTATCTCTTTCATTTCTGCTCTGATCTTAGTTATTTCTTGCCTTCTGCTAGCTTTTGAATGTGTTTGCTCTTGCTTCTCTAGTTCTTTTAATTGTGATGTTAGGCTGTCGATTTTAGACCTTTCCTGCTTTCTCTTGTGGGCATTTAGTGCTATAAATTTCCCTCTACACACTGGTTTAAATATGTCCCAGAGATTCTGGTATGTTGTATCTTTGTTCTCATTGGTTTCAAAGAACATCTTCATTTCTGCCTTCATTTCATTATTTACCCAGTAGCCATTCAGGAGCAGGTTGTTCAGTTTCCATGTAGTTGTGTGGTTTTGAGTGATTTTCTTAATACTGAGTTCTAATTTGATTGTACTGTGGTATGAGAGACAGTTTGTTGTGATTTCTGTTCTTTTACATTTGCTGAGGAGTGCTTTACTTCCAATTATGTGGTCAATTTTAGAATAAGTGCGACGTGGTGCTGAGAAGAATGTATGATCTGTCAATTTGGGGTGGAGAGTTCTGTAGATGTATATTAGGTCTGCTTGGTGCAGAGCTGAACTCAAGTCCTGGATATCCTTGTTAACCTTCTGTCTCGTTGATCTGTCTAATATTGACAGTGGGGTGTTAAAGTCTCCCATTATTATTGTGTAGGAGTCTAAGTCTCTTTGTAGATCTCCAAGGACTTGCTTTATGAATCTGGGTGTTCCTGTATTGGGTGCATGTATATTTAGAATAGTTAGTTCTTTTTGTTGAATTTATCCCTTTACCATTATGTAATGACTTTCTTTGTCTCTCTTTTTTTTTATTTATTATTATTATACTTTGAGTTTTGGGTACATGTGCACAATGTGCAGGTTAGTTACATATGTATACATGTGCCATGCTGGTGTGCTGCACCCACTAACTCGTCATCTAGCATTAGGTATATCTCCCAATGCTATCCCTCCCCCCTCCCCCCACCCCACAACAGTCCCCAGAGTGTGATGTTCCCCTTCCTGTGTCCATGTGTTCTCATTGTTCAATTCCCACCTATGAGTGAGAATATGCGGTGTTTGGTTTTTTGGTCTTGCGATAGTCTACTGAGAATGATGATTTCCAGTTTCATCCATGTCCCTACAAAGGACATGAACTCATCATTTTTTATGGCTGCATAGTATTCCATGGTGTATATGTGCCACATTTTCTTAATCCAGTCTATCATTGTTGGACATTTGGGTTGGTTCCAAGTCTTTGCTATTGTGAATAATGCCGCAATAAACATACGTGTGCATGTGTCTTTATAGCAGCATGATTTATAGTCCTTTGGGTATATACCCAGTAATGGAATGGCTGGGTCAAATGGTATTTCTAGTTCTAGATCCCTGAGGAATCACCACACTGACTTCTCTTTTGATCTTTGTTGGTTTAAAGTATGTTTTATCAGAGACTAGGATTGTAAACCCTGCTTTTTTTTGCTTTCCATTTGCTTGGTAGATCTTCCTCCATCCCTTTATTTTGAGCCTATGTGTGTCTCTGCATGTGAGATGGGTCTCCTGAATACAGCACACTGATGGGTCTTGACTCTTATCCAATTTGCCAGTCTGTGTCTTTTAATTGGGCCATTTAGCCCATTTACATTTAAAGTTAATATTGTTATGTGCGAATTTGATCCTGTCATTATGATGTTAGCTGGTTATTTTGCCTGTTAATTGATACAGTTTCTTCATAGCATCGATGGTCTTTACAATTTGGCATGTTTTTGCAGTGGCTGGTACCAGATTATATCTTAACCATTTTTAAGTACACAGTTCAGTGGCATTAAGCACATTCATATTGTTGGGCAACCGTTACCACTATCCATCTTTAGATCTCTTTTTATCTTACAAAATTGAAACTTTATACTAATTAAATGATAGCCTCTCATTCTACTCTCCTCCCAGCCCATGGCAACTACCATTCTACTTTCTGTCTCTATAATTTTGAGTTCTCTACGTATGTCATATGGGTAGTATCATACCATATTTATCTTTTTGTGACTGGCTTATTTCACTTAGCATAAAATCCTAACAGTTCATCCATGTTGTAACATGTGTCGGAATTGTCTTCCTATATTTATAAGACAAAATGATAATCCATTGTATTATATACAACATTTTGCTTTTCTATTCATCCGTTGATGGACGATTGGGTTGCTTCTATATTTTAGCTATTGCAAATAATGATGCTAAGCTACTGTGTTTGTGTGTTAGTTTTTCACAAAAAAAAGTTTAAAAAGAAAAAAAAATAAAAATAGGATAAGCTTAAAAAATAAGGATAAAAAGAAAGAAAATATTTTTGCACAGCTGTACAATATGTTTTTGTTTTAAGCTGTGCTATTATAAGAAGTCAAAAAGTTTTTTAAAAATTAAAAGTTTATAAAGAAAAAAGGTACAGTAAGCTAAGGTTAATTTATTATTGAAGAAAGAAAAATATTTTATACAATTTTAGTGTATCTAAGTGTACAGTGTTTATAAAGTCTACAGTAGTGTACAGTAATGTGCTAGGCCTTCACATTCACTCACCACTCACTCATTCACTCACCCAGAGCAATTTCCAGTCCTGCAAGCTCCGTTCATGGTAAGGCCTACACAGAGTCAAGATTATTAGTATCACTGTCTTCTACTTCTGCATCTTTTCCTACTGGAAGGTCTCCAGGGACAGTAATAGAAATGGAGCTGTCATCTCCTGTGTTATCATGCTGGAAAGCCTTCTAATTTTTAATTATTTAATTTTTTTTGAGACAGGGTTTTGCTGTGACACTCAGGCTGGAGCGCAGTTGCACAATCATGATAGCAATGCCTTGTTTTGGAATACCTCTTGAAGGAACTACTTGAGGCTATTTTACAGTTAACTATAATAATGATAAGTATAGCACAGTATATACTAATCAATAGGAATTTTTCAGCTCCATTGTAATCTTATAGGATCACCATAATATGCAGTTTGTCATTGACCAAAATGTCATTATGCAGCACATGACTGTATTTAATTTATATATGCACAACCACTAGTTGTTTATATACAAAAGTACACAAAAGTTAACTATTTGTATATCAAACCAAATATTCTTTATTACATGATTAACATAAAATGAATATAAAATATCCAGGAAAACACATTTAGAAAGAGCACAAGTTTTATCTTATGATAGTTCTTAAAACATGGTAGCAAGAACTTGGTTCTTCAGTTCTGCTACTAATTAACTCTATGAACTCTGTAAGACACAGTAAGGTTTTTAATAAGCTAAAGGATCAGAAAAACCTAGATTTTTAAATTATGGTGTAGCAGGGCATTGATTTGCACAATGCTGCAATACAACTGAGATTTGCAATAACAACAAACAAATCAGATCTACTTTTCCCAGGTCTGATTTCATCTTTATGAGGCTCCCATTTCTACCAGTGTTGGAAAAAATACTTAAATTTGACAATTTAAGGTAAGTAAGTCTCAGATTTTTAAAAGCTTCCTTCAGACAAAGAGATGATTGTGACACCCCCATGAATAAGAGTGGTCTATCTACAGAGAAGAAAGAAGATCATGATTTAAGGGACGTGAGAGGACTGCAGCATTTTGCTAAGACAGATGTAAGGATGCGTGGGCCTAGTGGGCTAGAAATGGCTCCGTGTGTCAGTCAGTGAAGACAGTGAGGTAGAAGGGGGGACTTGACTCCAGAGGTGGGAATTCGAATACTGGACCAGATTGAGGACTAGCTAATACAGGACCAGGGTAGAAGCAGTTCTACATTAGACACGCCCACCAGTGTGCTGTGTTGGTTCACCATTGCCATAGCAACACCAAGAAGTTACCATCCCTTTCCATGGCAACTATCCCATGGCCTGGAAGTTTCCACTTGTATCCTAGAAATTTCTGCATGAACTGCCCTTTAATTTGCATATAATTAAAAGTGGGTATAAATATGTCAGCAGAACTGCTTCTGAGCTGCCACTCTGGACACACTGCCTGTATGGTAGCCCTGCTCGAAAAGGAGCAGTACCACTGCTACTGCTGTACACTACCACTTCAATATAAGTTGCTGTCTAAAACCTAAATAAATAAAAAGCCTCTTTCAATGTAACAAAATATTTTGAATAGTCAATTCAAAGTTCTAACTCCTCAAGAGAAGTTTTGCCCATTTTCCCCAGTTTCAAAATTCTCTACATTCCCTTCTTATTTACAGGATAGTATCTGAATAGAGGAGAAATTAACACACATCCTTGCCTTAGTAGGGCTAGACTATCCAGTCTACCTGTTTTTCTTACCTCACATTTCTAGAATGCAAGTGCAGTTGGTACAGGCAAGCTCTTAGGCACCCTCTACTGGTGTCTGCAGAGATCCAGCTAATGTTGATGTTTGCTCCTAAATCTTCTAGATATAGTGGTCAAAAGAGTTCAGGAAATAAATGCCCAGGAAAGCACAAGAGAGACTATCTTCAGCCATGATGATCAGAAAACTACACCCATGATTTCAATGGCCATCTGTAGGTAGATGACTCACCATGTTTTATCTCCAGTCCAGGTGACTCCTTGAGCATATGCAGCCAAATACTACTTCACATTTCCTTTATGGTGTCTAAAAGACACCCCAAATTGAGTATATTCTGCTAAATTTATAATCTTAATCCCCCTAAACTGTGTTTCTTCTGGTGTTCCTTAAATCTATAAGTGAATCTACCATAAACCCAGCTATTCAAACTAGAAATTTAGAGTTCATCCTTAAAAGTTCCTCTCCCTCAGCCTGTCTATATAATTAATCATGTCCTATTACTTCAACCTTCTAAATACCTCACAAATATGCTCCTTCTCTCTCTCTCTGCTGCCACCAACCTAATTCAACCACCATTGTCTCTTCAACTGGTTTACCTACATCCACTCTGGCCTTCTTCCAATCCATTCTTTCCACCTCAGCCAGAGAGATGTTTGTTAAGTGAACACAATGCCATCAACACACACACACACACACACACACACACACACACGCACACCCCTCTTAACACTCTTAGTTGGCTTCCTGTAACTCTAAAGTAAAGACCAAAATCTTTAAGTGTCTCTCAGAGTCCTGTGTCATCGAGTCTCCACTTGCCTTGCAGCTTCCCCTCACACACTCTCCCTTATTTTCTGAGCTCTGGCAACACTAATCTGATTTCAGTCTGTTAATCTGAAGAATTCCTTCTGACACAGGGGCTTGCCATATGCTAGTTTCTCTGTTTTAAAGGCTCCTCTCCCAACTTAATTCTCCTTTGCTTGGCTAATAGAAACTCTTCTTTCTGATCTCACCTTATCACCATTTCCTTGGGAAGACTTTTCTAATCTTGCTAACAATGTAAAATCCTCTTATCATATGTACTTCTTGGTTTTTACATTACATGTGTATATGTGATTTTTTTTACTAATGGATAGCTTTCTCACTACATTATAAACTGAATGAGAGCAGAAACTATGTTTTTGTTTGCCATTTTATGGGTGGCACTCAGAACAATGCATGGCACATAATAGGGTGACATATATGTATATGTGTGCATATATACATATATACACATACATATATACACACACATATGTATACATATATACACACATATATACATATATATACACACATATATAAACACACTTACATATATTCATTGAAAACATAATGAATATAATTCACCCAGAAATTATTTGGAGATTATATTTTTAAAATGCAGGTATTGATGTTTGTTGTGTTAACCCTCAATAAAGTAAGTTATTTAAGGCCAGGCACAGTGGCTCACTCCTGTAATCCCAACACTTTGGGAGGCAGATCACCTGAGGTAAGGAGTTCGAGACCAGCCTGGCCAACATGGTGAAACCTCATCTCTACTAAAAATACAAAAATTAGTCGGGCCTGGTGGTGGACGCATGTAGTCCCAACTACTCGGGAGGCTAAGGCAGAGAATCGCTTGAACCTGGGAGGCAGAGATTGCAGTGAGCTGAGATCGCACCACTGCACTCCAGCCTGGGTGACAGAGTGAGACTCCATCTCAATAAAAAGAAAAAAAAAACAGAAATGATATTCAGACGAGAGAATTTGATTTCAGTCTGTACCACTTATTAGCCAAGAAAACGTCAGATAATCATTTAAATCAGCAGCAGCGTTGTTATGCTATTACCTGTTTTCAATCACAATGCTGCAGATAAACTGTCAAGTATTATATAAATGTAAGGCATTATGATTTATCAGCAAAATTTAAAAGCTTTTTCTATAAAAGCCACAAAAAATACATAAAACATGACTAAAGCTAGGACAAAAAGCCTTACAGTTTTCCTCACAAACTTTAATTCTATATTAGTGTATTAGGGTTCTCTAAAAAGAGAACCAATAGAATATATAGAAGGTAGATATAGGAGAGGTGATTTATTAGGGGAATTGGCTCTCAAAATTATGGAGGCTAAGAAGTCCCATGATAGACCATCTACAAGCTAGAGAACCAGGGAAGCTAGTAATATGGCCCCATCAAGTCCAAAGGCATAAGAACAAGGGAAGCCCATGGTGTAACCCTCAGTCTGAGGCTCAAGGCCCAAGAACCTGGGAGCCACTGGTGTAAGTCCCAGAGTCCAAAGGCCAAAGAACCTGGAGTTCTGATATCCTAGGATGGCAAAAGAAGGGTGTCTCAGTTCCAGAAGAGAAAGAGAGTGCAAATTCACCTTTCCACTGCCTTTTTGTTCTACGTGGAACCCTGGCTGATTAGATGGTCCCCACCCATATTGAGTGAAGTGGCTTTTCCTTACTTAGTCCATTGATTCAAATGCCAGTCTCTTCCAGAAACACACTCACAGATACATCCAGAAATAATGCTTTACCAGATATCTGGGTCTCTCTTAATCCAGTCAAACTGACACCTAAAATTAACCACCACAATGCCAAACCCAGTCAACTTGCCACCCATTTGCATCTTCTTAAACCACATTGAGTCTCCAAATAAAGATAATAACAAGGTCATAGTTCAATCTAACAAGATACAACTAACCTGTATACTACGAAAAATGCACTTATCCCTTCTCCAGAAGAGGAAGTGAAGTCCCTGAGTGATGTTTACTCTTCTCCTAATATCCCATAACTTAAGTACTGTGATGCAAAATTAATAATACTTAAATACTGATATGAACTCATTACATCTTATGTTACATGATAAAAGAATAAGAAAGGAACAAAATCAAAGATATTTGCTTGATATATGTATATATAGGCACAAACATATTTTAACAGAATAAGGAGGAAATACTCATGGCAATTATAGCCTGTTTTTTTAATTGCTCATGTGGTCACTACTTGTATTTATAACTACCTTCTACTACTGATTCTATATTCCCTTTGCCTTCAGCAAGCACCTCAGCTGGTGCTTTTTATATGGCAGAGTTACCCAAACCTTCATTCCTGAAAGGTGTGGGTCATTCATAGACCTATTTAGATTGGGTTATCGTGGTTTCATTGACCGTAGTCACAGGGGATGGTAATACTAAGAGAAACCCTAAGGGATCTCTTGTATTGCAGACATACTCTTCCTTACCTCCATTATGGAGTAGTAGTCCAATTCCCTCTTGGTATTCTGGATCAATTACCCCAGCCAACACCATAACTCCCCTCCATATCCTGTTGACTCAGAGGCATCAGAAGCCCAATATAGCCAGGTGGCAATCTTAACTGCCAATTCAACGGAATCATTGTGTCTCCCAGTGGAAGTTCTACTTCCTCTAGAATTAAGACCTCTAGTCCAGCAGAGCATACTTACTGAAACAGGAATCAAAAATGTTGCTAGGGGGTCACTAGGGGTAATGGTGACTGATGCCACTCCCATTTCCACCCCGTGATTCCTGGACCCATGAATCCTGGCTATAGGAGAAACAGTATCATATATTAGACACTGATTCAGAGTTTTTACAGCCTCTGAACAACATTGCCCCAGCTCAGCAAAGTATTATCATCAAGCTGGCACTGTAACAGTCTTCAAAAAACCATCCCATTGTCTTATTAAACCAGCTACTTTAGGATAATGGAAAACTTGCTAAGATCAGGGAATTCCATGAGCACGAACCCATTGCCATGCTTCTTTGCCTGTGAAGTGAGTTTCCAGGTCAGAAGTGATGCTGCTCTGTGGAGTACCATGATGCTGAACAAGGTATGTTTAAGTTCATTAATGATAGTTCTGTAAGTTCATGAATGGTATTTTGTAAGTTCATGAATGGTAGTTTTGGTAGAAGCATTGCATGCATAGAAGGCGTATCCAGAGTGTCTATTCTAATAAAGAAAAACACAGCCCTTTCTATGATGGAGGTAGTTCAATGTAATCAAGCTGCAACCAGGTAGCCATGTTATCACCCTGGGGAATGGTTTCATAGTGGGGGCTCAATGTTGATCTCAGCTGCCGGCAGATTGGGTACTCAGAAGTTGCTAGAGCCAGGCCAGCCTTTGTGGTGGAAGTCCACCTTGCTGAGCTCATTAAAAGCTTCAGTCTCTGCCACCATGGCCACTTTGTTCATGAGCTCACTGGGCAATAATGGAGAGTAGATGGGGAAGGAGGCTGACTGGTATTGACAAAATGGGTCATTCTATCTACTGGATTATTAAAGTCCTCCTCTTCTGAAGCTACCCTTTGGGGAGCATTCATCTAAGACAGAAATATCTTCATATGCTTTACCTATTCGGAGAGGTATATCCACATACATCTTTCACATATTTCTTTGTCACCAATTTTCCAATTATGTTCCTTCCAAATCTCTGACTATCATGCCAAACCATTGGCTACAGTCCATAAATGAGAATATAATAACGTATGTGGCCATTTTTCCTTCCAACAAAGTGCAAAAGCTGGTGGACTTACCAAAGATCTGCCCACTGGGAAGATTTCCCTTCACCACTGTCTTTCAGGGATGTCCCAGAAAGGAGGGGATAGTGCTGCAGCTGTCCGCTTTTGGATTGTACCTGCATATCGTGCAGAATCATCTGTAAACCAGGCCCTAGTCTTCTCTTCCTCTCTCAACTTATCATAAGGTACTCTCCATGAGGCCACAGGTGTAGGCTAGGAGAGAGAAGGTCTTGTAGCAGAACAAACCATCAGCATTTGGGGCCACTTCCTTATTTAACTTACTTGTAACTTCATGACCTCTTCAGGCTGGATCATGTACATACTACTTCCATTTGACGATGGTGCTGCTGTGCATGTCCAACTTTATGACTTGATGAGTCACAGAACACCAAATTCATGATGGGCAGCTCAGGTCATAGGGTAACTTGGTGGCCCATGGTCAAGTGTTCAGTTTCTACTAAGGCCCAGTAGCAGACCAAGAGCTATCTCTCAAAAGGAAAATAGTTATCTATGGATAAAGGCAGGACATTGCTTCAAACTCCTAAAGACCCACAGTGTTATCCACCTATGGGGGCCTGTCAACTGCATCCCTACCTGCCTCTGACACTTCAAGCACCACTGGATCTCATGAATGACATGGTTCAAGTGGCAGAGAAGCCACAGTAACCTAAACCTGCTGCAGAGCCTCCCCTTGTTCTGGGCCCCACTCAAAATTAGCAGCTTTTTAGGTCAATTGGTAAGTGGGCCAGAGTAGTGCACCCAAATGAGCAATGTGTTGCCGCTCAAATCCAAATTGGTTCACTAGGTGTTGTGTCTCTTTCTTGGTTGTAAAAGAGGCCAGATGCAACAACTGTCCTTCACCTTAAAAGGGATATTTTGACATGATCCACACCACTGGACCCCTAGAAATTTTATGGAGAGAACAGGCCCCTGAATTTTAGTCAGATTTTTCATGGCCTGACATGCAAATATCTTCCCAATAAATCTAAAGTTGTTGTTATTTCTCACTCACCAAGCCTAATTAGCATAATATTGTCAATGTAATGGACCAGTGTGATATGCTGTAAAAGGGAAAGGTGATCAAGGTCCCTACAAACTAAATTATGACATAGTGCTGGAGAGTTAATATACTCCTGAAGTAGGAAAGTGAAGGTATATTACTGGCCCTGCCAGCTGAAAGAAAACTGCTTCTAGCAAGCCTTCTAAACAGGGATGGAGTAAAAGGCATTTGATAGTTGGTTCCAAAATTGTGGTGTAGATACAAGCTGGCTTCTCTCCCCTACCTCAGAGGACAAAAAACAAATATACTACGATTATCACCAGTGATATTTCAGAACTCAAATATGAGCCAGAGACAGGTATCAGACCACAGTGAACTGAAAAAAATTCTGAGCAGACTGTAAGAGAATGAGCCTTTCATATCTGCA
Source organism: Homo sapiens (assembly GCF_000001405.40). Taxonomy (NCBI): domain Eukaryota; kingdom Metazoa; phylum Chordata; class Mammalia; order Primates; family Hominidae; genus Homo; species Homo sapiens. Next base: position 90,658,658 of record NC_000010.11, read on the forward strand.
ATGCCCCTCTCCCCAATCTGCCTAGCACCAAATGCCCAGAAAATTTCTCTCTGACTCACATTTTCTACACTGGAAAAAGTGAGATCAAGGAGGACAACTAGCTTGCCCACCATCTTGGGATCCCTGGCAGGATATCTGTCTCTGTCTCAAACTGCAAGACGGATCAGGAGGGCCTGAAGGGAGAAATATCTCTGAGGACAGCCAAAGACAAAGGGTGGAGGTGAAATTACCATTCCCAGTTCTGGAATCTGAAACAACCATTCCCAGCTCTGGAATCTCTGCTCTGTAACAGCCAAAGGAGATGCCATATCACAGTGGCTGCTCAGGAGCACCACCTGTGGGTGGTTCACTCCACAATCCCCCTGGGCACAAACCCTTAGCCAGTGTTCCCTCACTACCAGGATATCCCCTGTGGGATATTCCCCATTCAGGATGGGCACCACTCTGATTGCTTACTAGAACCAAGGCAAACCAGGGTTTAAGGCATCATTTAGTGCTAAAAAGGGGGCAGTGACCTAGAAGGGGAAAAAAATCAACAGCTAAATTACGAAGAATCTCTAAGCAAACACATCCAATAAAAACCAAAAAGAGCCAGACAGAGAAGACTGAAATAAATAGTTAATCCTTCCATGCAATGTTATACATGTACATCCACAGGGAACAACAGCAAAAATGGGAGCCATTGACCAAACAAACAAAGCAAGGAACCAGTGACTGACCCTAATGAGATGGGATATGTGAACTCTTGGACCAATAATTCAAAATAGCAATTTTATGGAAATTTAGTAATCTCAAAGGTAAGACAGAAAAGTAATTCAGAAATTTATTGTCAGAGAAATTTAACAGAGATTGAAATAATTTTTTAAATGAAACAGAAATCTCATAACTGAGAAATACATTAGCTAAACTACAGAAGTTATTATAGGTAGACCAGTAACAGAATGGATCAGTGAAAGAGGAATCACAGAGGAAAGAATCAGTGAGCTCAAAGACAAGCTATTTAAAAACACATAGTCAGAGGAGAAAAACAGAAAACAGAATGAAAAGAAATGAAGATCGCCTATTAGATATAGAAAATTACCTCAAAAAAAGAAATTTAATTATTGGCGTTCAAGAGGAAATAGAGCAAGAGCAAGGGTAGAAAGATTATTCAAAGAAATAACAATAGAAAACTTTTCAAAACTTGAGAAAGAGATAAATATCCAGGTACAGAAAGGTGAGAACACCAAACAGATTCAACCCAAATAAGGCTATCCCAAGGCATATAATAATTAAATTCTCAAAGGTCAAGGACAAAGAGAAGGTTCTAAAAGCAAAAAGAAAAGAAAAGAACCAAGCATCATGTAAAGGAGCTCCAATTTTTCTGGCAACAGACTGCTCAATGGAAATGATACAGGCCTGGAGAAAATAGAATGACATTTTCAAAGTACTGAAAGAAAAAAAAAACTGCCATTCAGGAATACTATATCCAGCAAGTTATTTTTTAACTATGAAGAAAAAATAAAATCTTTCTCAGACAAACAAAAGCTGAGAGAATTTACCACCACCAGATCTATCTTACAAGAAATGATAAAGACAGTTCTTCAATCTAAAAGTAACAGTCACTACCATGCACAAGGAAAACATTTGAAGGTAGAAAACCCACCAGTAAATTAAGTACATGAAAAGCCCAAGACATTCTAATACCATAATTGTGATGTGCAATCCACTAATAACTCCATGAAGCCAAAAAAGACAAATTTATCAAAAACAACAATAGCTAGTGCAACTTGTTAAGAAATAAGCAATATAAAAATTTGTAAATTGAAACAACATAAAGTCAAGATGTGGAGGGAATGAAGTTTAAAAACAAAAGAAAAATTCTACACTTTGTTTGTTTTTATTCTTTCCTTTGTGATCTAAGATAAGTTGTCATATCTTTAAAATAATTTGTTAGACCAAATGGATATAATACTTATTTACAGAACATTTCATCCAGCAGCTGCGGAATACACATTCTTTTCCTCAGCCCGTGGATTACTCTCAAGGATAGACTATATATTAGGTCACTAAAGAAGTCTTAAAACTTTCAAAAAATTGAAATAATGTCAAGCATGTTCTCTGACTACAATGGAATAAAACTAGAAATTAATAAAAGAGGAATTTTGGAAACTATACAAATACATGAAAATTAAACAACATGCTCCTGAATGGCCAATAGGTCAATGAAGAAATTAAGAAGGAAATTGAAAAATTTCTTGAAACAAATGATAATGGGAACACTGCATAACAAAACCTATGGAATACAGCAAAAGTAGTACTAAGAGGGAAGAATATAGCTATAAATGCCAACATCAAAAAAGGGAAAAAAAAACTTCAAATAAACAATCTAATGATTCAACTTAAAAAACCAAGACAGCAAGAACCAAACCCAAAATTAAAAGAAAATAAGTACTAAAGATCAGAGCAGAAATAAATGAAATTGAAATAAAAAAATACAAAAGATCAATGAAACAAAAAGTGGGTTTCTTGAAAAGTTAAAACTGACAAACCTTTAGCCAGATCAAAAAAAAAAAAAAAAAAAGAGAAGAGACATATAAAATCAGAAATGAAAAAGGAGACATTACAACTGATACTACAGAAATTCAAAGGATTGTTAGTGGCTTCTGTAACCAACTATTTGCCGATAAACTGGAATAAAGAGAAGAAATAGACAAATTCCTAGACATATATGTATTAGTCCATTCTCACACTGCTATAAAGAAATAACTGAGACTGGGTAATTTATAAAGAAATGAGAATTAATTGGCTCATGGCTCCACAGGCTGTATAGGAAGCATGTCTAGGGAGGCCTAAGGAAACTTTCAATCATAGCAGAAGGAAAAGCAAGCACATCTTACCTGGATGAAGCAGGAAGAAAAGAGAGAATGGGGAGGTGCTACACACTTTTAAACAACTTGATCTCATGAGAACTCTCTCACTATCACTAGAACAACAAGGGAGAAATCCACCCCCATGATCCAATCACCTCCCATCAGGACCCTCCCCCAACATTGGAAATTACAATTTGACATGAGATTTGGGTGGGGACACAAATCTAAAACATATCACATACACCTACCAAGATTGAACCAGAAAGAAGTCCAAAGCCTGAACAGACCAATAACAAGTAACAAGATCAATGCCATAATAAAAAGTCTCCTGGTAAAGAAAATCCCAGGAACCAATGGCTCGCTGTTGAATTTTACCAAACATTAAATTGATTGAGTACCAATTCTACTCAAACTGTTCCTGAAAATAGAAGAGGAGGGAATACTCCCAAATGCATTCTACCTGGCTGGTATCAGCCTGATGCCAAAAACAAAAAAAGACACAGTAAAAAAAAATAAAAAGAAAACTGTAGGCTGATATCTCTGATGAATGTTGATGCAAAAAATCCTCAAAATGCTAGCAAACTGAATTCAACAATACATTAAATATATCATTTATCATGACCAAGTGGGATTTATCCCTAGCATATAAGAATGGTTCAACATATACAAATCAATCAATATGATACATCATATCAACAGAATGAAGGCTAAAAGCCATATGATCATTTAAGTTGATGCTGAAAAAGCATTTGATAAAATTCAACATTTTCAGGATAAAAATCCTTAAAAAACTGGGGATAGAAGAAACTTACCTCAACATAATAAAAGCCATATGCCACATATTCTTAGCTAGTATCATGCTGAATGGTGAAAAACTAAAAGCCTTTCCTCTAAGACCTGGAACATGACAATGATGCCCACTGTCAACACTGTTATTCCACGTAGTACTGGAGGTCCTAGCTAGAGCAGTAAGACAAGAGAAAGATATAAAGAACATCCACATTGGAAAGAAAGAAGTCAAATCATCCTTGTGTGTGGATAATATGATCTTATATTTGGAAAAACCTAAAGACTACACAGGAAAACTATTAGAACTGATCAACAAATTCAGTAAAGTTGCAGGATACAAAATCAACAACAAAAATCAGTAGCATTTCTATATGTCAAAAGTGAATAATCAGAAAAGGAAATCAAAAAGTAATCTCACAACAGCCACACATAAAATTAAATGCCTAGGAATTAACTTCACCAAAGAAGTGAAAGATCTCTGTAATGATAACTATAACACACTGATAGAGGAAAATGAAGAAGATACCAAAAAATGGAAAAATATTCCATGTTTATGGATTGGAAGAATCAATAGTGTTAAAAATGTTTGTACTACTCAAAGCAAACCATAGATTTGATGCAATCCCTATAAAGTGACATTCTTCACAGAAATATAAAAAAGTATCCTAAAATTTATATGGAACCACAAAAGACCCAGAATAGCCAAAGGTATCCTAAGCAAAAAGACCAAAACTGGAATAATTATATTACCTGACTTCAAATTACACTACAGAGGTATAGTAACCAAAACACCATGGTTCTGGCATAAAAGCAGACATATAGACCAATGGAACAGAATAGAGAACCCAGGAGATCTAGAACAAGACAATGATACCCACTTTCACCACTTTAATCTACATAACACTGGAAGTCCTATCCAAAGAAATTAGACAAGACAAAAAATAAAGGGCATCCAAACTGGAAAGGAAGAAATCAAATTAGCCTTGTTTGCAGATAACATAATCGTATACTTAGAAAAAGCTAAAGACTCCACCAAAACTTATACATTATACATTAATTCAGTAAGATTATAAGATCTAAAATCAACATGAAAAAGTCAGTAGCATTTATATATGACAAGAGTGAACAATCTGAAAAAAAAATCAAGATATTAATCCCATTTGCAATAGTTACAAAGTCTATAAAGTATCTAGGAATCAATTTAGCCAAAAAAGTAAATAACTATAAAACAGTATTAAAAGAAATTAAAGAGGACACAAAATAATGAAAACATATTCCGTACTTATGGATTGGAAGAATTAATATTGTTAAAATAACAATACTCTCTGAAACAATTTACAGATTCAATGCAATCCGTATTAAAATACCAATCACATTCTTCTAAAAAACAGACCAAAAAATCCCAGAATTTATATAAAACTACAAAAGGCCCTGAATAGCTAAAGCAATCCTGAACAAAAGAACAAAACTGAAGGTATCACACTACCTAACTTCAAATATACTACAAAGCTATAGTAATCAAATCAGCATGATACTGGCATAAAAACAGAGACATAGACCAACGGGACAGACTAGAGAATACAAATATAAATCCACACATTTCCAGCCAACTCATTTTTGACAAAGTCATCAAGTGAGAAATGAAAGTCTCTTCAACATATGGTGCTGGTAAAACCAGATAACCATATGCAGAAGAATGAAATTAGACCTCTATCTCCAACCATATGCAAAAATCAAATCAAAATGGATTAAAGACTCAGATGTGAGACCTGAAACTATGAAACACCTATAGTAAAACATTAGAGAAAAGCTCTAGAAAATTGGTCTGGGCAAATACGTTTTGGGTAAGACTTCTAAAATACAGGCAATCAAAGCAAAAATAAACACATGGGATTAAATCAAGTTAAAAACCTTCTGCACAGCAAAGAAAACGAGCAAAAAAGTAAAGGGACAGCCCATAGAATGGAAGGAAATATTTGCAAACTATTCATCTCATAAGAGATTAATAATTAGAATATTTAAGGAGCTTAAATAACTCAATAGCAAAAAAATAATAATTTAAAAATGACAAAAAGGTCTGAATAAACATTTCTCAAAAGACATACAAATGCACAACAAATACATGGAAAAATGCACATCACACACAATGTCACTAATCATGAGAAACATGCAAATCAAAACCACAAGGAGCTATTTTATGCCAGTTAGAGTGGCTATCATCAACGAGACCAAAAAAAAAAAAACAACAAATTCTGCATAGGATACAGAGAAAAGGAAACTCTCACAAACTGTTGATGAGAATGTAAATTAGTATAGTTATTAAAAAAAAACAGTATGGAGGTTTCTCAAGTGACTAAAAATAGAACTACCTACCATAAGATTCAGTAATACTATTACTGGGTATGTATCCAAAGGAAAGAAAATCAGTATATTGAAGAGACACTCACACACTCATGTTTCTTGCAGCTGTGTTTACAATAGCTAAGATACGAACTCAACATAAATGTCCATCAACAAATGAATGGATAAAAAATGTGGTGTATATATAAACAATGGAATACTATTCATCCATTTAAAAATGAAATCCTGTCATTTATGGCAACATGGATGAGCCTGGGGGACGTTATGTTATGTGAAATAATTCAGGCACAGAAAGATAAATACTGCATGTTCTCACTCCTGTGGAAACTAAAAAAAAAAAAAAATGAGTTCATAGAAGTAGAAAGTAGAATCATAATTATGAGAGGGTAGGGAGGGTAGCCAGGAGAGGAGAGAGAGAGTTTAGTTAATGGATACCAAGTTACACCTCGATGAAATTAGTTCTCGTGTTCTGTAGCCCTGTAGAATGAATATAGTTAATAGTAATTTACTGTACACTTCCGAAGAGCTAGAAGAGAGGATTTTGAATGTTTACAACATTAAAGAATAATAAATATCCAAGATGATTGACATGATAGTTACCCTGATTTGATCATTACATATTATATACATGTATTGAAATATCACTTTGTATCCCTTGAACATGTACAGTTATTACATATCTACTAAAAACAAAAGGAAAAAAATAACCAATTAAAGAACCACAAGATGAAATAAGTATCAATGAAGAAGAAACTAATTACAATAATAGCTGAAACTAATAGAAAACAACGAATAGAAAGGATAAAGAAAGACAAATAACTATGCAATCTGGTTCTTTAGAGAAAAAAATAGGTAAACTTTTTCAGCAGGATCATGAACAAGACAAAACAACAGAGCAAAAATAGAGCAATATTAGAGTTGAGAGAAATAGAAGCACAGATGCAGGAGCAATTAAAAGAATTACAAGAGAATGCTGCATGAAAATGTAAGGAAACACATTTGAAATGCTGTAAAAATTAATGCCTTCCCTGAAAAACACAATTTTTTTAAAGTAACCTAAAAGAAATGGAAAACTCAAATACACCAATCACCATAAAATTTGGAAAAGCAACTAAAAGTCCACCATTCAAAAAGGCATCACGACCAAATAGGGTCATCACCATGTTTGACCCATCTTTCAAAGAACAGAAGATTAATTTAATCTATTTCTTTCCAAGGAAGAAGTGGAAAATGCCTTCAGTTAACTTTTGAAAGATAAAATCATTCTAATACAAACTTGATAAAAATGATTCTAATATTACCAAAAAAATCTTCCTATAGAAAGAAAAAGAAATCCTTTTCCTAGATTTAAGCAGCATAAGAACAGGAATGTTTATGATTCAATACCATATCCTTAGCACCCACGTTAGTACATGACATAAAGCAGGTACTCAACAAACATCTTTTGAATTAGTAATAGGTCAGTTCTCCTCATAAATATAGATGCCAAAACTAAAAATAAATTTTAGCAAATAGAATCTGACAACACATCGAAATATTTATATCATGTCAACTGATGCTGAAAAGACACTCGATCTCCTGTCATATAGTAATTTAATTAAAATTAGATAGTTGAATTACTCTGTTCTCATGCTGCTAATAAATACCCAAGACTGGGTAATTTATAAAGAAAAGAGGTTCAACTGACTCACAGTTCTGCATGGCTGGGGAGGCCTCAGGGAACTTACAATCAAAGCAGAAGGCGAAGCAAAAGCAGGCACCTTGTTCACAAGGCAGCAGGAGAGAGACTGCCAGCAGGGGAAATGCCAGAAGCTTATAAAACCGTCAGATCTCGTGACAACTCACTCACTATCAGCATGAGGGAAACCACCCCCATGATTCAATTACCTCCACCTGGTTCCTCCCTTAACACCTGGGGATTATCGGGATTACATTTCAAGATGAGATTTGGGTGGGAACGCAAAACCTAACCAAATCAATATTACAGGTATAATAATATGCAGTACCAACATTTTTTATTACCATGGAGGCTCTAGCAGTTCTGTTAGATCACAAACAAATAAAATAATTAATATAAACATTGAAAAAGAAAAAAAAGTACTATGTTATTCCTGACATATGCTAATAGAAATCACTGACGGATAAAAGTCAAAATTCACTAAAGTGGATATAATATCTCATTTTCCAAAAACAAAAAAAAAAAATGTAAGGTAGATAGACAGATAGATACTTAAGCATGGAAAGATATATACAAGGCATCATTTTAGATTACCATGTGGCAGAGAACCGAGTCAATGGAGAACAACAGGAAGGAGAAGCCAGGCAAAATTCAAATGCAAAAAATCACACCCACACACATTTTTGTAAGATTATGTATATATGCACATATAAAAACATGTAGGTAAGGAAATTTTGAAATAATTTTAATCTTATTAATAAAATTGTTTTTAAAGGTTTATTTTCAAAGACTTGTGTTGCTCCAAAGGAAAATATAGAATAAAATAATTAATAGGTCATCCTTGCTGACTCCAGCTCCAGATGGAGAGAGGCAGGTTGAGAGCATGGGAAGCATGAGCTCCAACATTACCTTTTTCCAGGGCACTGACTCTAGTGCCCCTGGCCTACTTAGCTACACAGTCTTTCTCTGTAACTCTCTATACGGAGTGCACTCCAACTTTCTGGTGATTTATTAGTCACAGGAGAGAATTAGCAGACCAAATACAGGTGTGCGCTGCTTGATTAATTACATCTCTCCACCAATGGGCCCCATCAGAGAGCTGGTTTCACTCCATTAAGTTGTTGCTCAGTCAAATAACTGTATTATTCCAATATCTAATTGTTTACTTTCTGTAAACTGATTCTAATCCCACCCTGGCATAGTTATGAAACTAGAAGTAAGTGTCGTTCTAAAGCAGCATCCCTCCAGCCCCATTCATTTGACCATGGTATTCATAAAAAGGAAAGCTCATTGAACACATGTGGTTAAGTACTCATGAGCTACAATCTTTGGTTGAATTAATGTAGTCAGAAAAAAAGTAAATCACTCAGATGTTTCAAATGATGCTAGAAATGCTCAGCTTTCCCTTATAAAATAACAGAAACTGTTAGAGAATTTAAATAATCTTAATAAGATCAAAATGATATATTTAATCTTATATTTTTGTTTTAAATTTGGGTTATAAAATATTTTAATGTAAGAAGTGAATTTTATTATTTATCACATATCCTCTGAATATTAAGTATATTTCTGATTCTGGTGCAGTACCAAGATTATTCTTACATTTTGTTTTTACTACGACATCATTTTTCAAATCCTAGTTCTCACAAGTCCATGGGGGCAAAAGCTAGAAGCATATAGATTTTACATCTTGAGATATTTTGATATTCTTAAATTGGATTAAACAAAAATTATTATTTCATTGTGGATAACAACCTTTTTCTTTTTAAAGAAACTAAATTGATTGTTCATCTTCAATTTTGTAATAATCATTCTTTGTGAAGTTTTTTACTAGCTATAGCTTTGAAAACCAGGAAAATAGCTTTTTTGATTAAAACCATTTAAGCCATAGCTAGATTCGTGAGAAACTAATTTGCTTAATTAAAATATTTAATAATTAACAGTCAATAGTGCAGTAGCATTCAACACCCTCCTGAGGTCAGGACAGATGTATATGTAAAGTTTAGAGAGAAGCTGAGTGGGCCTGGAACCATTTGTTGGCAACTACCATGGTACTGCAGAATCAAACCCAGGTGACAGGACACAATTTGTCACTATAAAGCTGAATTTCTTTCTAAAGATCATATATCTATTCTGTACTAAAAAGTTTAATTTATCGACCAGGCGCAGTGGTTCACACCTGTAATACCAGCACTTTGGGAGGCCAAAGCGGGTGGATCGCTTGAGGCCAGGAGTTCAAGACCAGCCTAGCCAACATGGCGAAACCCCTTCTCTACTAAAGACACAAAAATTAGCTGGGCATGGTGGTGCACACCTGTAGTCCCAGCTACAGCCCAACCCTCAGGAGGCTAAGGCAGGAGAATTGCTTGAACCTAGGAGTTGAAAGTTGCAGTGAGACTAGATCGTGCCACTGCACTCCAGCCTGGGTGACAGAGCAAGATTCTGTCTCAAAAAACAAAGTTTAATGTATCCTGTTAATACTAATTTGGCCCAATTCTTTACAAAATAATACGTAGGACATTTTATGATCAAAATATATTTGTTGTCTCCCTTCCTCATATTAACAAGCAGTAAATAGTTGCATCATTGAAATCACTTTTTTCTTGTCCCCAAATTTGTCCTTTGTCCACCAAAAAAGGACACTGCTAGACACTTCAGTCCATCCTGACACAACACATTATTAATAACTTGATAAACATGTGGCTTTCCCCCACTAGATTATAAACTCTGTGAAGTCAGAATGCTTGTCTATCTGGATCACCAATCCCATTGTATCATGAGCCTTGTGTAGTTCTTGGAACATAGTAGGAAGTCAATATTTGTGGAAACAAAAAGAGGAGGGAAGGGAAAAGGAAATCAGGAAGCAAACAGGCATATATTAATGAACAGTCACTCACTAGACAATAAATGGTTGTATTATTAATGATTCCACTGATGTCACTACTCACATTTTACGGACAGTTATAAGCCATTTGCTTGCATTTGCGAAGACTGCATTAGCCTTTCAGACATTTTGATGCATCCTAGCCACATATGATCTTATTTCCAAGTTAACACCTCTGAAAGAAACTTATTGTGGTTTCTGTTTTATTTCTAAACTAAATATAGGGTACCCACATTTTTAAAGCAAAACGACAACAACAAAAATTTTTCTGAAGATATCTGAACCAAGAACATCAAGTTCTGTTATGAGGATATGGGTTTTCCATTAAATGGCAAATGCCTTGTTTCATAGAGTTAAGCAAAATAATATCTTTTTTAAAACTTATGTTTAAGTGTAGGGCACTGAAAGTCCAATTCAGAAATGTTGCTGCTATGGAAAGAGCACCTTCATTCAGTTGTAAAGAAGCCAATTTTCATCCACTTCACATTTTTCACTCTCAGTCTTTTATTCTTTTGAGCTAAGAAAATAAGCAATGACACTCTGTTAGCTTCTAAAGTTTCTACTATGGTCTGCATAATTATCTCAAGAATACCATTGTATTTTAGCACATTTTCAAAAAGTTATTGTACTCAAAAATGTGCCTATTTGTCAACATCCTCTTGCCTCTGTATAGCAAGATGAATTTTCTTTTCTTCTACTGGTTCTTACCTGGAACTCTTCCCCAGTATTTGAAATCATTTTAAACTGACAAAATAATTATCTATCTCTGTTGGTTTTATCCAAGAATGGACTATATGTCATGACTGTCAGAACTTTTCTATCTCTCTTATATGGCAGATATCACTAATTCATTATGGCAAATCTACAGCCAAGATTTGATATATAGAATTTTTATTAACATACGCATTCTGACAGTCACCTGCAATTAGAGAGTTTATGTGAGATAAAACTTTTTTGCCATCGCTGGTCTAGAAACTACCTGAAAGCATTTAGGGCAATTAAATATCTTGAGATCCATTCCAGTTTTATTATTTATTTCATCTACAAATCAGCTTACTCCCAAGGATTTAGGAGAGACAAATCAAACAATCTTCCATACACCAGAATAATAAAATGTAGACACTCTTTGTGCTGATGTCAACGATCAAGGAAGAGAGTAGTGACTAGGTACACATTTAAGCGGTAGGAATTGTGTGTCCTAGAAAAAGACAGTAAACCTCATTTATCTTCTCTAAAATTGGAATCAAAACCCATGATCTGAGTTACAGTACCCTACCCCAAAACCTTTTAGTGGTCAAGATTGCAATGGTCCCTTTAGATCTTGCATAATTTTTTAAGAAAGTACATGAGATGTAGGTAATATGTATGTTAGAAATGTGGAAATAAACTTGGTCTTAGGCAAAGGGGAATAGAAAGAAGATCCTAAGAAAAGAAGAGCTTAGATCTAACCCTGCCTGTCCACATTGGCAGAACGTGGGAAAGGAAAGAAAGAAAGAAAGCTGCTGCAGGATGGAGGAGCCAGGAGTGGGAGCAAACCTGCTTCCACATCTTGTTTATATTTAGGAGCCATTGTGTTCCCACTAGCGAGTGGAGTGGTGGGCAGTGGCGACAAGTTATATCCACCACAGTGAAATCCAACACACTGGGTATTAACCTTTGAAATCTTGGGAAGTTCATCTGATTCTGTTATAGATATGGGCTGGAGCAACAGAACGAAGTCACCTCAGGTACCAACAATCCAGTACCAACAAGAGTCATCCCAATGTCAAGAAAAATCTCAAAAGTGAATCTTGGCTACAAAATATTTGAATCTGTGACTCTAGAACTATATCTGTTGTATCTTTTCTAGGTTTTCCCCTTTACATTCTTTCACTTCATTTATTGGAGACAACAAAAAAAATAGTGTCATGAGAGGGATGTTGGCAGTGGCAATGTTCCCTGAGCTCATCTTGGAGAGAAGGACTGGCAGAGAGACCTTGTGAAGCACTAACACCCCCTCCAGGACATGTTCACAGGATACCCACCAGACCGGATGACAACCAAAGGACCCCCTTAGAAGATTTTAATGTGGACAGGAGTGATGACAAATTCCCCTTTAAAAAGACTTGAAAGAGAATCAACTTTTGATGGCTCCCAAAAGCAGCTAAATATGAAACCTGCAACCTGCAACACAGCATGCCTCCACAGTGTCAAAGTTCCTTCCATTTCCTGGGTCTATGCACTGCATATGTGTAAATTAATTTGAAGAGTGAAGCAAAAGCTTAATTCAGTCAAAAACACTTTTGTAAATTATATCTGAATAAAGTTTGTTGGCAGAGGGTGAAAGAAGGAATAATCTATTCAAAACCTGCTATATTTTACTATTAAAAGTGTGATGTCCACCTGTAATCCCACCACCTTGGGAGGCTGAGGTGGGCGGATCACCTGAGGTCAGGAGTTTGAGATCAGCTTGGCCAATATGTTAAAACTCTGTCTCTACTGAAAATACAAAAATTAGCCGGGCATGGTGGCAGGTGCCTCTAGTCCCAGCTACTCAGAAGGCTGAGGCAGGAGAATTGCTTGAACCCGGGAGGTGGAGGTTGCAGTGAGCTGAGATCGAGCCATTGCACTCCAGCCTGGGTGACACGAGCAAAACTCCATCTCAAAAAAAAAAAAAGTGTGATGTCTATGGCACTTGTGGGTCTGTTTATAATTTGTGTTATGACCTGTCCAAGTTACACAAGCTTTCATTTGATGGTACCATACATTTTTATAATTGAAGCTATGGAGTAGGGACTTATTACAAATACATTGTAGGAGGGATTGGGCATTTATTTGGATTGATAATCTTCAGAGCCCGAACCCAATCAACAATCACATGCCCCCACCATTTTACTGTGCTGTGCAGAAGTGGTAAGAATACACCCTTGATTAGTATTTTAACAAGCAAGAATTTTACCAAGTTAATATGTTTATAATGAATACTCTCCATAAGATAGAGAAATATTATTTATTGTGCTTTAATGGAATATTTGAGTAAAAGAAAATAACTTTTATGTACATCTATTTTTAAAAAAAATCCCAAAACATCCATGATCAAAACTATTATGAGCTCTAATTACTAATGTAAAGCACTTCGTTTCATATAGAGATGGTCTTCTTAACCCCATAATTGTAGAAGGCTTCATTTCAGTGGTTCCACAATAATGGGGTAAGTTAGTCCTGGACTGTTCATTTCACTTACCAGAACCTCATTGCAAGCATTCTTGTTATGTAGTGTAGTATGAGACAATGGTATCACTTGTAAAACTTTTTGTGAAACTGGGCCTCAAATGTATGAACTTTGTCTCCTATGAATGTCATTTGTTAGGGAATCAGTTGAGATTTACTATCTTTCCTACTCTTCTGGAGATAATTCAGTTTCCATCCACCTCTGGCATAAGGTTAAGTATTGTTTAAAAAAAAAGTACTGCCCTGAAATCCACTTCTCTAAATAGTTTCTTGTATAGGCTCCTAACTAATGTTAAAAGCATAATCTGATTTTCATAAATATGAGAATATGCTTCAGTATAAAATAATATTTGGTATTAACAGAAGGAATCTAGGGAGTTTATGTAGTTTCAAAATCTTACCCATATTTTTCTACTTTGCCAAATATAGAACCAATGACCCAAATGAATTGGTATGCTCGGTGTTCCTTTCCCCAACTTCAAGCTCTTTTTCTTTTGCGGGGTCAGGGGAGAGAGTTTCACACGTAGGACACTGTCTTAGCTTCCTTTCAAATATCTGGTATCCCATCAGAGCAGTAGAAATCTAGAAACTGTTACCATTATTCCCCTGGTCCATATGAAGGCACAATTGCAGGAGAGAAGAACTAAATGGTCTGTATCAGTCAGAATTTTCAGAGATGCAAAACCACATATATATGAATATATAGAAATTGAATATACACTTGGCCCTCGAACCATGTGGGAGTTAGGGATGCCAATACCGTTGCACCATTGAAAATCAAGGTATAACTTTTGACTTCCCAAAAACTTAACTACTGATAGCCTACTTTGACTGGAAGCCTTACTGATAACATAGTCAATTAACACATATTTTGTATGTTTTATGCATTACACACTATATTCTTACAATAAAATAAGCTACAGAAAATACAATGTTACTGAGAAAATCATAAGAGAAAAATATATTTACTATTCATTAAGTGGAAGTAGATCCACGTAATGAATAGTAAAGGTCTTCATCCTCATGATCTTCATGACAAGAAGGCTGAGGAGGAGGAGCAGAGGAGGAAGTGTTGGTCTTGCTGTCTCAGGGGTGCCAGAGGGAGAAGAAAACCCGCATATAAGTAGACCCATGCAGTTCAAACCCACGTTGTTCAAGGATCAACTGTACACATCCATAACAGGCTGTGTGGGTGTGTGTGTGTGTGTGTGTGTGTGTGTCTGTGTGTCTGTGTGCACTAATAGAATGGGCTGTCTTATTTTAAATAAATAAAGAGATTTGTATAAGAAATCAACTCTTGAGATTGTTGCGGGCAGGCAAGCCCAAAATTCCTAAGGCAAACCAACAGGCTAGGAACTCAGGCAAGAACTGATGTTTCGGTCTTGAATCCAAAATCTGCTGGGCAGGCCAGCAGGCTGGAAACTCAGGTAGGATGTCTATGTTATGGGCTTGAGGTAGAATTTCTTGTTTTCTCAGAAACCTCAGTTTCTGTTCTTAAGACCTTCAGCTGATTGGATAAAGCTCACACATATTATCGTCTGTTTTACTTAAAGTCAGCTATAACTGCAAATGTTAGTCATGTCTACAAAATGGCTTCGCAGCAACACCTAGACTAGTATTTGACCAGACAACTGTGCACCACAGCCTAGCCAAATTAATGCATGAAATTTGAACATCACATAGTCCTATTAATTTCCCAAATCACTGAGCTTCCGGAAATTAATTCTTTTTTCATCGTTTTATTTATTTTTATTTCAATAGTTTTGGGGGTACAGTTAGTTTTTGGCTACATGGATAAGTTATTTAGTGGTGATTTCTGAGACTTTGGTGCACGCATCACCCAAGCAGTGTACATTGTACCAAATGTGTCGTTTTTTATTCTTTACCTCCCCAACCCCCAACCCTTCTCCCCAAGTTGCTAAAGTCCATTATATCATCCACAAATTATTTACATATCATTCTACCAGACTTATAAATAATTTTTCTTATTCCAAAATAAATTCTAGAAATTTCAAGATGGTTGCTTTAAACACATAGCATAGACCATTTAGAAATAAATGTGGAGATTATGTCACAGATAAGTTTTAGCTTTGTTTAAAGATAAAAGCTGTAAAATATTGTGAGGGCATTCTGTATCAATGTAGGAGTAAATCAGAATTTGAAAGCATTCTAAGGTCAGATGTCCAGGATTATATCACCAAAAAAGCATGTGACTGGAATTGAAGTAACACAGCTAAGCTCAACACACATAACAATACATGCTTTGCCAGAGTGCAGTGTTTATTTCTTGTTTTTTTTCTTCCTTTTATAGGAAAAAGAAATGCAACTTTTTCAGAAGTTTACATCGTCTGACATTGCTTTGGTTTCAGTAAATAAGGTCAGAAAATATGAAAGTATTTAATTATTCCCCAAAATTCAACAATAAATAAAGAAAATGTGGACCTTATTTATTTTATGACTACCACATATTTAACATCCCGTTATTCTAAAAGTTTCTTTCATTTGTTCATTAATGTTGTTATTCAACATGACTGCATGCCAGCAATGTCTCTAGTAGCTCTCTTCTGTGTACTGGCAACGCAGTGATTCCCAGCATCGAGGCAGTAACTCCCAGAAGGAATTGGTTGTGTTTATAGAACAACTGTGAGGCAGAGAGATGACATTTTTTCTTTGCATAAATGCATAATGTTGCCTGAATGGGTATCACTACATGCCAGACCGGTGCATCAGCCAAGCCGAGGCAATGTTTGTATGTGCTTGGTAACATCGCTGTAAGAACATTCCTCTTAGTAACTTCCCTTTTTGGGAAGTTGCCTATTTCTGAACACTCTCCCCATCCATACTCCCAAACTCATTATTTTTTTTTCTCTTCTGGTGTTCTAGAGTTTTTCCTCAACATAGAGTGCTATGCCCTGATCATCACTGATCATCACTTATTTGTTTTTATTTGTTTCTTATTCACCATTTTATGTCCTGCTCTTGGCACAGTGCCTAGAATAGGACAAGAGATTAACAGATATGTTTAGAGTGAACTGATGCAAATTTACAGTTTATATGAAGATCAAAAACTGCCCTGAGTAGGAAGTCAGAAGAGGGAGGAGAACATACCCTATTCCCTTACCAAACAAGCATTGCCAACTGTGAGCTATATCACTACCCCCATCACTGAAACATGCAGTACAAACACAGTGAGAACCTTCTCCTACCCTGGAAGAATTAACCTCTAATTCCCTAAGCCATCTATTGTATGTTATAAATTAACTTTCATATGCGTATAGAGTGTTCTGTATCATCCATAGAAAAATTGACAAAATAGTCACCCAAATCAGTTTCTGTGTTCTATGATTCAGAAAAGGAAGTGACTTGAGAAAGGCTGAGTATCCCCCATGGCTATTTGGCAAACCTTCCATACTCTATAAATGCATTTGTACTGAGTAACTGTAGATTATTGCACTCTTGGCTGATTTCTTTCACTTTCCTCTATTTTGTTTAATCTTGACCAGTTTAATTCGTATTGGTGGCAGGAATCTATACTGTAACTTTCTTATTTTAATGCACCACTAGTAGATAATAGTTCTTCCCTCTGTAAGTCAAAAGCCTCTCTGTCAGCCTTTCTACTACATCATTATGAAGCTCTGCGCAGCAGTAGTTTCTTACTTCTGGTACTTTCTTAGAGCAGCAATTCTGCTTTTAAATTTTTCTCAGTTGGCCATGAGGACAGTCAATGTCAAGGAATTCAAAAGACTGGGGGAAGGGAAACGGACCTAGAAGCCCTATATAAAGTCTGTTATCTGGCAGCATAGAACCTAATCTAGGGACAGCCAGAATATCAAGTGAAGAAGAGATTGAGGAATACTGGGTGTTTCCAATACCATGGATGTCTATTGACTGCATAACTCAACATCTTATTTTTTTATTCATCATTCTCCTGATAAAAACAGGACTTGCTCTCCTCGTATTATGCTGTTCTTGGTAGGAGCTCAAATCTCAAAGCAGGTGAGACAAGAAGATGAAAACAAGGATGTTTGGTCACTTTACATAAATTTTTACTATAAGGAAAATATAGCCTTCTCCCTTCTGTTTCCATTAAATAAAATAGGGCTCACCAGTTTGCTTAATCAGAATACACCCTGGCTATTTTTTGGCTATTTTACCACTTTAATCTGCCAACCATTCTTTCAAAATAGATGTGATAAAAACAGTGCAACCTGTGTGTCTCTCCAGGACAATAAGTAGAGTGTTATTATAAATACAGGAGAAGCACACTTTTCATAGATCCTTATTGGGCTACTGAATTTCTAGAGTTAAGGTCTACATCTAAAATCCCAAACAGTATACATAGCAGCCTGGAGATATTTTCTAAAATATCTGATGGGGCTAAATGATACTGATAAATAAAACAAATGATTCAGTTAGAGTTTATTTTGTATGTGAGAGATATTTGCCATTGTTTGATCACTTAAAAAATTAAAGATAAACCCTACTTAGACTGCTCCTTTCTTCAAAAGCCTCAGTCTGTCGTGGGGGTGTGGACCAGACAAAACAGATCCCCACTTGGTGCAGGTAACTGAGGAAAATGAGATAAAGTGTACTTCCTTACTTCTTGATGATTTTTCTCTTCAACTGAACTACTAGAATAACAATGTATTTGATCATCTAAATATGTAAATATAAATATATAATAGCAATAAAAACAAATACTTCTGGGCTATTTACTGTGAGTGAGCAGGTACTATTCTAAGCTTTTTACATGTATTAATTAATGTAATTATTACAAAAGCCCCATGCAACATATTATTATTATTATTATTATTATTATTATTATTATTATTTGAGATGAAGTTTCACTCTTGTTGCCCAGGCTGGAGTGCAATGGCACGATCTCAGCTCACTACAACCTCCACCTCCTCCTGGGTTCAAGTGATTCTCCTGCCTCAGCCTCCCAAGTCGCTGGAATTACAGGTGCCCGCCACCATGCCTGGCTAATTTTTTGTGGTTTTAGTAGAGACAGGGTTTCACCACGTTGGTCAGGCTGGTCTCGAACTCCTGACCTCAGGTGATCTACCACCATGCCCAGCTAAACTTTTGTATTTTTAGTAGAGACAGGGTTTCAACATGTTGGCCAGGCTGGTCTCGAACTCCTGACCTCAGGTGATCCACCCGCCTCGGCCTCCCAAAGTGCTGGGATTACAGGCATAAGCCACCACACCCAGCCAATATATATTATTATTAATCTCATCTTACATATTAGGAAACTTAGGCACAAAGAGATCAAGTCTAAGGTAACACAGTGAAAATAAGTATATTGATAAAATATTAAAAGGCAATATTATTAGGTAAAACTAGTATTCTTTGTCACTAAATTTTGTTTTCATCACCACTTAATTAAACCTTGGCTCACGAAAATTTTTATTTTCTCAAAAAAGGAAAAAAAAAAAAAAACAAAAAAAAAACCTTGGCTTAGGTGAGGACTTCCCTCCTAGCGATTTGCAGTTTCCTCATTATAAAACATGGTGCATCTTCCTGGTGGCAAAGTTTAATACCAGTTCTCACTAAATGGTCTCATGTGCATAGAGAAAATGGCTATCTGTTTATACAGATTGTGTTGTCTGTGGTGATTCCATACTCTTTCTCTTTCTGCATGAGAAATAGAAAAACCAAGATGATGTCTGAAATCCTCAAGAGTTTCCCCCAAAGCAGTCATTCTAGTGATCATTGTCTTCCAATTCAAAAACTTATTAAGGAACCAAGTGACTGGTTCTTTCAAATAGCCACCCTCCCCTTCCCCACAGAGTTCCTTGCTCAGCGCATTACCATCTCTAGTTATCCTGTGCATAGCAAAGATGATTCCTTACTGGGGCCTGGCCCCTGGAACATTTAAAAGCACGATTTAGAAAGAGAAGCAGCTTTTAAATGCAGTTATATGCTGCTTCCCTCAGTAGTACAAATGTCATGTAAATCCTAAGTGAGCCTTTTATTTAAACCAACTATACAAACATGGGTACCCCAAATAAAATTTGCTGCATTTTAAATCCTAGACAAATTCATGGTAACAAACAGCCTCAGATTCCACTATGTATAATGAGGAAGATTTATAGTTCCTTAGCTTGTGTTTCAGCACCTAGTTTGCCGCCCAAATAATGAGGCTACTTTAATTAAGAATTCTAGACTCCCAAGCTTTTAAAGCAGTGGCCCATTGAGTGATGCAAATAGAAAACAACACATACCATTCCTCTCCCTTCCTCCTACCCCACATCTGCTCCTTGGCTTGAGAGGTGGGAGCATGTCACAATGTCCTGGCAACTTGTGGACTAGGGCAGGTCATACAATCCTCAAACTAATGTTAAATACATGGTTCATTGTAGAATTCCACAGTTATTTGTCTGTGAGGATGCATTAAGGATAAAAGTCAGGATGATCAGCAGACCCACAACACAACAAATCCATAATCAATAACAGCCAACTTTAACTGAACACTCACTGTGTACAACGCATGGTTCTAAATGCTTTACACATTTTAACTTATTTTGTCTTCATAGGGAAACTATGATATAGGCGCTATTCTTTTCATCCACTTTTTACAGATGAGAAAATCGAAGCACAGAGAAGTTAAATAACTTGTCAAGATCATACTGCTAGTTGGAGGCAGAGCCAAACATTTGAACCCAGGTGTTACAGCTTCAGAATCCCTGAGCTTAATCATTATATTCCAGCTGCCTCTCAGAGTAGTTTTATGTTGACTGTCCTTCTCTTCCTGGCTTCAGAGATGAAGAAGTATTTTATCAGCTCCTTACTCAGATTTATGGAAAAGACAAATTTCAGAAATCTCCTGTTGTATTTTTTTTTGGAGGGTGGGATGGTTTGAAACTTTCTCATAAACATTTACTGAATAAAAAGACCCCTTATAACTCTCATATTTTTCTAGCAGAGAACCTCTGGATAATTAAAGGTAGTTAGTGGGCTGGGTGCGGTGGCTCACGCCTGTAATCCCAGCACTTTGGGAGGCCAAGGAGGGCAGATCATGAGGTCAGGAGATCAAGACCATCCCTTGCAGTGAGCCGAGATTGCGCCACAGCACTCCAGCCTGGGCGACAGAGCAAGACTCCGTCTCGAAAACAAAAAAAAAAAAGAAAAGAAAAAAAGAAGAGTAGTTAATGCATCCCATTTGTACTTATATCTGTGACACTTTAAGAATCCAATGAGTACAAAAAGCATCAACATAGGTCACAAATGATACAAGCAGAGCAGCATACCTGGAGAGTGGGTGATTTCTGAGCCCATTTTATCTCACTACATCCAACCACTATGAATTCGCTAATAGAAATATGTCAGTTTCAACCTTTTCAGTATTCCTGACATTTATTTAAACTCAAGGAATGAAGAGGAAATTTCACTGTAGGCTACAAAAGCAATCAAGTCATTGGACCATCTCCA
Source organism: Homo sapiens (assembly GCF_000001405.40). Taxonomy (NCBI): domain Eukaryota; kingdom Metazoa; phylum Chordata; class Mammalia; order Primates; family Hominidae; genus Homo; species Homo sapiens. The sequence continues at coordinate 90,679,866 of NC_000010.11, forward strand.
TTGCAGTTTCAAACTAGCAAACTTCATTCCTCTGTGGGAATTCAGGATGATTCTCTATTTCAGAGTCCAGATTACAAGTCAGAGTATAAGAAGAGCCCAAGTCTTCTTTATCTTACCCATTAATGTGTCAGTAATGTGTCGCAGGTGCCTAGAAGTGTTCCTGGCAGATAGTAGGCACTGAGTACATATTGGTGAATGGACCAGTTAGAACAAAAGAGTTATCTTTGAGTCTGGTTTCATTAATTTCATTTAAGGTAACCAGGTAAGACTTTTTAATTCAAATTTATTATATAATTCCTGCAGGATTCACAAACTGAAATATAGTAGGCAAGAGAAATCTTTGTTCAAATTTGTACATCTAAGACTATTTCAGTTGTCCCAGGACTTGTCAATTATACTACCAGCATTTGGCAACAGGTTGAAGATAAAAGCCTCCACCCACCCAAAACACATACCCCAAACTCACGTGAAAAGTGGTCTCTCGAATCAGACCTAAGCTTAAATTCAAACTCCACCACTTAAGAACTGCATTTTGAACCTCTTGTAACTTCAGCTTTCTCAACTCTAAAATCCAGTAAGAATGCATACAGGAGTTACGGTAAGCATTACATTAGATAATATATCAAAAGGGCTAGCACAGTGCCTGGCATACAGGAAATGCCTAATAAGTGGATGGAAAGAGTGGAGTGGGAACATGCTGAACCCTCTTTCATTCTGAGGCTCATTCTCCATGTAATTTTTAAAATCTTCACTTTTTATCCCTAAAAACACAATTTTTCTTTCAAAGAATCTATTTGTGCTCCTCTAGGTCACTGAAAGTCTCAGAGAAGAATTGTGATAACTTCTAGTAATTTGCTAGGGGAGCTTGGCAAGAGTGGATCTCATCACCATGGCACTGAGAAATCTCATACTCATAATGAGAATATGTTTCACAAAATGAAAGAATTATATAGATTCTAGCTTGTTGCTAGGGCCGGGTCCTCGTTTAAATTAATGTCAAGCTGTATTTCCAAGTAATTCTAATGAAAAGAGCCCTTGACTGTCCCATACCCTAAAGATTCCAATATAATGTATTATTTTAAATATTAACGTGTGGAAGAGCCTCTTAGACTCTCTTGTCCCAGTCAGGAATTCTGTTGCTCGTACTGGGGAAATATGACAATTTTTGTCACAGAAAAAAATTGTGTTTAATTGGTGATATAAACCAAAAAATATAAAAGATGCATATTGGACATAAAATCATTTCATTAGCTTACAATAATTAGTGTTATCACTAGCAATGTAATCCTAAGAGAAGCAGACTGTTGGATTCAAGGCAGAAAGGAAGGGAAATGAAGCTAATGTTTTAAAATTTATGTAATGTACCAGAAGCTAGGATATTTAACCACCAGCACTTACTGAGCTTAGTACGTGCCAAGCTCTGTGCTTAGTAATTTTATTCCCATGCTCTTATTTAATGCTCACCTATTCTTTGAGGTGTGTAAAATCTATCCCAAGTGAGAAAACTGTAGCACAAAAGGGATAACTTGCCCAAGGTCCTTTAAGAAGTGGTGAGTTCAGAACTTATACCCCAAAAATCTGGATCCCAAGTCTAAGATTTCTTATGCTACCATTTCATGTTCCCTGTTGAATTAAGAGGATGATAAAATCTTGACCCTCATAATTGGAATTATTAGGGGTACAGGATCTAATTTTATGATTAATATACAGCAAAATACACTGTCATATAGGACGACCATTTCACAGGCTCTTCAAGAACTGAAGTTTTGAAGATGCACTTTGGATCCTCTCTCAAATGAGGAAGAAAGTAGATCTCAATCTCTCTGCAGATCAACTGGTTCTAACTGAACTCTGCAATTGTGGAGTTTTCACTTATCATGATTTTGTTTTGTTTGTATTACTATCCAATTTCAGATCCACAGGTTACACACGATAAGTTTTCTTTATTCACTCACCAACTTCTCCCAGCCCATGACTCTTTCTCCAAAACCTTTCCTGTGTATTGTCATAAGTAGGTTTCATAATCAGAAATAAAAAGAGAATCAAATTCATGCCAACTCAACTCACTGGGACTGGTTTCTGAAGGCATGCTTCAGACCCTTCACTTGCTTTTCAGACAAGACTGAAAATAATTGGTCTGTGCTAGGTCTGTTTTCATGAAATTATTCTGAAGAACAGTCATTATGTTGGGAAGATTCTACTTTATCCATCTCCATGGGTTTGCTAAATGAAAACAGCAGTTTGTTGAAAAGGCAGTTGTAAGATTTTAAAACCAACACATTTAATAAAGTCCAGTTTGGTTTCTTACACATTTCTACGGACATGACCTCAAATCCCAAAGTTTAAACCACTTTGACTTTGGAAAAGATATCCATCTGTAGCTATAATGTATTAACTTTTCTCCACAATGTTCAGGATGCTATGATGAGTTCAGAAAAAAAAAAGTCCTTATAAATATACAGATTTACATCCTACAACAATGTCATGACTATTAAACTATGTGATATTTGGTCAGTTCGTGGGATATTTGTTTTTATAATGGGTTCCTAAAATGTGTTCCAGACTGGGAGGTGGACCCATGCAGAACTCTTCTATGTCTTGGGATTTATAATGGCCTTTGCGGCTTTCACATATAGAAGTGGTTTAGCAAAGCTGGAAGAGTTTCCAGACCAAAGACCTTGGCTCTAATCCTGGCTCAGTTGGTAGGATTCACCTAATTTAAACATATTTTCTCATCTCTAAAATATATGGATTGAGCTAGATAATTTCTAAGGTCCCCAAGAAGCCTAAAGGGAAGAGGGAAATCTCTAAAGCCTCCTTCTACTCCTCCACCCCATATACACACACCTTCTTCACTTCTTCCCCTTCCCATTGCTTAACACCACTGGAAGCAGGGTGACTACTGGGATTGGTCTGATTTCCAGATTCCAGGACACTACTGGACAGGGTCGCTGTGCAGTGGAAGGCACTTGGGGGTGGCTCACCATTCCCTGTGCAGCTGGAGTTGGGAGTTGGGCCCCCAAGCTTTCTTTCCATGCTGCTCTGCGCTCTCTTCCTCTCCATGAACTGCCAGCCTGAGCCCATGACTCTATTCAAAGGCTAGTCATTTTAGAAACTGGATTGGAAACAATTACATTCTTTCTTAACAGTCTTACACTCTCCTGTCTCTATCTGTGTAGTTCCACTCCCATGCAGCTGGAAGATATGATAGATTGGATATAACTATCTGACAGGAAAAAAAAATATCCTCATACAGTCCAATCAGTTTCACCAGAGTTCTATAGACTAAGACCTCAAGCTCAAACCCAACTGTCAAACATGTAGCTTTGTGCATTTCCCCTCTGTGTGTTCCACATGCATGTATCTTCCCAGAGGACCTTCCAAGGAGGATAGGAGGCTGGGCCTGGGTGGGAAGAAGATGTTCTGAATCCCTTGGCTCTAACACTCTACCATCACCAATAATACCATACCAATAGGATGGTTTAGAGAATCTCTTTTGATTTTAAAAACAACTATAAATAACAATTTTATCAGAAATTGGTTTATGACTTGATTAATGTAGAGCTTACCTGACAAATATAATATATGCCAAAAATTCACTTGTCTGAATTAGTTTGCATAGAATCCAAACCCCTCTCTTTCTCAGAGTATCTCTAACTCTATTTCTTTCCTTCACTGTCTCTTTCTTTTCCTACAAACACACACTATACTGTGAGCATGTAGGTGTATCACAGCATCACATTGAGAGAGACTGAGTCTGCTCCTTCCCAGCCAAGCCATCTGAACCGAGGAGTCTCCCTTGATGACCCAAAAAAGAAATAATAGAATTGGTGCCCGTTTTTCTTGTTGACAGCCCACATACACCACACACACACACACACACACACACACACAGAGACACACACACACACACGCAGCACCTAGCTTATATTTTACCACACTCTGGGAACTGTGCACCTCAAATAAAAGTCACTGCAACAGTGGAGAGTGAATTATCAAGGACATATCCCTGAAATGAGAAAATCTGCAGGCAAGAGACAGCTGCCCTCTATGCCTAGTGGAGCTTGGAGAGTCCTCTTCACCAGCAGCAAAGCTGAACAGAGCTCCCTTCTGCTTTTCCTTTAGGGCAGTGACTTATCAATAGTGAAACTTTCCAGGTCCTTAGCCTCCCATCCTCTCATGAGAATCCTATCATTTCCACACCATTGACTGGAGCCTAAATGCTGCTTTTGGTATGGAAGTAAAGGAAATAAAGCTTAAGGAATATTCAGCAGCCACCTCCTTAGGCACTTATGAAAGCTCAACTTAAAGGGTCATGTCTGGCTTCCCAGGGCAGCAAAGAGAAAGGAGAGAAAAAAGCTTTCAAGAGCTGTAACCTTCCGGCATTCGTTCAGTCAGTACTTTCTTTCCATAGTGATAACAAATGCAGGCTATGTCAAAGATTTTTAGTTTTTCCTAACACTCCCTGAGCAATTCTCAAGCTGTTGCCATAAGCAGCTCATGTTTTCTAATGCACAAGAGCATTTTAGTAATTAGGCATGAGATGCTGCTTACCATTTTAGAACTTCAATATTGAAGCCTAGTAGAGGAAGTTTTGGCTGAGTCTTCTCAGTTTACAAGGGCTACTTACTTGTACCATTTTTTTTTTCAAGAAGAGTCCTGGGTACAATGACAAGCTGGGACCAAACCCAAGGCAGAGCTGGCTCCCCATAGAGTCCCAGAAAGTGAGAACTGTACCAAGCACTTCCCTTTGTACTGCATAACAGCAGGGGAGAATTATGATAAGGGAAGGTAGGAGGGAAGAAAAAGGAGGGAAGGCCAGGGCTGACCAAAGATGGAAAAAGAGGAAGTTAGAGGACATAGTCTGGCAAAATCTGGTTACCTTCCCTCCTTAGGCGGAGGTAGGAAATAACAAGGAAGGTGCTTGATGACACTGCATTTCTTGGGGTGGCATGAGGGAAGAGGGGAAGGGCCCTACATTCTGGAATAACCACACAAGCTCTTTACCTCATTCGGCTCCCTCAACCTCCATGCAAACGCAAATGGCTAAACCTCCTCCATATAATATGCTGCCCTAGCCAGGAATGGACCCCAAAATTAAATCTGTTATTTCTTGTAAAAATATTACATATTCAGAGTAAAATCTTCAATTATGCAAAATGGCATATGATGAAAGGTAAAATTCCTTTGCCTGTCACCTGACTTCCCCTCATGTGCCCTTGCTACAGAAACTCACACTTAACAATTTATTTTATATCCCTAGAGAAATTATTCATATATGAAACTGCACCTATATATAATGCTTTTGTAAAAAATATTCAAATGAGAATCACGTAAAGCATACTGTTCTGTCACTTGCTTTTTTAACTCAGTGTATTTGAACATTTTTCCATAATCATACACCAGACCAAATTCACTGTTTTAAGGACTGCATAGTGTTTGGGCAGACCATACCATGAGAGTCTTCTCATAAGTGACCATTAGATAACTTCCACTTACTTTGCATTACAAGCCATGCTGTAGTTAAGTTATTTGTACATCCATCTTTGTGTACCTGTGAGAGTATATCTTAGAAGACTGGAATCCTAGGCTTAAGAAGTATATAAATTGTAAATTTTGGTAGGTAATGTCGGATTGCTCCCAACAATACTGCTTACAAGTTTTTGCTTTCCAATGTCCTTGCCAATACCCAATATTCACTAATAGGTAAAAATTGTACTGTATTATTTTCATTTACATTTCTTTAATTATGAATAAAACTGGGTATATACCCACTCATTACAAGTCCTAAGTATGGATTTATAATGCCCTATTTACAGACACATAAATATACACAGAAACATTTCTCCCAGGAAGGACCTATTCATATCCTTTACTCATTTTCCTTTGTATTGTTCATTCATTCCTCTTAATTTGTAAGGATATATAATATGAAATTACTGCATTTTTATCAAAGGGCTTTTACTTTATTTATAGTACTGTTTTAATACTGAAGTTTTTATGCTTTTTTCAGTAGCCCAATTCATCGATCTTGTGCTTCATAACTTCTGGGTGTTATGTCAGGCCCCAAGGGCTTACCAACTCCAAAATTATTTTTTAAAATCACTGGTATTTTCTTCTAGTATGATCATGTTTTACTTTTGTAAGTATAAATGTTTTAATTATTTGGAATTACTTTTGTGTAAGACATGAAGTAAGAATCTACCTGTATATTTTCCCAAAATTTTCAGTTGTCCAAACCTAATTTATTACTAATCTAATTTTGCCTCACTGATTTCAGATGAAATTGGGCACATTCAGGGTGGTATGGCTGTAGACTGCGCCGCTTATTTCAATTGTCAAATGCCAAAACATATGCAGGTCTTTTTCTAGACTCTGTAATATGTTTCATTGATTTTTTAATTTTTACCTCAGTTATAAACTGATTTAATTCTGTAACTTTTTATACATTTCAGTATCTGCTAGGGTTAGTCTTTCCTCATAACTCTTCTTTAGTATATTTTATTTTCAAGCTGGAAAAGTTAGAAGCAGACTCTCTCTTCAAAGGTAGAAGTTTGCATTTGCTTTGAAGGATGACTATGCTGGAGCTTTGTGAAAAGCCATTTGAATAGGTCCTCTGGTTATGTAACACTTACCTATAGCTCTGGGGAAGACCTCAATGCAAACTCGGATGCGTTCTGTTCCAACTGAAGCCAAATGTTCTGTTTAGAAATATAAATTGGGCAAATCTTTTAGCAGAACTGTTTCTACTTATATAGTCAATAGAGAACTGTTTCTTCCCTAAGCATGGATTTATAATATCCTATTCTTATATATGAATTCATGTGACAGAGAAATATGTTTTCCTGCCCTGGCAGAATTTGTGCCCAGGAGTTGCAGAGACAGGGTGAAGGAGCCAGTGCAAGAGAGAGGCCAGAATGGAATCCTGATTCTGTCTTCAGCCTACACTACAAGAGAGACTGTAGGAAACAAAAAGAAATAAAAGGAAAAGAAAAAACAGGTCTGGAGAAGGCAGCCCATCCTGAACCTGAGCTCTTTATTCCACAGTTTGTGTTATCAAAGATTGAATGGGCTGAATTGGGAAAATGTATATTGTTCTGATTTATTCTGAAGCCTTCAGGGAAACCCTTATTTCTGTGGCCTTTTCCTGTCAGGGAAAAGAGAATGACTATTCCCAATCATCCAGGAAGGGGAGTGAGGAAATGTGGATATTTGGAGGCCTTTAGGGTCTGTGGGCCTAGCCTCCAGGTAAGAGAGATGTGCTCAAGGGCAGTCCACGGTGAGTGGTTGGGTAATGCGTGGGTGGTTTTGAGAGCTGTAAAAGAGGTACACCCAGTAGATAGCCTCACAGAGGAGCTTTGAAAACTGCCATGTCTGGAATCCTTTTTGCATTCTCTGTTGTGATTCACTTCTGAAACCCCTAAGCCTTCACAAAGCTTTGGACTATCTAACAAGCAATTATGGGGGGTTTAAGGGAAGTGGTTTGCCCACTTTGGGGAAAGTGGTCGAGACGCATGCAGCTGCAGGGTGAAGAGAGGGGAAACTGAGCACAGACAGCAGCCAGATAACTAAACTGACAACACTCCCCACTCCCAATTTCTCTAACATGTGAACCTTTACCTGGGGGTCCCAGAAATGCTGAAGTGGGGAAAGCTGGGATACACTGGAATTCCTACAGGCAGACAAAATTGGGTACTGAGGGGAAGTGTGACCTCACATCTGCTGAAGAATAATCATTTCTTGTAACAAATGCTCAATTCTTGTAATTTCTACTTTTGTTGCTAAAAGTGAGGTATCCTTTTACTCATTAAACTATTTAAGTTTTTCAAACAGGCCAGCTTCTTTTTTATGTTTTTGTTTCAAAAGTTTTGAGGTACAAGTGGTTTTTGGTTACATGGATAAATTCTTTAGTGGTTATTTCTGAGATTTGAGTGCATCTGTCACCTGAGCAGTGTACACTGTACCCAGTATGTAGTCTTTTATCCCTTAACCCCCTCCCAATCTTTCCCCTACCCTGGCTCCCCAAAGTCCATTATATCACTCTTATACCTACGCATCCTCATAGCTTAGCTCCCACTTATAAGTGAGAACACACGATACTTGGTTTTCCATTCCTGAGTAACTTCACTTAGAATAATGGTTTCCAACTGCATCCGAGTTGCTGCAAAAGACATTATTTCATTCCTTTTTATCACTGAGTAGTATTCCATCATGTATATATACCCCATTTTCTTTATCCACTCATTGGTCAATGGGCACATAGGTTGGTTTCATATCTTTTTGTAACACTCAGATTTAGAAACTCTACTTTTGTTTCATAAAATGAGGTATCTTTTTACTCATTAAATTATTTAAGTGTTTCAAACAGGCCAGCTTCTATCTAGGCCTTACCCAACAGACACTGTTTTCATGTCAATCCTATCAAGGCAGAAAGAGTTTTTATCCTAAACAACAATAAATGAAAATCCAGCTTATCCAGGTGGTTACCTCAAGTCTCCTTTTATCAGACTGAGGGCTTGGAGATCAGTCTTGGTTGCAACCTTTGCCAGCAAGCAGGGTAAGTCTCCAGTGATGGGTCTTGCTCTGTTGCCCAGGCCCTCACATTTCCACATAGATACAGCCTGTAGGGGAGCACATTTCTTTTCCAGGTGTTGCTAAATAAAAATAATTAAAGAACTGAGGTTCATATGAGCCTTTTTTTTTTTTTTTTTTTTTTTTTTTGACAAGAGTCTTGTTCTGCTGCCCAGGCTAGAGTTCAGTGGAGTGATTATAGCTCATTGCAGCCTTGAACTTCTAGGCTCAAGCAATCCTCTCTACAGACAATTTTGTAATTTGATTTTCATTTAGGGTCTCCCCAGATTTTTTTCTGAGACAGGGTCTTGCTCTGTCCCCCAGGCTGGAGTGCAGTGGTGTAATCACAGTTCATTGCAGCTTTGACCTCTCGGGCTTGAGTGATTCTCCCACCTCAGCCTCTGGAGTAGCTGGGACTACAGGTACACGTCACCATGCCTGGTTAATTTTTGTATTTTTTGTAGAGACGAGGTTTCACCATATTTCCCAGGATGGTCTCAAACTACTGGGCTCAAGCAATCTGCCTGCCTCAGCCTCCCAAAGTGTTGGGATTACAGGCGTGAGCCACTACGTCCAGCCAAGGTCTCCCAGGTTTTAAACAATCATGAAAAATCATCATTTGACTAATGTACCATTAGTCTTTATGAATTTATTCATTCATTTAATAAGCACCTATTGAGCACATGTCTGTGGTATGTGCAACTTTATACCATAGAAAATAGAGATGTTGATGACAATTTGCTTGCATTTTTACAAGCTTTTATTTTTAAAATAATTTCCAAATGTATTACCTTATCTAATCCGAAGTAGAAGAAACATCTTTGATTTTCTTTTTGAAAAATTAGGCTCTTTGAGAAACAATAAGTCCCACACCAATGTAAAAAAAATTAATTGTATACTTTGCTTATGTTTTATAAAACAGGAAAATTAATGAGATCATCTGAGAAGGATACTTGAAAGTGTTTGACACTTAGAGCAATTTTTTAAGTTTGAGGATGAATACGAGTAAATTTTTTAAATTTTTCATATAATCACCATCTGGAAATTTTGCGAAAAACCACTGTACTAATTGATGCTATTAGTATGCACAGGAAAAAAATAGTGCAATGGAATATATAATGGAGTCTTTCCTTCCATTAATTTTCCTATATGTGCTGTGATTACATATATTTCAATACATGTAATTTAATATTCTGATTTTTTTTTTGAGATGGAGTCTCACTCTGTTGCCCAGGCTGCAGTGCAGTGGCTGGATCTCATCTCATTGCAACCTCCACCTCCCAGGTTCAAGCAATTCTCCTGCCTCAGCCTCCTGAGTAGCTGTGATTACAAGCACCTGCCACCACAGCTGGCTAATTTTTGTATTTTTAGAAGAGACAGGGTTTCACCATTTTGGCCAGGCTGGTTTCAAACTCCTGACCTCAGACAATCCACCTGCCTCAGCCTCTCAAAGTGCTGGGATTACAGGCATGAGCCACCACACCCAGCCTAATATTCTGGTTTTTAAGTAATATTAGAGCATAAATATTAACATGCTATTGTACAGTATTCATAACCATCTTGTTAGTATTTATATCATATTACAGTAGGTGACTACTATATGATTATAATGTATCATATAACAAATGCCCTATTACTAGACACACAGTCTTCCAACTTTTCGGCTATATTGTATATAATTATCTCTTCATATTGCTGTTGTTTTCTTACAGTAGTTACTAGAAGCCTATTTTTAATAATTTATCTTCTTTTGACTTTAAGCTTTCTTGTTGAAATTATGACAGATCATTGCAAAATTAAGATCATTAAAATCCTAATAAAGAGTTTTGCTGCACTTGTCACTTGTTTAAATCTACATCTGTTCTTGAGTTACTAGTCCTCCACAATTTTCTCTGACTGCTTTGTTCCTCTGCAAAGTAAATAATATATTTTTCTGTCAACTTTTGGTGTACAGAAGTGGGCTCATTAACAACAATAAGCCACTCTGTACCCAAATATAAGAGCTAAACATAAAAAATGAATCAGTAATGGGAGACACTAAGTGTTGAATTAAACAGCGAAATATCTTGGGCCTCTGGAATCATTCCTGCGCATTGAAGACTGACTTAGTAACACCTTTTCCTGAGTAACACAGTGGGTTTGCTCTGCCTCTATTTATTTTCTGTCTTTTTTCCCTAAGCCTGTTTGCATAAAAACGAAACGTTTCTGGTTTCCCACCTGCATAACACCATTCTGCTACTCTTCTATACTCCTTTAATTAATCAGTCATCATGAAATCATTTTATATTCCTCCCATCTCATGAATAGAGAAAACTATCCATAGATCCTATTGAGCCATTCACAGTGCTTGCTAACATCCCATTGATGGTAGGTTTTATAAAAGAAAGCAAATCAAGACTTCTGTTATATTTAAAGTTTCACATCCATAAAGGTTTATTGCGGCCTCCCTGCAATTGACTCCTAGAAAATGCTTTCTTTCAGTGAATTTCAGTGCAGATCATTTAAAGGGGGAGAAATATGCAATTATTGCAGAAACAAAACCTAAAGGACCAAATTTCTTCACCCAAAAAAATAAATAAATACACGGTTCTATAAGATACATGCACTTTGAAATATCTCTACATAAATTGCCAAATATAACTAGGAGCGCTTCAGAAGGCTGGTTAGCTATTTAAGGTATATACAAAGAAGATTGGATAAAAATTTGCAAATAGGAATGTTAAGATCTTTTTATCTTTCATGTTGTGACAAATTAAATACATTATTCACTATAAAAATTTCAAATTAACAGAAAAGCACCAGGAAGAAAATAAAATAAAATCCACTGGTAATCCTTTAATCTTTTACATAGAAAGAACCACATTATTAATATTATGCATATTTTAAATATTTTTCTATTAGAGCTTTTTTGGGTTTTAGTTTTAGTTTTCACAAAACAAGGATCATGCTCCATGTGTTTTAAACCTTGATTTTTTTCAATTAAAGATACACTCTGAACAATTTCCTGTGGTATTAGGTTCCTAAAATGTGATTTTTGTCAGCCATATATTCTATATGTTAATATACCACAAATTATTTAGTTCCTGTTTTTAAGTTGGGATTTTTTAGTACACATAATTGTAATTACAACTTTACATAAATTTTTGTATGCCCCTTATTATTTCCTTAAGAGAGACTTCTGGAAAAATTACTGATTTTGCTAGCCAAACAGTACTTTAAAGATGTTTAGAAAATGTTGTCAAGATGTCCATGAAGGACATGTCATTCATTTAATCTATGAAAATTATATTAAATTTTATTTATTTTTTTCCAGCTTCTTGGAAGCATTATTGACAAACAAAATTCTATAAATTTAAGGTATACAATGTGATGTTTTTGTATACATATACGTTGTGAAATGATTACCACAATTAACCTAACTGACATATCTACTACCTCACATAGTTAGCATTGTGTGTGTGTGTGTGTGTGTGTGTGTGTGTGTGTGTATGGTGAAATCACTCTAGATCTACTCTTTTAACAAATTTTGAGTACAAAATACATTATTAACTACAGTCATCATGCTGTACAGGAAGTCCCCAGAACTTACTCATCTTATACCAGAAGGTTTTATGCTTTAACTAACATCTCCCCAACATTCACCCCCGAGCCACTGGCACACCATAGTACTCTGTTTTTATTAGTTTGGCTATTTTAGAGTCCACAGATAAGTGAGATTATGTAGTATTTGTCTTTCTGTGGCTGGTCTATTTCACTCAACATAATTTCCTCCAGGTTCATCCATGTTGTCACAAATAAGATTTCCTTCTTATTTGAAGCAGAATAGTATCCCATTGTGTGTATATACATTTTCTTTAAGAATTCACCAGTTGATGGACACTTAGGTTGATTTCATATCTTGGCTTTCTACAATGGCTGTACTAATTTACATTTCCACCAATTGCATGCAAGGGCTCCCTTTCTCCACTTCCTCACCAACACTTTCTTTCGTCTTTTGATAATAGCCTCTCTAACAGATGTGAGGTGATATTGAAGTGGCATCAGTCATCTGGGGTAATACCCAAGGTTTGTTGCCTCAAGCCAAGGAAATCAAGGATGCAGACACATAAAGAGTAAGGCTAAGAGTGGAGGTTTGATATGTGAAAGAAAGAGAAAAGCTCTCTCTCCTGCAGAGAGAGGGGAGCTCTCGAGTGGGTCTTCCAGTTCTGTGGTGAAATGCACAGTTTTTTTGGTTTTGTGGGGTTTTTTTGTTTGTTTTTTTGTTTTTTTTTTTTGAGACAGAGTCTCACTCTGTCGCCCGGGCTGGGGTGCAGTGGCATGATCTTGGCTCACTGCAAGCTCCACCTCCCAGGTTCACGCCATTCTCCTGCCTCAGCCTCAGGAGTAGCTGGAACTACAGGCACCCACCACCATGCTCGGCTAATTTTTTCTTGTATTTTTAGTACAGATGGGGTTTCACCGTGTTAGCCAAGATGGTCTCTATCTCCTGACCTCTGATCTGCCCGCCTGGGCCTCCCAAAGTGGTGGGATTACAGGCGTGAGCCACCACGCCTGGCCAATGCACAGAGTTTTATAGATAAGCTTAAGGAGGCAGTGTCTGATTTACACCAGGCCCAAAAGGTGTACCATTTACATAACGTGCAAAGAAGCTGGCTGCCCCACCCTAATCTTTTATTATGCAGATGGGTTCTCTACCTGGCCAGCACCATGTTGCCTGTTCCTTTACTACATGTGGTTGACAAAGAAAAAGGAAGATGGGGCCTCCATGTTGAACATACCTGGCTTCCAGGTAGCCTTTTCCTATTGGCACAGCTGCCAGCATTTACCTGTGCAAGCTTCTACCTTGCTTTTCTATGTCTCCAGCTTGATTTTTCAGGCTGCTCTTTGTTAGAAAAGAAAAATCAAGCTCCTCTTTGTTAGAAAACAAATGATTTGGGGGCTGCTTTTTATTAAAAGGGAAACCTTACTGAGGACTCTTTTACTCTCACTATTTGTCTAAATAATTTCTTTTTAGCTTGTGTATCAATATCTTTTAGGTTTTAGTTTGCATTCCTTTAATCAATAGTGATGTTGACCATTTTTCCATATACCTGTTGGCCATTTGTTTGTCTTCTTTTGAGAAATGTCTATTCAGATCCTTTCACCCATCTTTAAATCAGGTTATTTGTTTTCTTACCATTGAGTGGACTGAGTTTCTTATGTATTTTGAATATCAACCCCTTATCAGATGTATAATTTGTAAATATCTTCTCCCATTCTGTAGGTTGCCTCCCCAGTCTGTTGATTGTTTCTTTGTAGTTTGATGTAATTTCTTTGTCTATTTTCAATTTTGTTGCCTGTGCTTTGGAGTTCATAGCCAAAAAATAATTGCCCAGAATAACATCATGGAGCTTTTCCCCTATGTTTTCTTCCAGAAGTTTTACAATTTCAGGTCCTACAGTTAAGTCTTTAATCCATCTTGAGTCAGTTTCTGTATATGGTGTGAGAAAAGAGTCTAATTTCATTCTTCTGCATGAAGATACCCAGTTGTGGAAGAGATGCTCATTCCCTGTTGTGTGTTCTGGTACCTTTGTCAAAACTCAGTTGACCATATATAAGTAGATTTATTTCTCTTCCATTCAATTATATGTTGTTGTTTTTGTTTTAATGCCAGTACCATGATGTTTTGATTACTATAGCTTTGTAGCATATTTTAAATTCAGGTAATATGTGACCTCCAGCTTTGTTCTTTTTGCTGAGGATTCCATTAGGTATTCTGGGTCATTGTGGTTCTATATGATTTTTAGGATTATTTTTTCTATTTCTGTGAAAATGTCATTGTAATTTTTATAGGAATTTCACTGATTATGTCAATTACTCTGAGTAGTATGGACATTTTGACAATATTAATTCCTCCAATCTGTGAACATGGAATATCTTTCCATTTATTTGAATCTTCTTCAATTTATTTCATCAGTGTCTTATAGTGTAGGTTTCAGCATATAGAACTTTCACTTCCTTGGTTGAATTTATTCCTATTTTGTTATTTTTGATAATATCATAAACAGGATTATTTTCTTGATTTCTTATTTGGATAGCTCGTTATTTGTGTACAAAAATTGGTATACAAAAATGAAACTGATTTTTGGATGTTGATTTTTTATTCTGCAAGTTTTCTGAATTCATTTGTTGTAAGGTTTTTTAGTGGAGTTCTTAGGGTTTTCTATATAAATTACCGTGTTGTCTGCAAAAAAGAGACAATTTAACATTTTCTATTCTGACTTGAATACTTTTTACTTCTTCCTGTTACCTAATTATTCTGTCTAGGACTTCCAGAACTATCTTGACTAGAAGTGGTGAGAGTAGGCATTCAAGTCTTATTCTTGATCTTAGAAAAAAAAAAAAACTTGCCACTTTTTGCTGTTATGTATGATGTTAGCTGTGGGTTTGTAATATATGGCTTTTATTGTGTTGAGGTACATTTTTTCTATCACTAATTTATTGAGAATTTTATCATGAAAGGACATTGAGTTTTGTCAAATGCTTTTTATGCATCTATTGAGATGATAATATAGTTTTTCTTCTTTATTCTGTTACTATGGTACATATACATTTATAGATTTGTGAATGTTTAACCATCCTTACATCCCTAGGATACTAGGATACTTTTAAACTGTTGTTGAATTCAGTTTGCTGATATTTCCTTGAGGATTTTTGCATTTATGTCCATCAGCATTAATGGCCTGTAATTTTCTTGTTTTGTCCTTGTCTGACCTTACTATCATAGTAATGCTGGCCTCTTAAAATGAGTTTGGAAATATTCCTTCTTCTAAGTTTTTTTTTTTTTCTCTGAGAAAGTTTGAGAATGATTGATATTTGCTCGTTAAATATTTGGTAGAATTCAGCAATGAAGCCATCAGGTCCTGGGCTTTTCCTCGATGGGAGACATCTTATTACTGATTCATTCTCATTATTCATAATCAGTCTGTTTAGATTTTCTGGTTTTTTATGATTCAGTCTTGGTAGGTGCTATGTGTCTAAGGATTTATCCATTCCCACTAGGTTATCCAATTTGTTGGTAAATAATTTTTCGTAGTCATCTCACGATCCTTTATATTTCTCTGGTATCAGTTGTAATGTCTCCTTTTCATTTCTGATTTTATTTTTCTTCCTTTTTTCTTTGTCTAGCTAAAGTTTTGTCAATTTTGTTTCTTTTCAAAAAACCAACTGTTTCATTGATCTTTTCTACTGTTTTTCTAGTTTCTAATTTATTTCTGTTCCGATCTTTGTTATTTCATTCCTTCTGCTAACTTTGGGCTTAGTTTGTTCTTTTTCTAGTTCCTTGAGATGTCAAGTTCAGTTGTTTGTGATCTTTCTTCTTTTTTAATATCACTATGTGTTTCCTTCTTAGTACTGCTTTTGCTGCATCACGTAAGTTTTGGTAAGTTGTGTTTTGTTTTCATTTCTCTTATTTTCTATTTTCTCTTTTGATTTCTTCTTTGACCTATTGGATGTTCAGAAGTATGATGTTTGATTTCCACAAACAGTCTGCATCACTTAACGACAGGGATACATCCTGCGAAATGCATTGTTAGGCGACTTTGTCATTTGTGCTAACAAAATAGAGAGTACTTACACAACCCTAGAAGATAAAGCCTACTACACAAACAGGCTATATGGTATAGCCTATTGCTCCCAGGCTACAAACCTGTACAACCTGTTACTGTACTGAATACTATGGGCAATTGTAACACAATGGTAAGTATTTGTGTATCTAAACAAAGAAAAGGTAATGTGTTGTGCTGAGTCATTAGGCTGCTGCCATGCCACTAGGAAACAGGACTTTTTGAGCTAGATTACTATCTAATGGGACCACAGTAGTATATGCAGTTAGTCCCTGACGGAAATGTTATTATACTACACATGACTATATTTGTGAACTTTCTAGTTTTCCTCCTGTTGATTTCTAGTTTCATACCATTGTGGTTGGAAAAGATACTAGATGATTTCAACTTTCTTAAATGTGTTAAGACTATTTGTGCACTGGGTGGGATGATGTGGTTCCCGTTCTGATTTGGGCATAGTCTACATAGTCTAGGTGCAGCTACATCAGCTGAGGGCAGTGATGCTGAAGATTGCAGGGTCCCAGTGGCCAATGCTGTTATGTCCACAGCATTGAGGACAGCTGTTGGGGTCTTAGGTGGTGAAGACTGCTGAGGTCGTCCTGATCTGTTTTTCTCCAATAGAGGAAGTCTTAGAAGAAGGAATCCCTCTTGGTGCCAGGTATAGCTCACAGGTGTGCTTATATGATAGGGACACTGCCTGATGCATGGTGCCCAGGGAGTGGCCAGGAAGCCCATGTCTAGAACCAGGCTGTCACGGAGTTTCAGGCCTCCTGGGTCTGAGACAGCAGAGGCCCTTGTTTTCATGGTGCAGGGCCTCCCACTGCCTCTTTGGTAATGGTGTATGAGGCATGGGAGCTTGTTGGGCAGCCGTGAATTTAGTGTCTAGAGCCTGGGCAGAAGCAGAGTTACAGCAAGGGGTGTGGAGGCGCCTGCTGTGGATTGGCTCTGGTGTCTGAGGCTGGAGATGGGGAGGCTGCATAGGAGCCAGGGTCTAGAGCAACCACCACTTGCGGTTAGGGTAAGCCCAAGGTTGGCAAGAGTGGTTGCCTTGTCCCAGGGTGGTACAAGAGCAGCTCTTTCTTGGGAGTCAGGGAGTGCAGCAATATCTCCCTCACCCAAGGACACAAGGTGGCATTGGCTGTTGGCTACCTCAGTGGTGAAAGCTGCTGGTATCTTTCATGGCACAAGCTACTGGGGTCCATATGCCTCCACTAAATACTAGGAGGGAACTAAGGAGTTCAAGGCTGCCACAGGGCTGTGGAGGTCTCAGGCATGAAGATCACCAGAGTCCTCCACAGAGCCAGTCTTTGGGGATGTGCTGGCAACCACTGCATGGCCAATAAATAGCTCTTGCCCTTCCTTGTTTGCAGCTGTCTCCAGAAGTCTCAGTTATGTTGATCTCCACAGTGATCCTTTCTAGGAGGTTATTATCCATTTTTTGTCCCACCGTGTTGCTGCAGTTTCTTAGTTGAGGAAATGTCCGGCTTTCTTGCAGCTTAAGGCCTATTTGGAAGAATTGGCTAAGTTAGACCAACTGGAGTTATCTCCTAGGATTTTATATGCAAACAGTAAGAGAAATACTCTTTCCTCTCAATTGGGAGCTATAATTATACTATCCTGGAGTTCTCATCAGTCTTGCCCTCTGCTGTGTGGAGGCAACAGAATAAAGAGGTCAAGAACTATGATGGAAGCTGAAGAAAATGGTAGTGGCCACAAGAACCACAGTCTTTAAGCTGATTTGATTCCCTAGACTCATCTCTCTGTTCCCAGTTACAAAAGACAGTATGGTGCTCCCTGCCTTTTTGTCTTTAACCTACTTGTCTAACACAGACTCCTTCTGGTTCATGCTAGTAAGTGCCTTACTTTCTTTTCTTCTATTTTAGAAGATGGGATCTAGGAGTCCTAGAAGCAAGAGACTAGAAAGGAGATTCTAAGTTTAAGTCCATGTTTTTATTATTCTTTCCTGTAGCACTACTTTCTCCAACTATTTTATTTACTCATACAATTAATTCAATCAACAAATATTGAGCAACTCTTATTCACCAGATAGTCTACTATGTGCTGAGGATACAGCAGTAAACAAAATGCATAAAATTCTTTACCCTCAGGGAATGTGCTTTCTAGTTACTTTACCATGATTATTGCCTAGTTAACTAGTGGTGACAAGAAAATTAATCATTAGAAGTACGTCCCTTGTGAATTTGGCACCCATATGCATATCCTTAAGAATTGTGGAGCCATCCCAAAGTGAGGATTCTGAAGATGGATTATTGTGCTGCTTGCTCAAGCTTGTGCTTGACTCCCCAAACTTGCCTGCTCACTCTCCCAGCAGACCAGCTAGTGTGGGGTGCCCCAAGCAAGAGAGGTTTTTAGGATGCAGACTGGCTGATGTAGGTTATGCAGGTCTTTACCTCCATTGATGTGGGCTCATGTTTCAGGCAGATGGGGAGTACTTAAGGTGGCAAATCCTTTATGGAGAGAAAACTTGACATTCAGATGGTTGTTTTTAAATGTTTCACTTTTTGTACAGTTGACAGATATCATAAATAATATCAACCTTTACATTTGATATGGAGTTAAACTTGATCAGTACTACTAAATAAAATCAAGATCTGGTGGGGAAAAAGAAAACAAAAAAAAAACAAAAAAAAAGTTATCTTTATTTGGAGATTTATTAATCTCCAAATAAAGACAGTAACAGGGTAATCGTCTGCCTAACATGATGTAACTATCCCGTGTGTAACCAAAAATGCACTAATCTCTTCCCAGAATAGGAGGCAAATCCCTTAGGCAATGTTTACTCTTCTGATATGCCATAACTTAAACATGTTGATGTAAAATTAACTATACTTAAATACTGATATAAATGCAATAAATCTTGTATTACATGATAAAGAAATAAGAAAACAAAAACAACACATGTACATATGCACATATATTTTTCACAAAATAGGAAATACATGACAACTACAGTCCTCATTTCTGTAACTGATCACGTGGTTGTAGCTAGCATTTATAACAACATTTTTCTATTAAAAATTTTGTATTTTCTTTACCTGCAGCAAGCAACTCAACTGGTCATGGTTCTTTTGTTGGTGGGGTGACTATAACCTTCATGCCAAGATTCTGGGCCATTCATAGTCTTGCCTGAATTGGGTGGTTGTAATTTCCCATGATGGTAATCACAGGTCACGGTCATACTAAAAGACACCCGAAGGGATCTCCTGTATTGCAGACCCACCCTTCCTTACCTCCATTGTGGAGTAGTAGTCAAGTTTCCCCTTTGTAGTCAGGTTCAATTATCTTAGCCAGAGTCACAACTCCTTTCTTAGCTTGTTGACACACAGAGGCACCAGTAGCCCAAAGTGGCCGAGTATCAATCTTAACTTCCAGTTCAGTTGGAATCATTGCTGTGTCTCCTGGCGGAATGATTCTTCCCTCCAAAATTATGACCTCCATGCCAGCAGAGCATAAAGTCATGGGAACAGAAAGCAAAAATTTTGCTACTGGATCACTAGAGATAATGGTGAGTGGTGCTACTCCCGTTTCCACCCCATAATTCCTGGATCCATGAATCCTGGCTATGGAAGAAATAGTATCAAATCTTGGACATTAATTCAGAGCATATACACCCTTCTGTTGAACCTTGCCCCAGCCCTACAGAGCACCTACCTGGTGCTGTAACTGCAACTTCAAAAGACCATCTGACTGCATGATCAAGCTAGCTAGCTACTTCAGGATGATGGGGAACATGGTAAGACCAATGAATTCCATGAGCATGAGTACATTGCCACACTTCTTTGGCTATACAGTGAGTTCCTTGGTCAGAAGAAATGCTGTGTGGAATACCGTGACAGTGGATAAGGCACTCTGTGAGTCCAGAGATGGTAGTTTTGGTAGAAGCATTGCATGCAGGGAAGGTAAATCTATGTGAGTGTCTATTTTAGTAAGGACAAAATACTGTCCCTTCTATGATTAAAGTAATACAATGTAATCATCCTGCCACCAATGTAATCATCTTGCCATTTTGTAGCTAGCCAATCATCCCAAGGGCATGGTACCATATAGGGGGCTCAGTGTTGGTCTCTGCTGCTGACAAATTGGGCACTCAGTGGCTGCTATAGCCAGCTCAACCTTGGTGAGTGGAAGTTCATGTTGCTGAGCCCATGTATAACCTCCTTCCCAGCCACCATGGCCACTTTGTTCATGAGCCCATTGGGTGATAATAGAGGTGGCTGGGGAAAGAGCCTAACTACTAGTCACAGAATGGATCACTGTATCCACCTGTATCCACATACCTCTTGCCCAAATTTCTTCATCATCAATTTTCCAATCATGTTCCTTCCAGTTCCCTGATTCCTTGATCATTTGTCCAAACCATTGGCTACAGCTCTGGCCATTTCTCCTTTCAAGTAAAGTGCACAACCAGCTACACTGCCATATGTTCTGCCCACTAAGATTTCCCTTCACCACTGTCTTTCAAGGATGTCCCAGAAAGGGACTGTATTGCTGCAAGCTGTCCATGCAGAACCATCTGTAAACGAGGCCCCAGTCTTCTTTTTCTCTGTCAATTGATTATAGAGTACTCTCCATTAGGCCATAGGTGCAGGCTAGGAGAGAGAAGACAGTGTAGCAGGAGTGAACTATGGGCATTTGGGCCATTTCATATAACTTACTTGTGCCTTCAGGACCTGTTCAAGCAGGATCATATATAGACCATTTCCATTTAATAATAAAGTGTTAATGTGCATGCCCAACTTAACAATATGTTGGGTCAGATAACACCCAATTTATAATGGGCAGCTCAGGTCACGTGGTAACCTGACAGCCTATGGTCAAACATTTAGTATCAACTGAGGCCCAGCACCAGGCCAAAAGCTGTCTTTCAAAAGGAAAGTAGTTATCTGTGGATGATGGCAGGACCTTGCTCCAAAATCCTAAGGGCCTCAGCTGCAATTCACCTATGGGGGCCTTCCAAAGGCTTCAAACGGCATTCCTACCTACCGCTGACAGCTCAAGTACCATGGATCTGCTGATTCATGTGGCCCAAGTGGCAGAGCAGCTTGCACAGCAGCCTGGACCTCTTATAGAGCCTTCTCCTCTTCTGGGCCCCACTCAAAACTAGCAGCTTTCTGGGTCACTCAGTAGATGGGCCAGAGTAAAACATGCAAATTAATAATATGTTGCCTCCAAAATCCACATAGGCCCACTAGGCATTGTGCCTCTTTCTCAGTTGTAGGAGCAGCCAGATACAACAATTTATCCTTCCCCTTAGAAAGGATATCTTGACACGCCCCATACCACTGGACCTCTAGAAACTTCACAGAGGTAGAAGGCCTCTGAATTTTAGGGGGACTTATTTCCTATCTTCTGACACACAAACTTCTGGCCAATAAGTCCAGACTGGTTGGTACTTCATGCTCACTAGATCCAATCAGCATAACATCATCAACATAATAGACCAGTATGATATCTTGTGGAAGGGAAAGGCAATGAAGATCCCTGAAAGCCTAATTGTGACATAGTGCCAGAGGGTTGATGTACTTCTGAGGTAGAACAGTGAAGGTATATTGCTGGTCTTGCCAGCTAAAAGCAAAGAGCTTCTGGTGGGCCTTATGGACAGGAATGGAAAATGAGGCATTTGCCAGATTAATAGCTACACACCAGGATATGTGTTCATTTGCTCAGGCAATGAAATGCCAACTGGTACAGCAGTTGGAACTGGGGTCACAATTTGGTTAAGGTTACAATAATCCACTGTCATTCTCCAAGATCCATCTGTCTTCTTTACAGGCCAAATAGGAGAGTTGAATAAAGATGAGGTGAGAACAACTACCCTTGCATCTTTCAAGTCCTTGGTGGTGGCACTAATTTCTATTGTTTTTGATTCACTATTTTCCTAGGTAGAGGTGGCTCTAATGGCTTCAATTTGGCCTTTCTCACCACACTACCTTTCACTCCATTAGTTTAGGAACTAATGTGGGGATTCTGCCCACTGCTAAGTATGTCTGTGCCAATTATACATTCTAGAATTAGAGAAATGACCACAGACTGGGTTTGGGGACCCACTGAACCCACTGTGAGGCAGACCTGAACTGCAACTCCATTGATCACCTGACCTCCATAAGCTCCTACTTTTGCTGACGAGCCACAGTGACATTTTGGGTCTCCTGGAATCTGTCAGTACAGAGCCAGTGTCCAATAGTCCCCAAAGGTCTGATTATTTTCTTTTCCCCAGTGCACAGTTACCCTGGCAAAATGCCATAAGTCTTTGGGGGAAAGCTAAAGGAAACATTATCAGTACAAATTTTTGGTGTACCAGGGTCCTTCCTGGAGGGGACCTGGTCTCCTCTGCTTTCAAGGGGTTTTTTAAACTGACTCATGTCTGGAACTAATTGAGGGGCCATGATTCTCTGTTTTTATTATTGGAGTTAGACTTTTTGTTTGCTTGACCTGAAAGTGTTCTGCTTATATAGTAAAGTAAGGATTTAATAGGCTTCCTATCTATTTTATATCTAGGAACACCGTAATTGACTACTCAATGCCTTAGGTCTACATGAGTCAGACTATTCTGATTGTTGCTTTGCCTCTTCTATTCATTACAATAACTACATCCACTTTACCTTTGCTGTTGGGAACCACCACTTGGCCCCTGCCACCCCAGATCCAGTTATCCCCATTGCATGTAAGTTTTCCCATTGAGTGACACAGCTTCTCACCATAAGGTCAGGCCTACAGAGAAGTGCAATCACAGAGCTCTTCAAGGATGCTGTAACTCCCCTTACAAATCTGTTTCTCAAAGTATTCGTGAAAGATTGATCTGGACCTTCCCAGTGTAGGCCAGTAGGTTTTACATAAAAAATCCACTCTAGCATTACAGTCTCTTTAAGCCTCTAAATCCCTTCCTTTATGTTAACGAAAGGGAGATGAGGCTTATCCAACTTGCCCTCAGTGGGTCATCTTTTGATCTATGTTTCAGCCAACCAACCAAACAAACTGCTACTGCCTTTACTAACTTCCTGAGCTGCAATGTTACATGCAGAATCTCTGCTTAGCGGGCCCATATCAATAAATTCAGCCTATCCCACTATTCCTTCCATCATTATTCTACACCTTTAGTATCAATTTCCATATATATCCCCCCTTTCCTGCTTATATAAATTAGAAAACTCTATCAGAGTATAGGGCACCTCCTCATGGGTCACACTCTCTACATCACTTTTAGGGGCCTGCTGGGTCTCAAGTCTAGTTACAGGGATAGAAGCAAAGAGGGATGGTGGGCATGAGTCCTGAGGAGAATCAGCATTGTCTTTCTTGGCAACTGCCTCAAGGGAGGCCACTAACCTTTTCCATAGGCAATGCACAGATCATCCTTTCAGAAAGAGATGGAAAGGCCAATACCACTGTGGGTGAGAATGCCACTGCCTTGGAAGGTGGAGAGACCACTTCCACTGGCAAACAAGACTCATGGAGATTTAAGAGCTCAATGTTCCCAGCCTCATCAGAGTCTTCTCACACATCCCCATCCCAACTTATAGGATCCCATTCTTTCCCAACCAATGCCCTCTCTTTAACAGCAGACACCCTGTGAGGCTGGGAGTTCAACTTTTGCTGTAATGCAGCTAATTGCATGACAAGGGCTTGTGTTGATTTTCAGCAATTTCAGCCCTATATCTACAGCAAAGAAGATTCTAACTCAGGGCACATTCAGAAGCTCTTAGGCTATTTATACACAGCTGCAGCTGGTAAATCAAATTCATAAGCTCATCCTTTTCTTTCATTGCTTCGTCCAGCAACATTAGGAGTAACCAACCAATATCATTATATTCCTTGGTTTTCCACAAATGTTCAAAATATCACATGCCAAGTCACCAAGTTCCTTGCCTTTTATACATGGTGAATTAAAAGTATCAAATGCATTTTCTGCATGTCTCTGTAAACAGTTCACACCAGGCACTTTGTACTATTAGAAGTAGAGTCCTTAGCATTTTTAGGTCTAATTGGATAGAGAGCCAATTCCAGGAAACTCCAAAACCAATTAAGAAAACTCATCCTTAAAATTCTATTTCTCTAGGACGATACCTGGTACCAAAATCTGTATTAGTGAGGGTTCTCTGAGACACAGAACCAATAAGATAGATATAGATATGTAAGAGGAGAAGAATTGGCTCACATGATTATGGAGGCTGAGAAATCCAAGAGAGATCATCAGTAAGCTGTATACCGTGGGCTCCTGGTAGCATGGCTAAGTTCAAGTCCAAAGGCCTGAGAACCCGGTAGACCACTGATGTAAGTCAGCACACAGCCTTCCTTCTTGATACCCATGCCCTGTAGTGTCTACTAAAGATACTTTCAGTTATTCCTGGAAGTCAGGATGGAGAATGTTTTTCTACAGGAGACCAACTCTGATGGCAGAGTCACAATGTCAACCCTTCCCGGCAAAATGAATTAAAATTAAATTTAAATTGAATTTTAAAATTAGGAATGCAGTGTATGGCCCCATCCTATGGATGACAATATGGAAGAAAAAGTCCGAAAGGAATAAATGGAGGTCAGAGTATGGAGTGCAAGGCACTACAGAAAAAGTAGAGAAAAGTGGAAGAAAAACAAGGCGGAAAAAGGCAGAAGCAGCATAAATGCATAGGAAGAGGAAAGTGAGAAAACAGAGAACAAAGGATTAGGAAGCTGATAATGACAAACAGACAGTGAGTCCTTCCTAGTGTGAGTCAGTCACCTCCAGGACTGCAGCCTAAGAAGTAACAAGAACAATGCATCTTTAGGAATGATAGCCAGCTCAACAAGAGAAATCAACAGAAAAGTGTAACAGATGAGATGGAGCACAGGGAATAGAGACTGAAACCCATTTCTTTGGCTGACCAGCTTTTGCCAGCTCTCTGGTCATCTAAGCATAAAATGCAGCATTTGTGCAGGTGCACCTGTAGATATAATGGCTTAACATATTGTAGGTTAATTTTGTATGATTCTTTATGTGTAAAGAGTAGAAAAGAATGAATTATTTTCATAAAACTGTTAATTCTCATAAAACAATTCCAGCAATACTAAATAGTAGAAGAAAAAAATGAGACAAAGACTTCATGGTGAAAACACCAAAAGCAATTGCAACAAAAGCCAAAATTGACAAATGGGATTTAATTAAACTAAAGAGCTTCTGCACAGCAAAAGAAACTAGCATCAGAGTGAACAGACAACCCACAGAATGGGAGAAAATTTGTGTAATGTACCCATCTGACAAAGGTCTAATATCCAGAATCTACAAGGAACTTAAACAAACTTACAAGATAAAAACAAACTTCATCAAAAAGTGGGCAAAGGATATTGACAGACACTTCTCAAAAGAAAACATTTATGTGGCCAAGAAACAGGATAAAGAAGCTTATCATCACTGATCATTAGAGAAATACAAATGAAAACCACAATGAGATACCATCTCATGCCAGTCAGAATGGCGATTATTAAAAAGTCAAGAAATGATGCTGGCGAGGCTGTGGAGAAATGGGAATGCTTTTACACTGTTGGTGGGAATGTAGATTGGTTCAACTATTGTGGAGGTCAGTGTGGCAGTTCCTCAGAAATCTAGAACCAGAAATACCATTTGACCCAGCAATCCCTTTACTGGGTATATACCCAAAGGAATATAAATTATTCTACTATAAAGACACATGAACACGTACGTGTATTTCAGCACTATTTACAATAGTAACGACATGGAACCAACCCAAATGCCCATCAGTGATAGACTGGATAAAGAAAATGTGGTACATATACACCATGGAATACTATGTAGCCATAAAAAAAATGAGATCATGTCCTTTGCAGGGACATGGATGAAGCTGGAAGCCATCATCCTCAGAAAACTAACACAGGAGCAGAAAACTAAACACCACATGTTCTCACCCATAAGTAGAAGTTGAACAATAAGAACACATGGACACAGGGAGGGGAAAAACACACACCAGGGCCTGTTGGAGGATGGGGGGCAAGGCGAGGGAGAGCATTAGGACAAATACCTAATGCATGTGGGGCTTAAAACCTAGATGACAGGTTGTTAGGTAAAGCAAACCACCATGGCACATGTATACCTATGTAACAAACCTGCACATTCCGTACATGTATCCAGGAACATAAAGTAAAATAAAAATTGTAAAAAAGAGAAAAAAATGAGATAGTTAAATCCCACCTACTTGAAATAAGCATTGTTAACACGTAGTGGACATCATTTCAGATAAAACAGCTAAATCAATATCTCTCTACATGTAGATATAGGTATTAACATAAGCATATGTGTAACATATATGTACACACACATATACATACATGCACACACAAGCACATATCTCTCTCTCTAGACACACATACTTACATAAATATATACCACACACACATAAAAGAATGCATGGTGGAGAAATAGAAAGATGTGCATATAACAATAGAAAAATAGAAAAAAAATCAATGATGGATAGAAAGATGATAGATGACAGACATGCAGAATGGACTTATATTACCTGCTATTTTTAATAAAAATATTTCAGTGGAGTCATATTATTTAAGCATTTATTTAACTTACACATGTACAGTCATACACTAGGATAGATAAAGAAAGAGAGACAGAGAGGAAAATTAAAAATTTATATAATGTAGACAATTTAACTTACATTCACCTCACACAATGAGCATGAATGAGATGTTCATCTATTGTTCTCCATTCACTTTCAATGACAGTGTACCTTTTACAATGCAAGCATTTCACTGCACTGAATATGGGCTCTGGTATTTAAAATTATTCTTTGCATAATATGACCTCAAAGACCACAGTAGGCATTAAGTTTATCCAGTAATCAACTGAAAAATCAGCAATCTCCTCCAAAGCTGGAGATTAAATTGGCTGTGTTGAGCTCACTCAGCAAGTGACTTTCACTGCCATGCACTTTCTTATGAGATTTTCAGAGAAAATTTTGACTATATGTAATATTCATATTCAGAGATCATTTGAAAGCCTATGTCTTGAGCAAGATGAAATTTGTCACTGTACATTTTTAAAAACTTACTAGAAGGTACTGAAGAGAAACTGAAAACTTACTAAATCTCAAATTAATGTTGATTTACAAGAGATTTTATTTATGAAAACTTTCTAATATGGCTTGGCTCTGTGTCCCCACCCAAATCTCACCTCTAATTGTAATCCCCACGTATAGAGGGAGAGACCTGCTGGGAGGTGATTTGATCATGGGGGCAGTTTCGCCCATGCTATTCTTGTGATAGTGAGAGAGTTCTTATGAGATCTGATGGTTTTAAACGTGGCAGTTTCCCCTGTGCTCTCTCTATTTCTCCTGCCTTCTTGTGAGGAAGGTGGTTGCTTCCCTTTGCCTTCTGCCATGATTATAAGTTTTCTGAGGCCTCCTGAGCCATGTGGAACTATGAATCAATTCAACCTCTTTTGCTTATAAATTACCCAGTCTCAGGTAGTATCTTTATAGCAGTGTAAAAATAGACTAATACAGTTTTCAAAACAAAACACATAGGGTTGTTCTGTAAACTGTGCTTAGGATTCCTTTTCAATTAACCTATTTTATGTTTAGTTAATATTTATTAATGCAATCCTTTGAAAGACATGGAAATTAACACTTATACTTCCTTCCACCATTCCTCCCTCAATTCACACTTTTTATTAGTTATATGATTATTTCATTTTGCCAAGTCTTACAGCATTATGATCTGTCCTACAGACATAATTCCCCATTTTTGTTTGGTCTCTGTTATCAAACATTCCACCAGTACTCCACACATCATGACATCATCATTCATCTCTTTATGTTTGTATTTTGTCATCAAGTCAGTTTTTCAAGATTGGCTTACAGAGATTACAAAGTTTAGAATGTCTATGTTGTAACTTACCATTTAAATTACCAAGTTACTGAGTTACTGGTAACTATTGTTCCATTATCTTTAGGCACCGAGTAGTGCTATTAAGAAGCCCGGGCCAGGTGCAGTGGCTCACACCTGTAATCCTAGCATTTTGGGAGGCCAAGGCAGGTGGATCACCTGAGGTCAGGAGTTTGAGACCAGCCTGGCCAAAATGGCGAAACCCCGTCTCTACTAAAAATACAAAAAATTACCTGGGTGTGGTGGCGGGCACCTGTAATTCCAGCTACTTGGAAGGCTGAGGCAGGAGAATCACTTGAACCCAGGAGGCGGAGGTTGCAGTGAGCAGAGATAGCATCATTGCACTCCAGCCTGGGAAACAAGAGCGAGACACTGTCTAAAAAAAAAAAAAAAAAAAAAAAAAGAAGCCCAAGCTCAAGGCCAAACATATTTTTCCCTTGTACAGGATTTCATTGTTTGACCATTGAAATTTTCTTTATTCCTAAAATTTAGTAATTTAGCTTACGTATGTTTTACTGTTACTATATTAAGGTATTTTTTGCTTTCTAGAATAAATTGGTATTTTTAATCTGTAATTTCATGTTTTTATTTAGTTCAGGAAAGTTGTCTTTTATTATATTTTTGTTAAATACTTTTGCCCCATGTCTAAATTAACATAATAGGCTTCCAATAAATATTCCTTGAATGAATAAATATGTTTGAATACTTTTTCTGTTTCATTTATTCTGTTCTCTTCTTCAGGAAGTCAACTATATTTATGTTGATGATGTTTTCTCTGTCTTCCAGTTTGATCACCTTTTATAATCTTTTAAATATCTTTGTCTTTTCCGTTTTGTTTTTGTGATTTCTGAAGCCTATCCAGCACTCTTATCTTTATCTGTGTCTTCAGCATTTACATTATTCTTGTTGCTTCTAAAGTATGTTTCATCTCTATAATGATTTTATTTTCTTGCAGTTCTTCCTTAGGTTCTACTGGCACACTATTAACTTCCTGCTTATGTATTATATTTTCTTCTCAGAACCCTTTGAGTTCTTTTTAGAGAAAACATCATGATTTCTTTGAAAACATTCAAACTTATTTTTCTGAACTCTACTGTATGTTTTAGGGTAATTCTTTTTGTGATATATTCTCTAGGCTACTTCCTTAAAATGAAAACAATAATTCCTCTTTAAATGGGGCCAACTATTAGCTAAGGAATAATGTGGGCAAGAGGATCTAAGGCTATTTACAATGTAAATTGAGGTTTATTGTTGTGGGCACAGTTTCACCAAGTCTGCCACTACCTACGCGGTAGGCAAGAAGCTCTTGAGTATATATATATATACATGTTAAGCTAACAGTTTTAATGAGAATAAAAGGAAAGAGCCATCTGGACACCTTCATCCACCTCACAGACATGCTTGTCTTTAACATTCTTTGCTGATAAAACAAATAAAACGAGATTGAAATATATATAGTTCCTGTTGTAGACCCAACACTCCCAGAAACAGACAGACCTTTCTCTGTCATTTTCAAGTTTCCCATAGGAGCAAAATCGATGGAGGCAACACTTCTGCTCAGTGTTGTTCAGCATCACTGTGGAATATCTCCTCTTCCCAAGTGAAATACTGAAATGGTAATGAAGACAGTTGGCAAATAAGAAACCAGGAATAAACAAGGGCAAAATTATTTAGGACCAAAAGATGTGTAACTGAAAGGGATGCTTGAGAAAAAAGGGGGATGACTCATGCTCCAAATTATGCAGGAGACAGAGTTAAGTGTATAAGAAATTCTAATATTGGGATTTAGAGTTTGAGTATGGCAGCATTTCAAAACCAATCTGTGCCACTAGTCAGACAATCAATTAAGCTCTGATTACCCACATTCATCCTCTTGCTCATATTTCCAGTACCTACACAGAACAGCCAAAAGCAGAGCAAAGATTAAAATCACAGCTTTGACTGCTCTGCTCCTTCCCCAGTGCCTCCGCCTGCACCAGGACCTGAGGAGCCATGGCAAGGGCAACATAGATGCAGAGAGGGAAGGCATGGCTGCTGAGATCTGCCAGAGGGCAAGTTCGCAGATGGAGGGACCTAATGCTTTGCCCTTGAAGCTTTAGTGCAGCTGACAATCAAGTCCTTTCTATATTGTGGGTAGATGAACATGGTTTCCCTGCTCTCCATACTGCTCCTGGTGAGATGGATCTTAGACCATAAATAGTGTCAGTGAGGTTCCTTTTTTAGAGATGCCATCCCTGCCATTGAAAATCACTAAACTGGAACTCCACAGGGGTATTCCTCACTTAGTAACCTGAGTCCTGACACAGCCATCGATATTCTACAAATCCTTAGAATTGTAGGATGGGGCTACAGGTTTGAGGAAAATCTGTATGCCTCTGCTGTCCTGTTCCTACTTCTTCAGGTCGAGAATACACTTTGGGGCAGGAATACCTCACAGATTGCAGGCTGGAGTTGTGGCCATTTTCTTGTTTCTTTGAATATAAACAGGCTTCTCTTTTTCCTATTTTTCATTCTTTTTATTGCTTTTTATATGTTTTAAGAGAAGAAAGAGGAGCAAAAATGCTTTTACAAGAACACACTTAATCAGAAACGCTATAAGTGTGATTTAAACATTTAGTGCATTTTGATTACAATTCACAGTGTATGTGCAGAGAAAGTTTGGTGGCTCAGAGCATGGAGTCTCAAGTCAGTTTAAATCCTGCTTCTATCGCTCATGAGATCTTGAACCAGTGATTTAATCTCTCTATGTCTCAGTTTCCCCATATAAAAAAAAGTAGGTAATAGGATCTTACTGATAAACTTACTTTCAGGGTTAAACAAAATAACTCATTTTAAACATCCAGCATATAGTAGGAGCACCAAAAAAATACTACCATTTTTATAAATTTTCCTTAACTGTTCTCTTTTATTAGAAAATGCTGGCTTAAAAAACAATGAAGTATTGGTTGATTTGCCATATCTACGTCTAGGTAGACTTATTAATCATCTAATATAATTAGTTTTATATCCAAGTAAGAAAATACAGCATCCTTTTCCCCAGAAGGAAAAATATGCAACACTTCCCTGTAGTTCTATTCCGCAAATGTATCAATGACAGGTAGTACCAACCCTTTATAAAAGTATGGCACTTTATAAGTCGCTTGCATATTTATTATCAATTTTGATGCTTTAATAACACTCTGCACTCTGAAGCAGACATCTATTATTCCCATTATAGGTAGATAAAAAATGAAAGTGATCTGTTTGAGATTTCACAGTAAGGGTCTCAAACTAGAACTTTTCTCTTTCTGTTCTCATCAGGACACATGGACCCTCATAAGAGGAAAGCAGCGGTGCTAAGGAAACAAGTCATCCTCTGCCTCCCTAAAGTATTGGAGGAAATAAAACACCAAAACAGACATGGCCCACATGCCTCTCCTCTTTATAATCATGCAACTTAGGAAGGCTTAGAATAAGTTAATAGAAATTTTCTCAAATCCTACATAAGGAAGGAAGAAGGGAGATAAACAAACCCTACTTCTGTCCTTAAAAAGCTGATAGTCAATTTTAGGCTCTCGCAGACCTGAATGATGTAGTTTAAGAATTTTATTTTATATAATCTTTGTGGAACCAACCTATAGCCATGCCTGACATTATCAATTCACTTCAAACTTCCCCCGGTACCTGAAAAAAAAGGACAAGGCTTGAAGAGATGGCAAGAAGAGGTATTAGAAATGGCAGCCTACAAATTGCTCAATGTCAGGCTGTCATTGGGAACTGAGAGCTGTGTCACTAATGGGTAGCAGCTGAGACTGGCTGGGGCAGTGCTGCACATGAGGTAAAAAGAATGAGCTTTATTAACTGGACTTTCCTCCTTGGACTCCAAAACTCTTGACATCTAGAGCAGGTTGAGTATAGACCTAGAGCAAATATGCCAGTCACAATAATTGGAAGAGTTCTTTAATACATGACTTTATGAAGATGCCAACAATTTTATGAGAATAACTGATTGAAGTTGTAATAAGATCTGTGTACAGTTTTACAGTTGTTAACTTAAGCATGCAGAAAATATTTAAGTAGATTTCTCCCAAAAAGATGTTCTCTCTTGCTCTTCCACCTCTGTTTAGTCCATCTACCTGAATTAATTCATTTCACAGCAGAGAGGAAGTTTTAGCTTCTTAGCTTTGGGTCAAGAAGCATAATTCCCAGATTCAGTTTGAGTTGACAATAGCCTATCACTGTTAAACATCCTCCAAAGAGGCCAGCACTTTAAATGTAAAACTGTCCACTAATTGTGCTCATTAATGAAGAAGAGCAACTACAGAACTTAAGAGATAAAAACAAAATAAGGGTTCCTAATAAAGAGAGAAGATGGTTTATTACTCCAGGCCTCAAGACTAAAACAGACTTTACTTGGCCACGGAAGAAGTAGCTTGGGCTCCAGAGTAGCTCTCTCTCAGCGCAGACTGCAGTCACTGGAAAGAAATACCAGCCTAAGCCCTCCCCAGTGTCCCCTGATTCTCAGAGTCCTCCCTAGCTGAGCAACACCATAGAGTCCCTTGCACATTCACAGCATCATCTCAGTCAGTCCCTTCAGGGCCCCTCCAACACTTCCAGTCCTTCTAGTATTCTGTGGACCATAGGCTAAATCAACCACTGAAAATAACAAGACAGGCTCTTCCAGCAGCAGTTGAGGCATTGCTTGTGGATCCATCCTGAAGTATCTATCCCATAATAGAACTTTGAGCTGCTACTTTGTACTTGTTGTGTGTTATTCCCCAGGCAGGCAAGTGCTGCCCTCTGTGACAACTTCTGAAATCAGCACCTAGGACGTTACTATCCCACAACTCCTCATCATTGCCGCATGCATTGCTACCACCCAGTACCGGTTTTGCAGGCATAAAGCTCTCTGGAAAAGTACAAAAGTTTTCATCTTACACTAAAGCTGAGAAGCACTGAAATAGAATTAAAAATAAGAATTCTCCTTTACACAAATAGTGGATTCTTGGTCACTCTCTTCAAGCATAATGCTAACACCAGGTGATATCTATACAGAATAATGTAAAACCAACAATAAGTAACATTTGGCGGTGGGGGGGGGGGGTTACTATAGGCCAAACATGATCTTAATTGTTTTTTATGTATTATCTGTTTTGATCCTTAAAACACTCCTAAACGGTTGGTATTGTTATCCATATGCTGCAGATGAGAAAGTTAGGCAGAGAGATTTAAAAAATTGCCCAAAGTCACACAGCCAGCAGGTGGTTGGGCAGGCATCCAACCCAGGTCTGTCTGACCTCATGCCTTGGGCTCCTACCCACCATGTTTACCATCTCCCAGGGCTTAGACAAACATCATGGAATAACTTTACAAAGATATTATTAATGCTTTATATTTGTGTTGCATTTTATAGTTTATGAGGCCCTTACATGTTGGTTGTCATATTTTATCTTTCCAACCCCAAGAAGTAGCCTATCTGGTTTCATAAATGAAAGTTCTTCAGTGTTAGGTCATTGAGAGTCAAAGTAAAATTGACCAATGAATCAAAGCTTTTAATAATATTATCAAGTTAAGCCTCAAAAGGAGCTCTTCTGAATACCAGACCAACATTATATTTTTACTGAACCACCATGTAAAGCATGTATTTTTACACAGAAAAAGTTATAGGAAAATTTAAAGCTTTCTATTTATAAATGACTGTTTGACTAACACAAGGATTAGAAACTAAATACATTTCCAAATGCTGAATAATGTGCATAGTTAAGAAAGATAGTGAAATTTTGTCATTGCTTTATCCTTGGTGCCTAGAAAATTGCCAGCACAAAGTTGTTGCTCAATAAATGTTTATGGAATAAATGAAAGAATTGCAGGAGTGGGGGATCATGGTATAGCTGCACATAATATGCTGTGAGCAGCTCTTTAGTCATGTGACAAGAAGGATCTGATGTGCTAGAGGAAAGTCCTTGAATTGATCATAGTCTGATGCAATGGGACATGGCAGCATGGCATGTTGGGAGTTGGGAGGAAGCTTGGGTTTTAAAATCTAAAAAGCAGCCTTTGACTTGCTCCTACACCACTTCCTATATGTTCTTGGGAATTGATGCAACCACTCACAGCCTCTGCTTTCCTCAGTAAAAAGAGAATTCATTTAAATCACATCACATGAGTGTTTATATTATGAGTTTAATCAATTATTTAGATGTAAGGTGATGGGAAAAGCACAGAAATTTATTATTTGAATTGTGCTGCCAGTCCATTAAATAAGCATATGCACTGGAGGGTTTTTTCTTTGTTCTCTCTCTCTTAAAATTGTTTAACATTTTCATTTTCATATAAACTGCTTATTCTATAGTGTATATTATGGTACATGGTTATTAAACCAGTCTACCTCAGTTGAATACCTGAAACCCTGTTTACTTGATGGACAATTTAAATAATTTTCAAGAGCAGTTCAGACGGGGGATGATTTTCATTTCATATAATGACACTAAAACTTAAACTCTATGTAAAATAGGACTCCACTAAACAAAGCCATTCAGGAGGCTGAGACAGAGAATCGCTTGAACCTGGGAGGCCAGGGTGTAGTGAGCCAAGATCGTGCCACTGCCCTCCAACCTGGGCAACAGAGCGAGACTCTATCTCAAAAAAAAAAAAAGAGTTTATAGATTTGGGGATGAAAATTAAATGAGGTAATACCCATAAAACACTGAGCACTGGGCCAATACTCAAGAAGTACTATTTTCTCCACCCACCTCCAAAATCTAATACAAAGTTCCCTCTGTCAATGGAAATTACAAGTCTGAGATCAAACCAGTAGAAATACAGTTCATGTTCCCTTTTCTGAGATTCATTTAGGCACCTTTGCTGGAAGCCTTCTCTAAAAACAACTGAGGAAATGAGCTAGAGACTGCCAATAACATTCAACTGCTTAAATGTTTCTATTGGTTGAATTTTCATATTTTTTATTTCTCTTATTATTTCTTAAACTAAATAAACTATCTCAAAAAATAATTCGGATAGATTTTTAAATTCATGGCATGATAGACATCAGAAAATTATTCACCTTCAAAACTTCTGTCTGGCAATTTGATACAATGTCAAGATAATTTCAGTTTCTTAATTTCTTTCATATAGCAATCACTTAAATAATTGAAACAAACTTTCTAAGTCATATCCTTCCCTATTTATTCATAGTTATCCAATCAATTGAAATATTTTCCTGTAACTTCAACTATAATATAATAAGTGCTTTAATCAGATAAGTTTAAAGTTTAATCAACTCAGACTTCTATGTCTATGGAAATGTTTTAATAATCTAAACTAAAATCACCTACAATAATTCACTCACTCCTCTCAATGGTATTTGGTAGTTCAAGGAGGGGCATATGCCATGGGATTAGCCTTCAACGGCTTTGTATTGTATTAAGCAAAAATCATTTTCTTTAAACACAATATAAATTGCATTTTAATATCTCTATAGATTTCCATATTAACAAGTGGAAAGCACAGCAGATTTACTAAATAAACTTGAACAGAATTGCCTAGTGTTATTAATAATTTCACCTCCATATTTTAAAGATATAAATTTGCTTGTTTAAAAACCACCTGATGAAATTTTAGTACTTCTATTTTGAAAACAGGTAAGTTCAATGGCATTAGGGTCTTTGATGTCACAGTAAAGGTAAGCATATGCACATTGTTTGTGTTTTAAAAATAATCCATTATGTTGCAAAAATGCAGTTGGATCGTGTGTATGCGTATGTGTGTATGAAAGTGATATATAATGTCTAAAATATTACTCAAAAGCCAAAGATATTATTTGATAGGTGATATGGTTTGGCTCTGTGTCCCCACCCAAATCTCAAGTTGAATTGTAATCCTCAGTGTTGGGCGAGGGACCTGGTGGGAGGTGATTGGATCATAGGGGTGGAATTCCCCCTTGCTATTCTTGTGACAGTGAGTTCTCACGGGATCTGGTTGTTTAAAAGTGTGTAGCGATTCCCCCTTTGCTCTCTCTCCTGTCGTCATGTGAATATGTGCTTGCTTCCCCTTCCCCTTCTGCCATGATTGTAAGTTTCCTGAAGCCTCCTCAGCTATGCCTCCTGTACAACCTGCAGAACTGTAAGTCAATTAAACTTCTTTTCTTTATAAACTACCCAGTCTCAGGTAG
Source organism: Homo sapiens (assembly GCF_000001405.40). Lineage (NCBI taxonomy): Eukaryota > Metazoa > Chordata > Mammalia > Primates > Hominidae > Homo > Homo sapiens. The sequence goes on from NC_000010.11 coordinate 90,716,091, forward strand.
TTCTTTATAGCAATGTGAGAACAGACTAATACAGTAGGCAAGTCATTACAAGTAGGTTAATTCAGGCCCACAGGGTTATTGGAAGCAAAAATCTACTAAGCCAGGAAGCCACTCCTCAAATGGTTTCTCAGTTCATAATGATATCAAATACTGTGACTTGATTGATGTTTTTTTCTCATTATATATTCCATTAACACTTGGAAAATAATCAGAAAAGGAATAAGGAAAATCTGAAAATCCCACTTACTATTAAAAATGTACTTATTATAATATTTTGAAAGTATGAAAAAGTATAAAATGGAAATAAAAATCACCTGTAATATCAATATCCAGAGATAATAACTTTTAACAGTTTGATATATACACACACACATATATGTACATATACATACATATACAAGGATATATACATAAATTTTTAAATTGGTATTAAATTACTATATATGTAGCTTCTTACCTGAAGTTCATTGGAAATTGTTTTTTTCATATTATTTATTTCCAAAATATGATTATTGATGAACATAATATATTACTGTTAGTATACAAGCTCCACGAGCACAGTGACTAAATCTGTCTTGTTCTTATAACCAGTAACAAGTATGCCATAATTTATTTAACTACTTCCTTAATGTTTGACGTTCAGGTGGTTTCCAAGTTTTCATTGCCATAAATGTTACAATATTATTAATGCATGAATGTTCCCTTTCTCTGACATTCCCCTTTATCTGACAGATGTTTAATTTTCATCTTCTCCCACCCTCGAAGGGGAGTTCTGTTTTGCCTGATGATTATTTGAGCTTTTGTGATGCAGATTCAGAGGGAAAGAAGTGAGGCTGGAGTTGAAGAACAAGAGGTATGTGGGCAGGACTGGAAGATAAATTTTCTGAGAATTTTGAAGGATAAGATGTGGGAGTAACTGTGTGAGGGAATTAGATGGGAGAATTAAAAAAAATTACCATGGTCTATGTAACCTCCTCACTGAGGTTTTTTAACGCAAGTACAGAAATTACAGAATCAAATTTTGGTTTTTTGTTTTGTTTTTTGTCTGTCAAATATACACCCTTGAATATTAGGGTAGCCCCATTTCTGAAATAAAGAACCTCCAAATCTCAGTGGCTTAACATCATTACAGTTTATTTCTCATGTCTCTTTCCGTCCAATGGTGGTACAGGGGTGGACTCCATGTGATGACATAGAGAACTCAGCTCCTTCCGTGTGGTGGATTTGATATCCTGCAGGGCCTCTGAGCCCTGCACTGATCCTTTTGCAACCTGCCTTGAGATGAAGAAGGAAAAGGAGCATGGAGGATCTGCAGGAGTTTAATGGGTCAGGCTAGAGGTGGCGTACATCACTTTTGCCCCCATTCCATTGCCCAGAACTCAGTCACATGGTCCCCACCTAGCTGCAAGGCAAATCAAGAATGTAGTTCATTGTGTTCCAGAGATAGTCTCTGCTATCATTTCCTATGCTATGAAGTCTTGATAAAACTGTTAACTCGAGGTACCTATGTTCCCTTGGCCAAATGGTAGACATAGGGCCTTGGTAAGGCTATTTGGAAGATCTTTCTCAGGTATTTGAATCTTGAGTACAGTGACAGAAGAAAGGAAAGTATTTGCAGTTGGCTCATCTTGAGGGTAACACCCTGTAAAATCCTTTATGTGTTCCTAAAACCTACACCCTTAGTGCAGCCTCATACTTATCTTTCATAAGGGCTATTCAGCTTTTCCTTCATGTCTGTGAACTACCCACATCCTTCCAAATAATTCTTTTTTTTTTTGTATGTTATCCACAATTATTCTTTGTTGCCTGTAACCAAAGGAACCTAATTAATACTGAACTTACAGTGTTTTAAAATTGTATTCAGTTGTTATTGATATGTGTTTCTCTGTTCACAACACTACTCTCAGATGATGGCTTTATAAGATTTACACAAATAATGTCAAGATAAATTGATTTGTACAAAAATCTTTACCCTATTTCTGATTATTTTCTTAGGTCAAATGCCTAGATCAAATGTATGTTTATTAAAATATAGTAATACTAATTATGTACTTCAGTCAATTAAATATTATTAATCTTTTCATATGATACACATTCCATTTCAGCTTTAGAAAATTGTGTTTTCAGCATTAATGTAATAGCAAACAGAAGAAAGCATACCTGAGCACTACACAACACAGTGCTCATGTTAAAGTTATATCGATGAACCTAACTGTGCCTTGAGGAAATCTGTACAGAAATTCTAGATACAGTATGAGCTTTCCTGGAGAGTGGTGCCCTCTGTTGCAAGAGAAAGGGAGGAAGGGAAGAGTGTAACTAGATCATTAGTGCAGGCTTCTGTGGCTTGTTTGGTTTCCATTACAGTCAGTTCAGATCTGGGATTTAGCAGAGGCCATTCCTTCCCCCTTCAGCGTTGTTTGTCTCTTTTCCTCTACGTAGTAACTTCTCAGCCTCCATAAAGCACCAGGCCACAACAGAATCAGTCCACATTAGTCAGTCGGGTCTTTATGAAATTGCCCATGAGGTCTTGTTGTTGCATGTAGACAAATTCAGAGAGAATTTGGTTTGTCTTCTTGGCTTAAGAAATAGGAAATTTGGGGATATAGGGATTCATGATTTTTACTGAGAGAAAAAGCCTTTTTTTTTAGCTTTGCATATCTAGAACAATTCATATACAATAATATTCAGCTGTGAAATTGAAGTAGCTTACATTCTTTTAAAATTCACCTCAGGTGTGGCCAACATGGCTGAGTGTTTTGTTGTTGTCTTACTTGTTGTGCTGTTTGAAAAATACATCCTTTACCAAAATATTACCATATAATGTTTTGAATTAATATTTAATGCTAAAATAAATATTTAAAGAAGCACAAACACAAAATTAATTAAATGAAGATAACTTACAGAGTAATACAAAAGAAAGAGTATACACTTTTAATAAGAATAGGGTGGAAAAAGTCTTAATTTGATACCAAAGGCAGAAGAAAATAAAAAAGCTTTTTAAAAGACACCTATTAAAAAGATCTGGTAGGATAATTTTGTGAGCAAATTTTAAAGTAAATAACATTTGTTTACTTATATAAATAAAATTCTCTAATGAGCCTGGAACAATTTATAGAAAAATAGGAATATTTCAAAAATGTGTCAATACATGACACTATTGCCAAATCTTATTAAACAAAAAGAGAACTACTGACCAATCTCACTTATAAATATATTGACACCCAAAATCCTAAACATAATAGTGGGAAATAGAATTAAATAAGACACTGAAAGGATTTTAGATTGCAAAAACGTATTAATCATTCTAGACTGCAAAGATATTATATTAGTAAGTCAATTAATATACTTTCTTAGCTGCCAACATTTGTCTATTTCCAAATCTATTCCTGGTTTTAAAAATAACAAACTGTGAAATAGGATTGGATATATCCCACCTGAATATATTTTTTAAATGCATATTGCAAATCTAAGGCCAGCACTATGCTCAGGGAAGAAATAATGGAAGTATTTCCATTAAAGTCAGAAATAAAGATGTCTTAGATCATCATAATAATTTAATATTTTTCTGAACCTCAAGCCAATGCTATTAAAGAAATGAAGTAAGAGGTATACATATTTAAAGGAAGGATGCAAAATTATTTCCAGCCAATAAAATTTTATATAATTTTTAAAAATTTATAATTTTCTGTGAAGCCCTGGAAAACTTCTGGAACTGTTAAGAGAATAAGTAAGGTAGCTAGCTTCAAAATAAATACACAATAATATGCAATCATTCTTCACATACCAGAGATAATCAGTAATCAAGCTACCACATATGCAATCATAATAAACACCAAAAATACAAAGAGCAAAAACTAAAAAGAAATGTGCAGCGATAAAAATTACAACATTTTACCAAGAAATACACAAGAATTGTCAAATAAATGAAAGACATACCTTGTTTGTGGACAGAAAGACTTGGTGTTGTAAAGATGTCAGTTCTTTAGTTCTTTCTCTAAAACAGACCATAACTTGTATGTAATGCCAGTCAAAATTACAACAGGATTATTTTAAAATTTAACAAAAATTATTTTTAAATTCATCTGCAAAGATGGTAACAAAAATTACGAAAGGACTAGAAGAGAGGGGTACACACTTTTTCTATTAGATAGTAACACCTTGTATTTAGCAGTAATAACAATAACAATACATGAATAGCATTGGTGCAGGAAAAGACAAATTGCCAAGGGACAGAGAATCCCGGAAACAGACACCAATCTCACATATTATGAGATTTAATGTATGACAAATGTGGCATTTTAAATCACAGGGAACAGATTGATTACTCACTAAATAATTGAAGACAACAAACTAGCCACATTAGGGGAAAAATTAAATTTCATAAATTCCAGTTAGATTAAAATTCTTAATAAATGTAAAAAGTGAAGCAAAAGTATGAGTAAACACTTTTAAAAACTATAGAATGGAACAAGTCTTTCTAAACTTGACACCAAAGCCAGAAGCCATCAGTGAAAATGAATTTACATACAAATTAAATATTTCTGGGCAACCAAAACAAAGAATCATAATTATTATAGACATTTGGAAAACAGAAGAAAAGTTTAGTAACACACATATTGGACAAAGAATTACTACTGTACAAAGAGCTCTTGAAAATCAATTATAAAAAGAAAAATGGTCAAAGACTATGCATAGTTGATTTACCAAAGAAGAAATTAAAGTAGATCAAAAAATAGAGATGTTCAGTTTCGTTATTTTCTCAAATATAAGTAAACAATAAAAAAATAAATCTTTTAAAACCATAAGATTGGCATCAGATAAATGTCAAAAGCCTAACACTGGCAAAAGGAAAGGAAATTTGGCATTATCAAAAACTTTTGATAGAGTATGAATAGACACAATTTTGGCAGGTCGGTCAATCCATATCATCATCATAAATGTTGCTATTTTTGTAATCCATGATAAATAAATCCCATCCAATCCAACAGTCTTATAACTACAAATTCTCCACAAAGAGATAATAACACAACAGGGAAAACATAAATGCATAAATATGCTTATTATTTTAGCATTCATAAAAGCGAAATTGAAAAGAAACAACAAAATCTCCATCACTGGATGATTGGTTAAAAACATGAGATACTCTGCTACCATTAAAAAATAAGAGTGTGTGTTTTTTTATTTACTGAGGTAGAAACATAATCTCAGCATGTTTTTTGTTTGTTTATCTGTTTGTTTGGCTTTGTTTTTGTTTTTTGAGACAGAGTCTGTCTCTGTCTCCCAGGCTATGGCGCATGCAGTGGTGCGATCTCTGCTCACCTCAACCTCCACCTCCCAGGTTCAAGTGATTCTCCTGCCACAGCCTCCCGAGTAGCTGGGACTACAGGCATGTGCCACCATGCCAGGCTAATTTTTGTATTTTTAGTAGAAATGCGGTTTCACCATGTTGGCCAGGCTAGTCTCGAACTCCGACCTCAAGTGATCCACCAGAGTGCTGGGATTACAAGCGTGAGCCACCATGCCTGACCTCTCAGCATGTTTTTAAGTGTGAAAAAATTAACCTGCAATGTAGCATAAACTTATTTACAAAGCATTATGTCCACATAGCTATATGTGTCTATATACATTTAGGTATCTGGAAGTTTATCTCTGAATGGTGAGATTTTTGTGATTTTATTGTCTTCTTAGTAGCTTTTTCTGCATTTAATTAGTTTGTCAATGAGTATGTCGTCCTAACTACAAAATATTAGTTTTTCAAAATAAATAGCCTTACCAACAAGATCACTATTTGCATTGTCTTTGTCCTTCCCTTTACATAAATACTACCACACCTTATCAATCTTGTGATATATTTTCTTCACATTTTCTTTCACCAGGATGCATCTTAAAATAGATGGCATCGGCCAGGCACAGTGGCTCACGTATGTAATCCTAGCACTTTGGGAGGCCAAGGCAGGCAGATCACGAGGTCAGGAGTTCGAGACCAGCCTAGCCAACACAGTGAAACCCCGTCTCTACTAAAAATAAAAAGTAGCCGGGCGTGGTGTCAGACGCCTGTAATCCCAGCTACTCAGGAGGCTGAGGCAGGAGAATTGCTTGAACCTGGGAGGCGGAGGTTGCAGTGAGCTGAGATCACACCACTGCACTCCAGCCTGGACAACAGAGCTAGACTCTGTCTCATAAAAAAAAAAAATAGATGGCATCTCACAATCGTTGTTGGCCAGCAGGATATCACGACATAGTTGTCATTGCCTGTGCATGTACAAACTTGGTCATGGTTATTCATATTGTCATCAATTAATTAATGCATTATTGGTATGGTTATATGTCACCTGACAGGGATACATTCTGAGAAATGCAATCATTAGGCAATTTTGTCATTGTGCAAACATCATCACAGAGCATACTGAAACTAGATGGTATAGTCTGCTACACATCGAGGCTATACAGGATAGCCATTATAATCTTATGGGACCACTGTCATGTATGCGGTCCACCCTTGAGTTATGCAACACATGACTGTACAGCATTTATTGAGTACAACTGGTATTTAAAATTACTTTGGTTACTACTGGTACATAACTAATTACCTCAAACCTTGGTGGCTTAAAATAACAACAAGCAGTTTATTATCTCTCATGGTTTCTGTGGACCAGAAATTTGGGAAGGGTTTGGTCAGGTGGTTCTAGTTAAGAAATATCTCATGAGCTCTTCAATACTAGCTGGAGCAGGTACAGCAGAAGTGGAGCAAGCAGGAGCAGCTGGAAACTGGCAAAGCATCTTTTGTCATGTAGTTTCAGGGCTTCTCCATGTAGTCCCTCTGGAGTTGGGCTAGTCTGGGCTTCCTCACAGCATGGCAGCCATAGGGTGGTCAGACAGTTAACATGGAGGCTCTGGGCTTCAGAGCAAGCGTTCCAGCAAGCACGGTGGAAGTTGCATCATCTTTTCGGACCTAGCTTCAAAAGTCATACCGTACCATATCTGAGGCATTCTTTTGGTTACCAGCAAGACAGAAACTAGCCTGGATTCAAGTGGGGAGAAACCAAGCCTCCCCTCTTAATGTGGATATAGTAAGGTTCTAGAAGCATGTGTGCAACAAGCGCTATTATTGTAGTCATCTTTGGGGAAAAAATATCTATCACAAGTGTTTTCAAAAATGTTACACCATTATTTAGCATTGAAATGTAGTTATTTTAAATCCAGAAAGGTACTGCAAGATAAAAATAAATCCATTTCTTTGTTGAACAGAGCTCTTTCAATAAGTGTAAAATAAAAATTCTAAGTGATAAGAAAGCAGTGTCTCATAGTTCAATCACCAGAATTTATTCTTGCTTAGTAGCTGTACCAGAGATGTCTTTCATTTCCCCTTGCAGATCCACTTCCCACACTCCTTGTGAGGCTGATGGTTAGACAATGTGGACGTGCTCCTGTGCCCTCTGGCTTCACGTTGGGTTGGACCAATGAGGAGGCCTGGCAGGAGATGGGAGGGAGAGGGGGAGTAATGGCAGAGCATTGGCTGCTCCCTTGCTCCCTCCTGGGAGCTTACCTGACCCACTCAATCTGCTCGACAAAGCTCTCCCCTTCCAGGTGTCTGTAACATCTTCCTCCTCTCATTCTTTTGTGGTGAGGTAGTGACAGCTTTTTAAATTCTAACCCCAGCTTCCTGCACATTTTTTTGTGGTTCCTCTACACCTTTGTAAATAAATCCCCTGCCGGTAGAGAGGTGCACAGAACAATGCCGCATCTTACAAGTAATGGCATCTTAGAAAAAATTAAGTACAGCTTTAAAACTGACTCATTCTCTTTCACTTTACATGTTAGCAAGATGTGCAGAGACTGGCCTGTCCAAGGCCTTCCCACTGTCGGGAGGTAGGCTGGTGGTAGGCAAGAGCTAAGGGGAGAGACATGAGAAAAATTCCCCACTGTAGAAGGCCATGGCTACTGGACTCAGGGCAATGATGCACTGTAGTATCTTCTATGCTAGAATTCCCTTGTGCTAAAGCACAATTCTTATGTGTTGCAGTAATATTTTTCTCAGTGTTACAGCCTGATCTTATCTATGGCCTAAGTAGGGCCTAAACCCACCCTTGCTGTGTAACAGAAATAGAAAAACAGCAAGAAGGGGGAACTGGTTACCAGACAGCAAGCAGTGACCTAAAAAAGCAGAGGATGCCTACATAGAAACACTTGAGTGAGCTGACAAGTAATGAGCAGAGTGGAATAAGGACATGAATGCTCTGCGGTGTCCCCGACATCTGGGGCGGAAAAGGTAAAAGACAGTACCCCCTTCTGCCACATATGACTCAGGGTGCCAAAGGAGAGAAGAAGGGGATCCCTGCAGACTGGGACGCCTAGGTTTCCTACAGGTTTAATCATATTTAGGTGAATGTATTTCTTGAATGCTCTTGTGCATGAGCCCATTCTTAGCCAGGTATATGCATTTTAGTGGTGGGAGCAAGCTAGAACTTCCCAAATCACCTTGAAATCTGCTTCACAGTTAGCAATTTAATACTCCCAGATACACCAGACATTCATTGCATTGAAAACCAGGCATATTCTTTTCAAATAGGATTGGAAGAAGGGACATTTTCCTACTTTCATCTGATTCTTTTGAAAGTTACCAGAAAAGAGTATCCAGACTCTGATTGGTTGTGGGAAGTTGCTTTATAAAAAGTCGGTTAACTTTTTTGAATAAAACCATTATCTCATAGATGACTGATAAGCTAACTTCAACAAAAATGAACTGTATTTTTTCTAATATAATAATTCTAATTATTAAAATTCATCAAGTAAAAAAATGCACTGATCACCAAAATTAATTAATTAATTAAATGGATCCTGAGGAAAGCCAGAGCTTTGTCACACCATGCACAGTTTATGGTGATAGAACTCTTGCAACTTTCTCCTTCTCTACTCTCTCCTATTTGCCAGATTATAAACATTTCTTCTACATGCAAAGATCCTCTGACTCCCCAATTGTAGTTGATACTTATCTTCTTTTACCTGGATATTTATGGTGTCTCCTAAAGATAAGCTATGATGTTGTATTTTGCCAAAGGTGTTCACCTCCCTTGAATGTGAATTTCTCCAGCATAATTCTTTAGTATTTCAAACGCAAATGAGAGTTATCTGAAAAATAATCTGCAAGACACCTCCCCTCATTCTGAGGCTTTCCTCTTTTCATGTGTTAATGGATTGATACATTTGTTGTGGAAGGTAAGGAAATAGATGTTTCTTCATACTACTCGGCCCCCACCTAAAATCATGAGGGTCTCCAAAACTCCACCTACCTACGGCAGCAACCCTGGATAAATATTACCAGGAGTCTCAATTGTCCACATGTGCAATGTTTGATGTATACACTTTATATCATAATTAATAGGTACATAAGTATAAAATGTTACACAATACAGTCAGTGAAGCAAAACGTTCACTCTTAAAATTCAAACTTTGAGATATTAGAAATGGGAAAACTGAACGAGCTTTTGCCATGTTTCTTTCAGTACAAGTTCTCTATTACGCAGAATTATTTTAGTTGCTGGTGTCAGAAACCCAATTCTGTGGTTTGCAGAAGAATTTTCTTTATAAAATTGAAGTTTTAAGGGACGTCAGTGTTTATGCCATTTTTCCAGTTCCAAAATGATTCCATTCCATTCTAGAAATTTGAAGTATGTAACCTGAAATCCTTAATAAAATTTGGATTTAATTTTATAAAATGTAAAAAAAAAAAAAAAAAAAAAACGAAATCTACTCGCTTGTAAAACTGGGAAAGGTCAGGGGTAATGTGGGCCTCAGGCACCATGAATTAAATGAACAACTATGGTGTTATTTGAATTCATTCACCTCCTGACTGTTTTTCTCTGCAGGGCAGCTGACAACCTCGGCAAGGCAGAAGTCACCATGAAAGCTTCCTTTTCTCAAGTATTTACCATTCAAAACTTTAGGGAAATTCATTAACATAAATTGGCAATGATATTAGATGATTTAATTTTGAAGGCAAATAAAAGGTTTTTGGAGGATACTGTTGCATTGCTGCTAGGAATATAAATTGGTCTAACCACTTTGTAAAACTATTAGGCAGTATTTACTAAAGCAAAATATACATGTGGTCTATGGCCCAGCAATTCCACTTCTGGGTATGTTCCCAAAAGAACTGAATGCTTGTGTTTATAAAAAGATATGTGCAAGAATAGTCATAGCAGCATTATACATAACAGTCTCCAAATGGAAACGAACCAATTATCTACTAATAATAAAATGAATAAATTGTGTTATATCCATACAATAGAATACATACAATTTTGAAAAGAAACAGCTAGTCCTACACACAGCGAGATGAATGGATCTCATAAACATTGACAAACTAGACACCAGAGAATACATATTATATTATTCTATTTATACAAAGTTCAAAAACAAGGAAAACTAACTTATGATAAGAGGTCAGAATATTAGTTACCTTTGCAGTTATTGAGTGGTGAAGGTATAAGTGATCTGCTAGGGTGCTGGAAATGCTCAATAATAAGGAAGTGGTAGTTATATGGATATGTAAAACTTCACCAAACTTTGATGTTCTTCATTGAATATAAAATATACCTCACCAGAAAGTTTAAAGAAAGGAGAAAAAAAAAGGTCCTTAGAGCAATAAAAAAAATACCTATGCCTGATACGCGATTGTCTTCTGGGCATACACATAGTACTCATCTGAGTACCCATCCAATTATTAAAAAAAATTCCTAAGAAGTGACATTTAATGTAACTTGTATATAAAATATTTGACTTTAAATACCTAATAAATGTTTGAACATTCATATATTTTACTTTATTATATTCTTATTTCTTCTTTACAATCTGTCTTAGAGTTCTAATAATTATAATTTTGAGAGCCTGTTTCTACTGTCAGTTTTTCCTTCTGGTTCTTACTTATTTCCTTATGTGTTTATTTGTTTACTAGGTACTGATAATGTCCTTGAAACAATATTAATGGGAATCCTTTGAAGACTAGACTTCTCCAAAGAGGATTTATGTCTGATAGCTTCAGGTGCCTGGAAGTATCAGCAATACACTCTGACCCACCTCCAACCAAATTCAGAAGCTTGGGGTCCCATAGACCACCTAGACAATGTAAACCAAGCCTGCAAATCTGTTTTAGAACAGACTATGGCTCCAACTTCTCAGGAAAGTTTTTTTCCCCCTTTTTCTTCCCTCCAACCAACTCAAGACAACCCTATCCAAAGATACCAAAGGGTGGAAATGGGAATTGAGTATTAGGGAGGCTGAAGTGGGTTTAGTTGTATTTAGTTTTTTCTCACACTGCTAATAATATAAAGAACTGCCTGAGCTGGGTAATTTATAAAGGAAAGAGGTTTAATTCACTTACAGTTCTACATGGTTGGGGAGCCCTCAGGAAACTTACAATCATGGCAGAAGGGGAAGCAAACCCATCCTTCTTCACAAGGTGGCAGGAGAGAGAAGAGTGAGGAGTGAAGGGAGAAGAGCCCTTATAAAACCATCAGATCTCATGCGAACTCACTATCACAAGAACAGCATGGGGGAAACTGCCCCCATGATCCAATCATCTCCCACCAGATCTCTCCCTAGATACTTAGGGATTACAATTCGGATGAGATTTGCGTGGGGACACAGAGTCAAACCATATCAGTTGTGGACTTTTACCCTGGGGATATCTCTGCTCTTTAAGGTCTGATCTTAATTTGGGGAGTCTCCTATTTGACTCTTCTTCTTGGGAGATCCCTTCATTTCTGTACTTGAAGCCCAACAGAAGTGAACCCCAGCTGCCCCTTACAGGCAGTTCCCTCAGAACAGAAACAGCTTTAGGCTCTGCTTACTTCTATGGGTTCGTTTCCCTCTCTGTTTCTTTATTATGTTGTCAGGTGCTCTCAAGGTATTTTTCTATTTTAATTTTATCCAGCTATTTTATTTCTTTTTACTAGAATCGTTGGTCTGAATAACATAGCCCACAAATTATACTTGAATCTTTCATTTATTCTTATCAACTTTGGTATTTTTCTGATACAAAAAGAATTTCCAAAATTAGATCACATTTCATGATTCTAAACTCATAAAATAGAAGGATCCTTCTTATTATAACGAAAAGAACATAACTCTTCCAATTATCATGGAATTTCAGAATAAAGCCCCAAACCAAAGACAAGAGGTGACTGTTTCCTCCACATTCTGAAGAGGAACTGTGGATCCACCAGACACCTCCCCTCAAGCCTTGGTGAGAATTAACTGGTTCTTTGACCCTGCAAGCCCCTCCATTCCCATCCTACCTAGCCCTTCTAGGCAAAATACCAAGTATGTTTTAAGAGGGTCAGGGTGGTACTGACTTCCAGGCCTTAGGGGCAAGAATTTTGGATTTTGTCCTCTCTGCTCATGAAGAAAGAAAGTGCTCTCCCTTCCAGACCAAATGACAGAGGCTCCTAGAGAAATTTTAAGAAACTGGAGGTTCTAGCAATAAGGTACCCCAGCAGGATGAGAGTGAGCTGCAGAAGCTTAGGGTGGATCCAAATAGGGTGTTGTGAGAGAATTTGAGAGAGCCTTACATGAGTTCCCTGGAGTGCAGAGATCAACCTGAATATAGAGACCAGTGCCTGCCTCTGGCCTAAGTCAGAGCTTCTCACACTTTAAGGTGCACATGAATCACCTGGGGATCATGGTAAAAAGCAGATTCTAATTCAGTGGGGCATGGGTGGAGCCTGAGGTTCTTTTGTATTTCTAGTAAGGTTCCACATGATGCTGCTGGTCCCTAGACCACACTTTAAGTAGCCGTGGCCTACAGAATTCTGAAAGTGGGAGGCTGGCTAGAACAATCCTCCAAAGCAAGGTGGAAGAAATAACAGTAGTGCCCAGTGAGGAGCCACACTTCTAGCTCTTGGCATGGCCAAGATGTGTGGCATTGCCCTTGTGCAAAATATAGGTCACAGAAGTAGGTAGGCTTGAGCTGGCTTGAATGTGACACCCAGAAGGATGGCCTGTAAGAAACAGAATCCCAGTAGTAGGAGGTCATGGAGCTTAGGGGGTCTTGGAAGAAGTTATCTGGAGAGCACAGAACCCACATCAGAATGGATTTATGTCCAATTGAACCAAAACATAACCCACAAAACGTCAGCCCGAAGACACCTGCCATATCAAAGAACAACAATAACGCCAGCTAACTAAAAATACTTCTGTTCCTTTTCCTCATGTGTTCCATTTCCTCTCATCTTCCCTCCTCTTCCAACCAGGGAAAAAAGTGAAAGGGTGGGATGTGTGAAACAAGAGACCACACTGTCTTTCGCACGAAAGCTCCCTGAGTTAAAGACCTCAGGTTAGGGCTGAGCTTCAGAAAAAGGACTTAAACTGGCTTTGGCACTGAAGCTTTCATCTGTATCATAATGGACTTTTTAATACTTTATTCTTTATCATTGAAAGGACATTTTCTTATCCCTGAAAGTGACCAGAAAGTTTTGGGCTTTGCCCACGTTGGTGTTTAGGGACCAGGAAAAGGGATCTGATGACCAAAGAGAAAAGAATGGTGAGAAGAAAATCCTGGACATAGCTGTATCCTTCATGAGGTTCAGCCCATTCCATAAACCAATTCTATAATACTTCATTGGCTCAATTTATAACCATTGCCTTAGCCAATTTGCTCATAAATCAAGGATTACCTGTATTTCAAATAATCACTGAATACCTCAAGAGGGAAGCTTCTTTCTAAATAATTTCAGGTTTAAAAGAATCAGTTCAACCATTGTGGAAGTCAGTGTGGCGATTCCTCAGGGATCTAGAACTAGAAATACCATTTGACCCAGCCATTCCATTACTGGGTATATACCCAAAGGACTATAAATCATGCTGCTATAAAGACACATGCACACATATGTTTATTGCGGCACTATTCACAATAGCAAAGACTTGGAACCAACCCAAATGTCCAACAATGATAGACTGGATTAAGAAAATGTGGCACATATACACCATGGAATACTATGCAGCCATAAAAAAGGATGAGTTCATGTCCTTTGTAGGGACATGGATGAAATTGGAAATAGTCATTCTCAGTAAACTATCACAAGGACAAAAACCAAACACTGCATGTTCTCACTTATAGGTGGGAATTGAACAATGAGAACACATGGACACAGGAAGGGGAACATCACACTCTGGGGACTGTTGTGGGGTGGGGGGAGGGGGGAGGGATAGCATTAGGAGATATACCTGATGCTAAATGACGAGTTAATGGGTGCAGCACACCAGCATGGCACATGTATACATATGTAACTAACCTGCACATTGTGCACATGTACCCTAAAACTTAAAGTATAATAATAATAAAATAAAAAAAAGAATCAGATCTTATTAAACCAATCAACATGACCCTAGGTTTTTAGTAAAGTGATCAATTGCTTTTATTTTATATTTTTTATTCCTTTGTATCAAGTCACCTATAAATCTAGGCATGTAAAAATATGTAGTTCTCTTCATGTTGTCAGAAGTGTCCAGATGGTTTGACGCCTTACATGGAAAGAAAATCAGCAGTTAACTTCTAAAGAGGGAACCCTCTGGGAGCAGATCAAAAATAAGAATGTTGTGTTAAGGGGAATATTTTTGGCTAAGGACTAGATTGAGAATTAGAAGAGTAAAAGAAATTTAAAGGTGTTTTCCCCAAAATAAGCTGCAAAGGCCAACATCCTATAAAAACTAGTTCCTTACATTACAAATATGTACATTAATCAATTGAAAAATGGGTGAAGATATGAGCAGGCAGTTCACAGAAGAGGAACTCACTAGCAATCAGGGGAGTGCAAACTTAAAAACACAAAGCGATAGCATTTTACACTCTTTGGACACGCAAAAACCTAAAAGTTGACAATACAAAATGTTTGAGAAAATACGGAAATAAGAGAATTCCCATATACTGTTGTGGGAGTGCAAAGTAAGGCAACCACTTAAAATTTGGCAAAAAATCTAGGTAAGGATATACACACCCTCCTACATAACAACTCCACTTTCAGCATACTGTTGGGCATCTAAGCTTTTTACACATGTACTCCATAAAATAATTTTGGAAAATTACGCAGTCACTTGAAAATGTTTAAATTGAGATGTAATTTTTAATAATAAATTTAAATACTTGCAAAATATATAATTTTGAAATTGTTATAAATACTGACATTTACAAAATAAAACTGTGATGCCATTCTTTCAAAAGTGGTATCAGATAACCATTACCATCTATTTTTTTTTAAAATACACAAGCAGTTTTTCTTTAACATTTGGAAAAATTTACCTTGTTTCCTTTTTTGTTTTGACTTGTATTTCCATTCCACTTTATTACTGAAGTTTATAGTAACATTTTTATGCTTGAATATCTTTTATTGACCACTGTAACATATTGTTACAGAAATGTGTATATAACGAAAAACTGAAAAAGTATTTTTCTTATAGCTTTAAGATGGTGAGGATTAAAACATTTTTCTTGATTTAAAAAATTATTACCACTTTAAGTGGTAATTTAAATATTAGCAATTCCTCTTTAATTACTACTAAATTACTGTTGATCAAAAGCTAAATGTATTACAAAGTTTCATAAGTAATTATTAAATGTAAAATTTTATCAAGAATGCATCTTTTAATTAATGAGAATTTTTCATTCATTTAGTTTATATATCCAGAGATGAACATTGTTTACTGCTAAAATGAAACCGGGTTCACCGTAAATTCATAGCAAAATAAACAGAAGGAGGCTACCAGTAGTACAAGGCTTACCAACAGTATATTAATGATGAAGTGTATTTTTTACAGTAAAATCCATGACATATACCTGTTATGTAAATTTAATAAGTACATGATAAGAATGAACAAATGAGTGAAGAATTGGTTGATGGATAACAGTTAGCAGGGACATTGAGTCCAAATAAAAAGTGTATATAGATTTATAGTATCCAATAATTTTGTCAAAGGGAATGGAAATCTTTCTCAGCCTGAATAAATGTTTAAGAAAATATAAAACACTAATTTATTTTTAACCTAAGTTTACTTTACTTAAAAGTGTAATATTGATCTACAGGAGACAAACATGGACGTTCTTACCTCCTCCCTTCTCAAACTTGCAAATAATGCAGGTGAGCCCAGTAAATAGAAGCAGTCACCAAAGTCTTTCTCCTTTCTCAGAATGAGAAATCCGGGCTGTGCTTCTCAACACACTGGTGTTTCCCAGATTGCCTTTTGCAACTCCTGAATATTCTTACATGGGTAAATACCAAAACTTTGTCATGAGTTCACTGTCCCAGTGAAATACAACACCAACACCCTCTGTATTTCTTACCTGTTTTGCTCTCACAGGACTCCCCACTCAGGAGTGATGTGTACTTTAACAATCAGGAGAAGTAATAGAAGAGATCATTAAACAAAAATTGTCCTGCCAACCCACTCTACAATATATCTGAATTCAGATCATTCCTTCATGGGTCAAAAGACCATTTCTAATTCCACTAGCTTTGCCAGATTTAACAAACTCACACACACATACAAATGTACATGATGCCCAGTTAAATTAAAATTTCAGTAAATGACAAATAATTTTCTAATATAAGTATGGGAGAAAAAGATGGCGAATAAGGAAGTGGGAACTTGCATGTGGCTCTCAGGCTGTCAATATTAGGATCTGAAAACCGATTCCTTTAACAACCATTCATACTGAAAAAGCCTCTGTTTGTGTGTGCATGCACATGTATAGGTAGGTGCTCTCATGTGTGTTTTTGAGTGCATGCATGTGAGTGTATGTTGGTAGGGGGGCGTTGGTTCAGTGCATTTACCCTAATTTGAAGACCAATGTCCTGGGAGGGGCAGGGCTCCCCAGCAGGTCTGCATTAAATGGGGACATGGGTTGTGATTTATGCCACAAGATACTGACCTCCTTAGCCCTTAGGGCAGCCGTGGCTTAGAGGCACAGTAACATCTGGCAGGGCAATCCAAGGGAAAAAGGTTGGGAAGCCCCATATGGAAGCTATTCTCACTAATGTGCAAGGTGACACAACCATAAATGCTCACAGCAGCATTCTTTATAATTCCAAAAAAAAATCTGGAAATAAAATGTCCACGAGAGGGAAAATGGATGAATGAATTGCAGTGTATTCAATTAACCAAATATTATCGTAAATGAAAATTGATGAACTTTATCTACATCTCCCAATATAAAGAGATCTCAAAATCCTAGCATTGAGAAAAAAGCAGGTTGCAAGAGAATGCACGCAATATGGCAGTGTGTGTAATATTTACACAGTTATATAAGGTTTTGAAAGACAAAAATATTGTATATTAAAAGCATTTAAGCATGGATTAGAAGGATGCACAGTAACTTCAGAGAAGTGCCTGCCACTGAAGGAAGAAGGGAGATTGAGAAGGAGGAGTAAACACTGGCAGCACACATCCTTCAGACATCAGGGCATCAGGTTTTGTTCTCAGTTCTTTACATTTTTATTCACTTAATCCTCTCAACAACTCTATGAGGTACTGGATAGTATTATCTCCATTTTGCAGATGAAGTATCTGAAGCCCAGAAACAGGGAGATTAGAAAATTTATCCAAGGTCACACAGCTTTCATAAAGGGCACAAAATGAGTTATAAACTGTACATTTAAATTTTTCTTTTATTAAAATAATTTGAAGTAAATATGATAAAATGATAATGCAACAGATGAATGGGTCTTAGACACTTCACCTGTTGCCATTTGTTTGAAATATTAAATTTAAAACTCTGCTTCTTTCATGAGTTCACATTTGTCTAATAAGATCATTCTAAAATTCTGGTTATGGTTTCTTTAAAAAATATACATCTTTTCCTTAACGGTCCTCACTAATAGCAGACAAATTAAATATATTAGTATCCTTTTTAATGTTTGCTATGGTGAAATGGAAATAAAAACATTTTATCTGTCTTTATTAGACAATTTTGCTGTAAAACTGCATCCCACACTAGAATTCATGTTATAATATTTAAGAAGTGTTTCTTGTCCAAAAAATTTGTACTCTGCATGATCCAAATGGATGGATGGAAATTAGGCCAAATTTTCCCTTAATTGATTGAATTAAGTAAGGTTTTTTTACAGAGAAATTAAATGCCAATATGTAAAAGCTTGCTGCAATTAAAATTTTAAGATCCAAGAGAATAAGTAATTTGAAGAGTAATCTCTGATTTATGTGCTCAGAAAAAATTTCAGGTGTTAATTTTATCTCCACACTCAAAATATATTCTAATATTTCATACAAAGTTGTTGATGAGGAAATTGATTGTCACTAGAATTGCTCTCTGGGGCTGGGGAGAGCCGCCGAAGTTGCCCCACAGAAGCAGATCTCCACAAAGACCAGGAGCTGGAGGCAACTGGTGAATACTTCCTGACAAATCTCAGCTGTTACCTAATTACCTTCATTTGTTTTGCTTTAAAAATATAGGGAATTCCCTCAGTTCTCTGCTCTAATGTTGGCAGAAAACAGACCTGGCCTAAGTCATGTAGATCAGTTTGGGTAACAGCAGGCTTCCAGCTTCTGGGGCCCCTGGGAGGTCTGTAATTAAACAACTCTAGGATTTACAGAATCCTAGTCAAGGAGGCACACACTTTGAGCTGCTTTCTCCACAACCAACTTGTCCCATTGTGAGAAGTTTCCATCAATACTCTTTGGGTTCAGACACTGATCAAAGAAGTTGCTTGCCTCAATGTAACGATATGCCATGTAAGAAGAGGATATTGCACCTGAACGGATTCGGGTATTTGATTAATTGGCAGTTAAGAGACAGCAGAAGACAGAATGGAACACAGGGCAGATACGTTTTAATGAGGAAAGTATAGAAAGGTACACACTATAGGGCAATAGAAGTTAGGGCAGGTTATTAGGGTTTTCCAGAGAAACAGAACCAATATATGAGAAGGGAAGAGATTGAGAGATTTATTTTGAGGCACTGGCTCACATGATTGTGAAAGCTAAGAAATCCCATGATCTGCAATTTGCAGGCAGGAGACCCAGGAAATCCAGTGGTGTAGTACAGTAGGAGACCAAAGGCCTAAGAACTGGTGTGCTGACTGTCCCTGTCCCAGGGCAGGAGAAACAGTCAGACACAAAGCAAATTTTCCCTTCCTCCACCTTTTCGCTCTATTCAGGCCCCAACAGATTGGATGATTCTCACCCATACAGAAATGGGCAATCCGCTTTAATGAGTGAACTGATTGAAATGCTAACCTTACCCAGACACACCCCATAGACACATCCGGAAATAATGTTTAGACAAATATATGGGTACCCCATGATCCAATGAAGATGATACATAAAAGGAACTATCACAGGCAGGCTGCAAAAGAATGCATAACCAGGAAAAACCATCAGGATACCCAGGAAATTGAAAACCTCAAGAATAGGATGAGGAGGCAGGAATCATAATCTTTGTGCCCTTCACAATGATCTAGTATTTGACCCTGAACTTGAGGACTCTGTCATACTTAGTATAATAAAGAAGATATTTGAACACCCTAGAGTGAGTCTCCTCAGAGTTCAGTTGCAGATTTCCAGGTCCACGAAACCAGTCATCAACCACTGAGATGTATTTTGCAGGAAGGAAGAATATAATGAAAAGTACAGGCTGGGCATGGTGGCTCACACCTGCAATCTCAGTACTTTGGGAGGCTGAAGTGAAAGGATTGCTTGAGGCCAGGAGTTTGAGACCAACCTAGGCAACGTGGTGAGACCCACCCCCCATCTCTACAAAAATATTTTTAAAATATTTTAAATAATAAAAAATCATAACAATGAAAAGTACAAGTCAGCTGAGCTCAATTTTTCTACTTACAAGTTAATGTCATGAGCTCCTTTAGCCTCAGTTCCTTCACCCATAAAATAGAGATAACAGTGTTTAGGATTGTTGTGAAGACTAACAGAATGACTGATGAGTAATAAACAATTAAATGTGAGATGCTATCATTGACATGATACACACACACACACACACACACATAAAATGGTAAAAGTGTACACCTTGGCCAATGTCAACAGCTTGCACTCAATGGCTAATATTCAACACATATTTTATAAAGATCTTATCTTTGTTTTGTTGACAAACATTTGATCAGCTTCTTGGCTATAAGGAATGTGATGTATTGATTCTCATTTGACCCTGTGCTGGTGCCAATATTAATTAATTATAAGAGGGGTTGATTGATGAATACAAAAATACAGTTATATAGTAGAAATAAGATCTAGTGTTTGGTAGCACAATAGGGTGACTACAATTAATAATTGTACATTTCAAAATAACTAGATGTTATTTTGACTAGTCATAACCCGTCACCATTGGCCTAGTGAAAACTTCCCCTCCCTTTGTGAACTGTTGATCACACAAAACCTAATTGTCGACACCAGAGTAATATAAATAAGTTCCCACACCCCAATTTTTCAGATGTTTTCTTGAAACTAGCCAATCCACAATCCCCTTGGGAAAGCCTAAGGGACAACCATGGACCTTGATAAGGACAAAGTCCACAGGTCCTCTCTCTGTCTAGCTCCCCAACTGCTGGTTGAGCTCCCTGTGACCTCCAGACTTACCATGGGCCTCCTGTCGGCACCCCTAATTCTCTGGGTCCTGTAATAATTTCTTGCTTCATGCATTTTGGTTTCACCTCCTCATTGTGCCTCACTTGACCAACACACTCCAACCTAACTTTCCCCTGGTCAGGTCTCTTCTAGAGAGTGGCTATCTTGGCTGATGGCCACTCTCAAGAGAGGCCTTAAGACCAAATGAGAAAGAAACCATAACAATAGATGTCACTTAAACATCTATATGTCTTTAAATATCATATTTGTAAACTATCTAAGGTGATCTGTGGATTATTTTCCTCTGCAAGCTTCCTGGATTTTTGGTGCCAACAGTAAGTACTGAGCACTAAAGGGTATGTAAGAGAGAGCTTGTGAACAAATGGTGCATTTCTTTGGCAAGATTCTATAACCATATACTAATGATTTGGATATTATTTCACACTGAGCATGCTTTTCCTCACTAACAGCACACAGAACTGGCTAGGTAATTCAGTCTGCCAGCACGTTGGGAAAAGCAGTTTTTAACGTATGGATCCCAGACCACCTGTACCAGAATCATGTGCTAGGCTGCTGAAAAGCCCTCTTCACTCTGCATCACCTCACCCCCACCCCTGCACCAGACACAACATACAAGAGTCTCTTGAAGTGGGGCCCAGGAATCTGCATGTTTAACAAGCTCCTTGGATAATTCTTACTCAGAGTGAAGTTTGAAAACTGGGCTTAAGATATAAAATGATGTGATTACTTGATAGTAACCTCTCAATATCACAACCTTTTGCCTTCAAACTGTTGGGGACATTTTGTCAAAATGTAGTCCTTAAGAAAAATTTCATTAATATGATCATTCTAAAAATCAAATACCTTTCAAAGCATTCAGATCAGCATTATGGATACAAGTTAATTGTAGATAACTAAAGAGGAAAAACATAGGAAGAAAAAGTTTCAGTTGTTCGCAGGCTCTGCTTCCTGACTGTTTCAGAGCACATACTGAAGCAGGCAGCTTCTCTGCGTCAGTACTCCAGGTGTAGTTCTCAGGCACAAGGGGTTCCTTGTGGGTCTTCACCCTTCTTGTCAGGATGCTCTCCCTATACTGCAGTCATCACAGTGAGCCTTGCAACTTAGCGTCATGCACATGCAATGATCATGCTACAGTAATTTCTCATCTAGGTAACTGCTAGGTTTTCCCTACTTCAGTAACTGCTCACTTTCAGTGAACAATGGTCACTTTTGTTGTTGTTTTTTCTTCGTTATATTTGTTCTGAATATATTTATTGAAATGTAGTTTTATGTCTTTTAAATCTTTTGCATGTTTTTGCACTTCATTTTTTTTGCCTCAACATACTTCAACAAGATTTTTTGCCTCAATGCATTTTTCTTATAACTCATTTTTATTAATACCTATGTAACAGATTTTAAAAATTATTTCTTCACCAAATATTGTGTAGAGCAAAGCACTGCTCCATACCATACTTCTTTAAATGAATTCAGACAAAACACAGCTCTAGTGTTTTAGTATTTTCTCACCTGCAAAAGAGTAGAGAGTTGTATTAGATCATCCATAAGATTCTCCAGCTCTGTGATTGTCTGTGGATATGGTTATAGCTCATTTTTCCTACAACTGATTCATGTACTTTGTGAATTATGCATAACAAACTTTTATATGTACAGCCGACTTTCTGCTGCCTCTCATCATAGCTTTGAACCACTTCTCCTACTGTGAGATTGTGTGGGTTTAAAGAATAAAGAGCATTTTAATAATAGCCCAATCAAAATGTAATTAGAAAAAGGTAATTTGGTACCAAAAATATTACCTAATACCACATCAAAGATAAATTCCAGATATTTCTTATCATCTGCTATTTTAGATTACCATTTTCCCCCTCCACTAGTACAGGTATAATTCTTTCATCTTGGCTTTTTTAATGTACCAAAGACTAAACAGACTGTTAGCTGCAAATCTACTTCTGATACTTGTCACCCTCTCTCACTTTGTTTCATATCAGCCACAGTAAATTTTATTTTACATTTTTATTGATGACCACATCATATCTGTTAACATGTACTGCATAAGCAGGTTTTCTTTAAAAAAAAATGTATTTAACCCAGCAGCAACTTAAAAAACAAAGTATTTTAAATTAAGACATTATATTCCTTTTTCAGAGAACATGTAGACAAAACAAGTCTAAAGGGTGATCCAATTAAATAAATTTCTGTCTCTGGGGGCTAGGACCTCTGAGTTGGTTCTCAAAGTCTGCATGTTTCACATTCAGTACCTAACAAGATATTCCTCACTGTAAGCTTAAAGTAAGCAATGACATCACAATATGCATTACTCTGAGTTGTTTTCAAAACGTGCTGACCCTCTGAAAGTTTCCAAATGGCTTCTTTGTGTGCTGTTACAGACCATCTGGCTAGCTGTAGATAAACAAGTTTCAACATATGGGCCATAGCACATACATGGCTCTGCTCCACTAGCGCAGAAAATTAAGAAAGGGATGCTCTCATGATATGAGTAGCTAACTCATGCAAGAGAAGCAGGACCATGTAGTGGAGGGCCTGACCTAAGTGGCACACAGAATAGCTTAATTCCAGTTTCTTCTCTTCCACTCACTGGGCATGTCGCTGGATCACAGCAAGTCTTCTTTGTTTCCTCATATAAACATTTTTAAAAAGTGCCAGTGAACTCTTGCCTCTCTCTCCTTCCCTCCCTCCTTCTCATTAAAACATACCCATTGTTGGCCTACCATATATATGTTCCCAGCATGGTGCTAGGTAATGGGCATATTGTTGAGAAAAACAGACATGGCCCCTACCCTTGAAGATTTACTGGATGATAATGAAGGCATACATCAAATAAATGAGATCAGGAGGAATATCACAAACCAAGAGGGAAAGCATGTGTGAAGGTCCTGAGATCAGAAGGAGCATGAACAATTTTTCAAGACTCCAGTATTTAGCAACATTTATAGCCATTAAATTGAAAACTAAATTGACAATGAAAATGCTGAAAGGGAAATTCCCACTATCTCCAGATGGTAATTCAATTATTATATTAGCATAAACTATTTGAAAAAATTACCTGCATTTTCCATTCATATTTTTGACCCACTGCCTGCAATCAATGAACCTAATAAAACTATATGAAAATATGATCATCAAATACATGCACAAGCATATCAAGTCCATGACAACATAATCAATGCTTTCAGTTATGAAACAGTTGCTAGAAAATCGAGGAACTCTGAGTGTCTCCTGTTTAATATTTACAGAATAAAACTAAAAGCTAAGGCAACAGTGATTCAGTTATCTCTTACAAGTAAGTGCTTTACTTCTCAAGCATGGTTTCCCAGTACTCAGCCTTGCCAGAAAATGACAGCTGATACCATAGAGTGAGAAGAGGAATAGTCCTTCTTGCTTGAACAGTCATTATATATAAAATGTTCATTTCAATGATTTTCCCAATTCTTAGTTAAAACAAAAGCTGTGTCTTTGGCACAAATTATGTCATATGTGAAACTGTATTAATGATTTATTTTTCTCATCCCCTTTCGATTTCTACCTTTTCCTTTTATTTGCTGCTGTATATTTAAAGTACAGTCTACACATGAAGCTCAGCCTCTATAGCCAGAATGAAGCAGAGAGGTCAATAGTCGGGCATTCAAGTCAGGCAGGATAAGGAGCCAATATGAATCATGAAGGTCTTAATAAAAAATTAAACAACACATTTGAAAACCTGAATCAATCCAACTAACCATAGTGCCCTGTCTTACACTACAGGAAAGAAAAAGTCACTCCCTAAAACCTGTTACAGCACTTACTATACTATATTGTGACAAATCGAGACATGTTTGCCTTCTACCTGATGGCAAACTCTTAAAAGCAAGGACTGTGCCATACCCATCTTTGTCCCCTTGATGCCAGCAATGCTAATGTGCCAGGAGCCCAAACAATGCTCATTAATCAGATCAAGTAATGAACAGTCATTGTTTTATAAAAATAAAGTCACTAAGTGAATGAATCCACAGTGAAATGGAATTGAAACCAGAGCTGTCTTAGCTACCTGTTAGGATTTTAGCAAACACGTAAAATGTCTGCCCTTCAGCCATTCTACAGACAGCAACATGTATGACATAAGACCTTTAATTAAAAATTGTTACTTACGTTGCTTTATTTCAGCTACAAATAAACTTTATTTGATGTAATGTAATAAAACATTTTCAAGTTTAACAATATGTATCTGACCATAAATAATCATTTAAATTATGAATATAATATATACGGTCACTTCAGCAAATTTGCGGTTCAGGAATTTGTACAAGCTTTGTCTGAAAGGACAGTGCCCTCCTCCCCTTTCAGGAAAGGTAGCTTTTCCCCATGTCTGGTAAGAAGCAATGTCAATGGGAGTTAGAAGAAGTCCATAATCCATGTCAGAATTCCACTTTATCCTGTGAGAGGACAGCTTGCTTTATTGTAGGAAAATAATATTCTCTTTCAGTTCACTCTTATCAAATAAAGAATTGCATTCATTTTTCCCCTTGTAGGTACAGGTACTCTTCTATTCTCATCTACTGTCTTTCTGTCTCCTTAGCTCTTAATTACTACATAGTGCCATTTAAAAAATATATATCTGCAAAGAGACCTTTTCTGTTTCCTCACCTGCCTTTCATGTCTACCATTTTTTGGTGGGTAGGGGTGGGAATCAGAGGACAGAATTGCTTAGGCACACATTTGATTTAAGATACATAGAACACAAAAACAAATTCTCTAGAAGGAACAGACTGGTGTTCTGAAGCATTTCCCAAGAGTGGTCCAGGTGACCTCGCTTCACACAATTTGGTTTAACACAATGCAGCTCAACAAGAATGAACATGTTTATGCCCCATCTCCAGAAGCATCACATTTCATGGAAAACCCATCATTCCCACACTTCTTCCACATAACATACAGTTATGGGCCAGCCCATGGGTGGGCCCACTGCAGCCTTGTAGAAAATGAGAGTCAAAAACATGCCAATAATCATGTTAATTACAACGCAGTTGGGTACCACTTGAGCTTCACTGCGATAAAAATCCTCACAGAAGGCATCCCACTCCCCTCTCAAGACCCTTCAGAGCACGAGAAAAAGCTTTGCTCATGTTGTATGCTTCTCTCCATCCTGAGACCTGTTCCTGAGTTATACCATAATAAGTGAGTTAACACAGAAAAGTACATAGGTGGGGAAATCACAGAGACCCTGCAGAAAAGCCAAACTATTTGACAGAAGCTTGAAACAAACACTGCTCTGGGAAATCATTTGTATTAGCTGATGACTGGATTCTGTTTTCTAACATGGACATGCAACATATTCAACACTACGCTCACCGCAGTTTGCTTGGAAAAGCCTTCTGTCATACAACAAAATACATTCTGTCTCATGAATGATTCCTGCATATTCACCACAACGCCTAGACTCAGAAGCATGGGAAGTGTGCACTGGAACTTTCTCCCACTTGCATGGATTTGGACATATGCAAAGCACCAGAAACTGCTTCCTTTCTGGAACTCAGTTCTGTTGGTGTGCTTACTGCTGAGATGATCTGCTATCTTAAACTGAGAACACACAATAGCACTGATCCACAGAAAAAAGGAGAAGTCACCATCTCCCTCATAAGATAGTGTGTACAACAGATCACCCTGTTTGTCATGTTTTAGACATCCCAAGAAAGGACAGAAGCTGCATTCCATTCTGCAGACTCAGCAAATGACTTCCTTCTGTTTCCACCTCTATTTTGCCTTGTTTATTTCATCTCCATTGTTCTGCTTTCAATCATGAATCATGACCTTTTTTTCTACAGTAGTCAGCATTTTGTCTAAAAAAAAGAGAGAGAAAAATAGAAAATAATTTAGTAGAACTGTAAATGTGAGTTTTCATTTTGTGGTAGGTGGACTTAATTTTTACAGCAGTCAGTAATTTGAATCATTTGTGGCTTTTAAGGGATTATGAGTATCCTTCAAGGGAAAGAAAAAGTGTTGTGACTCTTTTCATAAATTTCATAACTTCCACAAGTTGCCAAGGCTTTAATATATTTGCAAATCAGCCCCAAATAACCCATTTAGAAATTCACCTTTTTAATACAGCTATAGCAAAAAATGACTTTGCTCTCAAAAATCCTTGCAAAATACTATTGCACCTGCCCCACTTGAAAAGAATAATGACTAAATAATGATTACCAATGAGACGTGCTCTCTCCCTCAAACCTAGGAAGGTGTGTTATTGTAAGGTATGTGTGTAGGGACCAAGAAACTTCACTTCTCTCCCTCGTTCCTAGATGCTCAGAAGTGGCATTAGTGATAGAGAAGTGTCAGCCAAGGGCTGAGAAAAAGTCCCTTTCTCCTGGTGTAAAGCCACTCCCCTGACTCTGCACCTCCACAGGCCTCAACTTACCACACTACATCATGTGCCTAAGAGCTAGGTCTATGAGGACCCAGAGACTGGGACTGTGCCCCTAATCTCCACCTACCCACCCCATCTAAAGCACCCCCTACCCTGCCATTTGGCTGTCTTGCCTGCAGTCCTGCTCTTCCTTCTTTGAGGTCCCCCTCTCAGCCCAGCCCTTCAGATGGGTGATCAATAGATGGATTTTGCTGGAGACATGGTTTCTAGCTTTTCCCCTCAGCCTCACACAATAACACCTGAGGACAAGTACTGCACTTCAGCCCAGACTCAGCACTCTAGGCTCCACGTATCTGAAGAGGGGACTGGCAACCATCTGTGCTCCACAGACACATTCCTAGCCCAGGGCCACTGTCTCTTCCCAGCACAGGAGAGACAGTGCTTTCTCCAGCTCAGCACGGCTCTGCTCACATAGTTCATGTTCTGAATTCCTCCAGACCACAGCACTATCTCCAAAGTCTCCCTTTCCTTGCTACCCACCTGCTAACCAATTGTGATGGTCTGGAGATTGTAGCACCCACACAGATACCGGTGGCCTCTTTTCTGGTCTCAACAGCACCCTCCTTGTGCAGGCCCTCCTGCAATTTATGGCAATTCAAAGCAAATCCATAAGTAAATCAAATTTTAAAAGAAAAAAAGAATCCTTGATTATATTTCATTATCATATTTGGTTTTATATTACCAATCTGTGAATACTTGTGAAAAGGATTAAAATTGATAGCAGTAAATTAAAATTACCAGTGCAAAAGTATTCACAGCTTTTCCTCCATCTATTCACTTCATTACCCCAGGGAAAATTTTCGAGTGCCTGATGAACTCCTGAGGTTCTGGTTATGCTGATCAAGAAAATGGGGAGAAATGGGTAAATATTTGGGAGTAGGAACAGTCTTACAGGTTTGTACAGGAAAGAAAGAAACTATTATGTAGGAGAATACGTAGAGCCAAGAAGGCAGAGCAAGGCGAAAAGGTAAGAGAGACTAGAAGCCCAGAAGCTAGATGGGAGGAAAAGAGCTGGAGAAAGCCCTGAGTCTGGAGGAGTCCAGAATCTGCACGGTGGCCACAAGATGAGTGAGAGCTAGAGAGAGGCAGGGGGAGCAAAGGGTTCTGATTACAAGTCTCCTACTAGCCACCACCACCTCTGCAGCCACCCCAGCACACTAGATTAAAAGCTTCCAGAGACTTCAACTGTCCCTTACTCATCTTTCTACCCTACCATGCCTGGTTCCATGCTTTGTACATAGCAGACCCTCAAATGTTTCTGGGAAAAACAAGCCAATGAAGAGACTCCTTACATCCATTTTCTACATTTGGAGTTATCCACACAGTGCTACTGCATCAGTCTTGACCATTTTGATGACTCCATTCCCCTACTTGCAGATTCACTGATCCTACTTGCAGATTCACTGATGGCTTACTACTACAGAGTGTCCCACATTTAGCATTAAGGATTAGGTACTTCTTTGTTGGGGGGTGGGCGGGGGGTTGCTGGCCTGTATACTGTAAAATCCTTAAGAGCAGCCCTGGCCTCTACCCAGTAGATGCCAGTAGTGTGCCACCCAGACTTGTGACAACCAAAAATCCCTCCAGAAATGGCCAAATGGCTACAGAGAGTTGGGATGGGAGGCAAAATTACTCCTGATTAAGAACCATTTGTCAATATTAAAAGTCCAAATTCTTGGAGCTAGCATAGAAGAGCCTTTATAATTTCATCTCAATCTACTTTTCTGCTTTGATCTCTAACAGTTCCTGCACCCAAATGCTTAGCTTCAGCCAGATGGTCCTTTGTATAAGCTCCCACATTGGTGCCTTTACAAAAAAAGTCCTCTTCACCTAGAATACCATTTCTGCTCTCCTTTCACTATAAATGCTTTGACCAACTTCATAGACATGCTTGAGTTCATATCCTTCAGGAAGTCTTCTCTGATTAGGGTTAGTGTAAGCTCTGAGTTATTTTCCTTTCCTTTGAATCCCATAGTTTTTCCTGTCTCCACCTTTCCTTATTACAGAAAGGTTGCCATGTGCATATGTCTTAGCCTAGCCAGGCTGCTATAACAAAATCCCATAAATTGGTAGCTTATAAACAACAGAAATTTATTTCTTATAGTTTGAGAGGCTGAGAAATCCAAGATTAAGCCACCAATAGATTCCATGTCTGGTGAGGGCTCGCTGTCTGCTTCATAGATGGTAACTTCTAGCTGCTTCCTTACATGGTAGAAGGTATGAACAAGCTCCCTCAGGCCTCTTTTATAAGGGCAATAATCCCATTCATGAGGGCCCTGCCCCCATGACCTAATTACCTCCTAAAGAATCCACATTTTCATAGTATTGCATTGGGAATTTGGTTTCAAAATATGAATTTTGCAGGAGACACAAACATTCAGGCCATAGCAACATATGTCTGTTTGTGTAAGGTATATCCAACAAAATTATGTGCATAAGGACATGAAAGATATCATCTGTTTTCTGTATCTTCCTCAATGCATGGCAGCCATATTAGAAATTTCCTAAAGTTGATGGATATTTTTAGGCTAATCGTCCTTAATGAAGTAGATATTCTGTAATTATAAATTCAAACTGAGAGAAATGCAAAGAAGATACAGCAGACTATGGCCTGTTGGCCAAATACAACTGGCAGCCCCTTTTTGTAAATAAAGTTTTATTGGTACACGGGCCTATCTGTTTACTTATGTCAGTGACAAATTACTCATCAGTGAGATGAGTAGTTTCAATAGAGACCATATGGCTAGCAAAGCTTAAAATATTTACCACTTGGCCCTTCACAGTTAAAGTTTGCTGACCTCTGTCTTAAGCTTACAGGAAAACAACACCCAAGCCTCCAGACTAGCTAAAGATACAAAGGCAAATATCTTTAGACTTTATGTTAGCTGATTTATTTTTATAAAAGGCACAGTAGCATAGAAGTTAAAAGCACTTTTGAACACAGATGTCCTGGGCTCAAATCCAGCTCTATCACTCTCTATATGACTGTGGGGGAAATCATTTGACTTCTCCACGCCCTTGTTTTGTTATTTTCAGAATGGAAATGAAGAAAACTAACCTATCATAAACTTTTGAGGATTAATTGATCAAATTCACATAAAGTGCTCAGCAAAGTGTCTGAGAGTGAATCCTCAGCAAACGCATGTTATTATTTTAAACTGGAAAACCTTTTTGTGCTACATTTTAAAGATTACCATTTTATGATCTATCTGAATTATCTATGAATCATTAACTAAAATAATCAATAAAATGATTCTCAAGTTTTTTGACCCTATGGATGCATGCAAATATAGCAGTGTTTCCTTGCTCATGACTTTATCTGTTCTTTCCTACTTTATACACTGGCTGCTTAACTGGATCCCCTGCCACCCATCTTTCCCTTGTCTGCCCTCCTCACTATTGCCAGAGAGACCTTCCCATGTTACTCCTGAGAACTAAAACCAACACGCTTTCCTTTTCCTGTGCTAAAAAATGCTGCAGCCAGGCAAAATAACCTAGCTATTTGTTCTAGGAAATAGTCACTTTCAGAAGACTATATGCCAACAAAAATAGCCTACTTATCAAGACTAGTTTGCTCATTAACACTCACTTCACAGCCCTCATCTAGCTGTACTTACCAGTCTAAAGCTATTATGTCATAAACTCTGCCTAATCCTCACCAGTTCCCTACCTTCAAATCACCCAGCCCAAGCCCCAAAACCCTATCAATATCCTTGCCTTATTTCCTTCATCTGAGAAACTACTAAGACTGTCTAGGAGTGGATACCACTCGTAGTGCAGTAAGTCTAATAAACTTTACTTACTTAGAGTAACAATTCATTCTCATTGTCTTCTTAGAGAGCTTATGGCTAGTCTCCAGCTCAAAAATATTCTGAGACTCTTCACTGCCTATATACTGAAGTCACTTGACAAGTATAACTGCATAACATTCAATACAAGCATCGGGGTGATTCATATCACAGCTACCACTTAGGGACTGTGTGAACATAGGTCAGTTACTTTTGTTCCTGAGCCTTAAGTTGTTCTTCTGAAAAGTGGGGATGCTAGAAGCACCTATTTTGCAGGTAGCATGCTGCATAGCATGTAGCGGGTGTTCAATAATGGTTAGCAGTTATTACTTTTATTTATCATCTATTATGTGTCAAGCACTGTACTAGATTCTGCAGAAAGAAATCTGATTAAGACATTGTTCCTTCTCTGAAGGAATTCAAAATCCTAATGGTCAGTTCAACGAACTCTTATAGGCATAGTAAGATCTCTGGGTTTGCTTACAGTACATGTTCTAGAACTTAAAATTACATTTTTTAATGCTACTTTTTATATTGTGAACAATCTCGTGTACAAAAGAGTATATAGAAGTAAACATGAATGCCTGTGAAGCTACACTCAGCTTAAGAATTAGCATAGCTGTAGTCTTCCAACTTTCAGTTGTAAGATAAAGGCAGTCCAGTATAAGAAAAATGAGTAGCACTGGGATTCAGATGATGTGGAATCTAGACTTAGTTGTGACACTAGCTAAGTGTGAGACATCTCACTTTTCAACTCCCAGTTAGCTCTTCTGTTGAAAGACAGGGGTGGACAAGATGACCAGGAAGGTCCCTCTCTGCTAGAGTGGTCCCTGGTTCTCTAGTCTACTCCTCCCTGCCAGGCTCAGTGAAGAACGACACCTCCAACACTAATCTGCTCATTCTCTCACCAGAACCTTCCAATTTTTCATTCCAAGTTTATTTTTCCCCTGACTTTCAAACGTGAAGAAATCTCCTCTACCTCACATTTAAAACAAAGTCTTCATCAGACATGTTGACACCTCTAACTAGTATACTATCTCTTTCCTTCTTTACAATGCCAAATTTTTAACATGTGGGTCACTTCTGAAATTTCCATTTCTCTATCACCATCAGATCCTTTTTCAGATCCCAAGAACCTATTGTAATTGCTTCCTTGAAAGTCACTAAGACTTCTTAGACCAATTCTTGGTTCTCACCTGCCAAGATGGGCAGGAACATTTCCTAAAAGCTCCTGTGGCTCTTTTTCTTTTATTTTTTAGAGGCGAGTCTTGCTCTGTCAACCAGGTTGGAGTGGCATGATCATAGCTCACTGCATAATCCAACCCCTGGGCTCAAGCTATCCTCCTGCCTCAGCCTCCCAAGTGGCTAGGATTACAGAGGCGCTCCACCATGTCCGGCTCTTGTAGCTTTTAAGACCTTGCCTCATCCTGGCATCTCCCCACACTAACAACTCTTCTTTTTCCTGGGCTGCCTCCTTTCAGCCCAGGTGAATGTAACTGCATACTAAAAAGATCATTGTGCCTCCTACCTCAAAAGAAGAATTTATCTGTGAAGGATGAGGTTATCAAAAAAGCTTTACTGGACAGAAGAATAATAACAACTAAAATAATAATGTTACACAAATTCAGATGTAAGGATATCATTTGGATGTCATTTATGGAGAAAGAAGGGAAAATATCACCTGCCTTGTTGTCAATCACATCAATTGCAATTCATCAGCAAATTAGTCTCATCTACCAATCCAACTAAGTACCTATTTTTGGCTTTTGGAATTTTACTGGGTGGAAGACTGGAGTCTATACTGTTGTCAATTCAAATCTGGTATGTTTAGTAAAAACTAAGCTAGCTACTCGTTCAGGAAGCTTTCTGTGATGTGCCTCAAAAAGCTGCATAAAAGGGTTTGGGGGATAAAAGGAAAATAGTGATAAATGACCTTACAGCACAAACTCAGGTCTCTCTGGCCTCTCAGCAAGCTTCAGGGCTTCATGCATGCCTGCAGCTGAGAGCTTCCGGTTGATATTCCGGTACTGGCACTGGAGCAGGCTGCGATAGGTGGTCCTCAGGTCCCGGTTGAAGAAGGCATATATAAAAGGGTTAATGAGAGAGTTTGCATAGCCTAGCCACAGAAATGTCCTCTCCACCCACAGTGGGATGCAGCTGCAGGAAGTGCCACAGATGAAGGGTCTGGCTGTCGAGAGGAGGAAAAATGGCAGCCAGCACACGGTAAAGGCCCCGACGATGATCCCCAGGGTGGTGGCTGCTTTCTGTTCTCGCTTAAAGATGGAGATGTTTTTCCTTTCATGCTTGAGGAGTCTCGAAAGGTTTGCACACTCTTCCACCTCCTTCTGGAGCTTCACTATGCCATTCAGGGCGATGACGCTGTCTGGCTCCACTCGAGGGAAGCCAGGAAACTTGTGTTTGGCAGCACTCTTCCTGGCAGCCTTGTAAATCTGGTAGTACATGAAAAGCATGACGGACATGGGGATATAAAATGCCACTGCGGTAGAGTAAATCGTATAGCCAAAGTCCTGGCTGATCAAGCACACCTTATCATCATTTACATTCTGAGCCCATCCAAAGAGTGGAGGTAAGGTGATGGAGGCGGAGAGAAGCCAGACGGAGAGAATCATCTTCGCCATGCATTTCCCATTCTGCCTCACAGGGTATGTGAGGGGCCTTGTGATCCCAAGGTACCTAGTGGAGAGATGGAAAGATAACAGATGAACACCGTGATCATAACTGGTCAACCAAGCAAGTCCTGCCAGCCAGGTACCAGCGCCAGTCCTCGCAACAGCCCTTCTAGGTAGGCATCATTACTCCCATTTTGCAGAAAGGTAAACTAAGGCTCTGAGATGTTACCTATTTTATTCCGGGTCACACAGAGGCATTGCCAGATTGTAGCCTGAGAGCCCTCTGACTCTAAAGTCAGTCCATGCTTTGTGCATGCCTTATAGTTTTTCACAATCCACGAAGTCAACAAAGTTTAAAAAGCTCTCCGTCCCCATGACCACAGCCACCAAAATCAACCAGGACAACATATCAACTCTGATGTAGGATGTTGTGACACATTCTCAAAACTTAACCAAGGTCTACCACACTCTGGTATTATACACCCAGTGATCACCCCAGCTGTCTTAATTTAGGCCAGCTTTTAATTCATTTTAGCTTTCCCTTTGCATTACAGCAAAAGCATTTCTTTAAGATCACACAGATTCGTGAGATAATTTGGGAATCCTAGAGTGTTGAAATGGTTAGCAAAAAATGATCATTATTATTATCATTATTATTGTTATTATTTTGCCCACAGAAAATTCTCACACAACAGCAATGTCAGAGGAACAATCTAAGAAATAAAAGCAGCCTGACTTCTCTCTCCAGTTCTTAGGAGAATCACAAAACAAGGGTGCAATTCTGAAAAATGTTAGGGAAATCCAACATTTTCTCTGTGCTTAGTTCTATAGAGGGAATAAATATTACTCCAAGTCTGTGATCAAGGATTTGTAATGCAAACAAGTCTGTGCACACAGAGAAAACATATACAGAAAAGATGTTCTGCCAAATGCTTAATATTTTTCAGCTTTTCAAACCTGTGTTTTCCTCATATTTAATAGTCGTAGAGTCTTTTTTGGAAAGCTAGGAGCACTTGAGAAGCAAAGACAGAAAAAAAACTGGTCATTTTGTTGTTGTTTTTACTTCCTTTATGTGTATAAAAGATACATTCTTGAAACATAAAAAGGAAAGATACAGAGAGTCCCTAACTTACCAACAGGTTATTTTCTGAAAGTTAGTCAGTTAGTAGGTTAGAACTCAAAAAACAATTTCTGCTAGAAATATCCTTTAATACTTAAATTATCCCACAAAAGTCCAAAATCATACTTTCACAATGAAAATTAGCATCACTATAACACTTACAGGAAGACAACACTGAAATATAGTAAAAAATAATGAGCCAGATGTTCTTACTTCTCTAGAATTCTTTCCTTCAATAAGTATTAATGGAGCTCATTTTACTGGACAGGTTCTGTTCCAGGTGTTGGGGATAGGACAGTGAGTAGAAGAGACGAAAATCCTGCGTGCAGGCAAATGGGGAAATCATGTCAGATGAAGGGGAAAACCTGAGGCCATGGTAATGTTGAAGGGAACTTCTGATCCCTTCCAAGGAGCCAGGCGTTCATGACGCTGGTTCTTCATTTGCAAACTTCCGCCTCCCCTTTTCCTTAATAAAGCTGACCTACAAGCACTACCCTTAGATTTATCAGCTGTAGTTAGGATTATGATGTGGCTCCCAAACAGAATGAGGGAAGAGAAAGAGGGAGGCTTTCCTGAGAATGCAAGAATAAGAGCTAAGAAAAAGGCGGGCAGTGCGGGGGAAAGTAACTCAGAAGAAGAGAGGGAGTGAAGGAGTAAGGAAGAGGGAAAAGGGAAGAGGGAGGGAAAAGAAAAATCTAGTCCTTGTTCTCAACCAGCTCCTGTGAATGTGGCCTTTTGGGCACCTTCCTTATTTCCCCAGCAGCCTTTCCCAGACATGGATTTTGATTTCTCGTCTTTCTTTGTCTACAGCCCCAGCATAAATGCCTGCTCTCAAGCCTCAATGTGGCATCCAAGACATGAGCCCAGGATGGTGCCTCAGGTTCACCAAGGAGTGAAGTCCAGCAGGTAGAGGTTACTTTACA
Organism: Homo sapiens; assembly: GCF_000001405.40. NCBI lineage: Eukaryota > Metazoa > Chordata > Mammalia > Primates > Hominidae > Homo > Homo sapiens. Next base: position 90,751,574 of record NC_000010.11, read on the forward strand.
CAATTCCCCAGGAGGCCACCAGATGGCATTGTCAGATCATTTTACACCTACTTACTGGGAAGGGGGGTGTTTCAATAGGGTAGGTGGTTGAAGTAACAGGTATTATGTTGGAAAAATTATGACAAAAAAGGTTGTATTTTATTTGTGGAGCATTTAAAAAATTAGCATGCCTGGAATTCACAACCTAGTAAACTCCTATTTTGAGGAAATCTGTTTTCTCTCCCATTTCTTCACACTTTCCTTACTAGAACTATGCCTTCCCACTTAAATAACAATCCCATCTTTTTCCTGGCTAAGTAAATAATACAGAATTCACAAAGATTAATCCGGAGAGATTAATAGAGTACAAAGAACATTTCAGAATTTTAGATAATCTCATTTAAATGGTATGTTTATTCATTCTAGTACACTTAGGCTGACACATTATATTTCAATCATGATTAGTCCATATTCAGTCTGCCCTGGATGTACAAATTATATTTCATAAACTCTGTTCTACATTAGGCACCATTCTCTAATGATTTCAAGACATCCTACAATAAGGTAGTTATATTTACTTCTTAGGCTCCTCACTTCCACCTGGTGAGACATCATAAGGCTAAAATCAACTGAAATATTACTAGAAAAAAAATGAGTGCTTACTAACGTGTCTGGATATAAAATAAATAAACAAAAGTTAATATTTTGTTTTAACCATTAACAATCAGAAAATAGTGTGGAGATGATGCAATTAACAACAACTAAAAACACCTAGGAAAAAGCTTTTTAAAAATAATACCTACAGTCTATATGAAGAAAATACAAAATGCTACTGAGGTACATTTTTTAAAATACTTAAATCCATGGGGGAAAAAACTTGTTTTTTCAATAAGAAATTCTAGTATTATAAAAGTACCTATTTCCCCTCAATCTATAAATACCATATAACCCCCAATGAATAAACTGGCATGGCTTTTGTTAACGATTTTAAAGCTCACCAAGTCAACATGCAAAAATGTACAGATAATCTGAAAAAGAATAATGAAGGGATACTTATCCCATTAAAAAAAAGTATAAAGCCACAGAAATAAAAGCCCCAAAATAATTATTCAAAAAGATATCAATAAAACAAGATAGGTTCAAATTGATTCAAATATATAAGGGAATTCAATATAAAAGGAGTCACTTTAAATCACTAGTAAAAAATTGGATATTCTTGAAGTCTCACAACTGGCCAGCAATTGAGGTAAAAGTATTACTGGCTTCTTATCGTTTGATTAAATATAAATCTCACATGGATCAAAGATTATCATGTAAAAAAATTAAACCCTAAGAAAATATTGGCAAGTATTTCCACAATTCTGAGATGACAAAGGCCATTCTTAACTATAATACAAAAGCTTGAAAGTACAAAATGAAACATCAATAAATGTTTGTAACAAACAAAATAAATAAGTGACATTTATAAGCAACATTTAGTTTAATTCAAAAATCATTCTGTGAAGAGTTAAAAGTCAAATCATAAACTAGAAATCTAAATGGCAATATCACAATATTCACAGATTTCCTACAGGTCAATACAAAACACAGCCATCCCATAGTAAGAACTTCAGAGTTTGTAAAAGAAAAAACAAAAAGCCAACCATCCCAATAAAAATATTTAAGCAATTGATCAAAGAAGAAAAACTAATGGACAAAGCCAGGCGCAGTGGCTCATGCCTATAATCCCAGCACTTTGGGAGGCCAAGGTGGAAGGATCACTTGAGGCCAGGAGTTTCAGACCAGCCTGAGCAACATAGCAAGACCCTATCTCTATTTTAAAGAGAGAGAGAGAGAGAGAGAAAGAAACTAATGACCAATAAGCACTTAAAAATATTCAGAACTTCATTAATAAAGAGATGCACATTTTAAAATGACACATTTTTATCATTTGCAAATATTTAAGAAAGACAAAATCCAATATTAGAAAACTGAAAAAGCAATCATTCTATTACGTTGCTATTGGGAATGTCAACTGAAATAATTTTGGAAGACAGTTTGGCAATTATCACACATCTAGGATTTTGTCTTAAGAAGATAATTGTACAAATGCAAAATGACTAATGTGCAGACATGTTACTAAACACATAATAGAGGAAAAAGAATGCAATCTAAGTATTATCAATAGGAGATTAGATATGATATATATATATACTGTATATAATATGTATAATGCAGCCATTAAAAATGATGATGTACGTCTGTATTTACTAACACAGAAACAACAGAAGAGTGGATTAAAAACACATAGCTCTTAAAGATAAGTAATAGAATATCATATAACATATATTATTAACCTTTCTATATAAAACTGGGTGTATGCTTGTGTGAGCATGTCTGTGTATGCTCAGATGTCTACAAGAATATCAACTAAAATATCAATAGTAGTTTTACCTGAGATGAAGAAATTTTAATGATTTTAAATTTCCTCTATATTTTCTATGCTTGATATTTTTGTAGTGAGCATGTAAAAAAAACACTATTTTAAGAACAAAATAAAAGATTTAAGAGGATTCTGAGATTCCTAATTTATATGATTCTGGCAATAGAAACAATCTGGTTCATAAAATCTTTAGAAAGCTGATAATTAAATCTTACATTGTTTTATTTGATTAGCTTGTCAAAAGTACTTTATTAGAATACATTCATAAGTTTATACAAAAGAAAAAGAACTCATTGGCCTTTAAAATCCCATAATTACTACATAAAGTAATATTGGTATTCAGGGAAGTGTTTCTCTAAATTATACATTCATTCTTCCAAACCTTGTATAGGATAAATCTTACCTTCAAGGGTGAGAAAGAAAAAAAGAAAAAAAAAACTAGACTGATTTTTAACATTCCTTAAGTATGCATGTTTAATATTTAATCACACTAACATTTTATCCTCACTGTTAATTAGAAAGCAGGATGCTTATAAAGCCTTCAAAATTTTACTGTAAAATGCATACGAATGTTAAAGTACAGTAAATCTCAGAGACGAAAGCACTGAAGTATTATATAATTGAGGAATATATGCAACTCACAATAGGGGTGCCATTGAAGTACAGGTTCAGAGAAAAAGAGGATTAGGGAGTTATAATCTGCATAGAGAGGGATCGGAAGTAAATTAACTCTGCTGCCTGTCTTCCATTCTAACTGTATAGAAATGGTAGATAATGGTTCTTTAATTAAATGGCTTCTTCTGAGTTTCACTGCTATAGAATGATAATTTAGGGAGTAAAAGAAACTAGGTAGAATTATTCTGAAATATGGTGGTTTTTTAGAGCGTTCAGCTTAAAAAGCGTTCACACACTTAGAACACCTCCTCCAGGAGATTCCTCCCTTGCAGTTGGCAAAATCCACTAGAATCTCCGGCTGATGTCAGTGGCTGCTGAAACTGCCAGATTATAAGAATCACTCAGGAGCTTTAGAAACATGCAGATTCCCAAGCCACTATTCTCATTCAAGGATTGGAGACCTAGAACTTTGTGTTTAGGATTGACTGTTCTGGGTCTTTATCCCCCACACTGCTGTCAAAGCAGCCTTCTCCCATTCAATTACAAGGACTTTATACTTACCACATGAAGGGCTTTACTTTACTGTATATTTCATCTGAACAGTTTGCTTCCAGTTTAGCCTAACAAAATCATTATGAATCATGTTTCCATTATCTCAGCTATTAGATTTCCCAGTCCTGTGCTAAATGAGATATGTGTGGTCTTTATATTTTAATCAAGTTGTAGATTTTTCTTAAATGCATAATACACAACAAGGTTTTTTAAAACCTTTTTGACCATGGTTCACAAAAAGAAATATAACATTTTATATAATAAACTGATATGTGTGTATATTTATATTTAGGAAATTAAACAAAAGTTTCACAAATCTGTATTTACCATTATAAACCATTATCTACTCTCTTCTATTCTATTTCAGACTTTTTAAATGCTGGCCTTAACTCACTAAATTGATTTCATAACCCATTAATGGATCAAGGCCTAAAGTTTGAAAATTACTCACCTTCACCAAACATATCAAAAGGTGTTTAACATCACGAGTCATGACAAAAATGCAGATTAGCACAATGAAATGTCACTAACAGCCATCAGAGTGGTTAAAATTAATGATGATGATGATAAAAACTATAATGCCAAGTGTTCTGTGAAGATATGAAACAATTGTGATTCTCACACATTACTGGTGGGAATGTAAACTGATGCAGTAACTTTGGGAAACTATTTGTAATATCTATTAAAGCTAAATAATACACACTCTATGATCTAGCAATTCCAAGTATATAATGAACATTAACCAAAATACACATACAAAAGTTTATAGCAGCACTGTTGGTAATAGCTCCAAATGAAACTAATCCACTCTACAGAAGTAAAATTAGTATAACTCTATAATAGTAGAATAAGTACATAAACTGTGGCATATTTATGCAATGGAATTCTATAAAACAATGAGAATGAACCCACTACTGCTTGTCAACATGGATGATTTTCACAAACATAAGCTCGAGCTAAAGAAGCTAAAAAACAAAAAAGAACATACTATTCAAAACCAGGCAAAACTAGCTGCTGGTGACAGAAGCCAGAATGGCAGTTACCTCCGGGGAAGAGGAAGTCCTAAGCAATGAGGGTGCAGGAGGAAAGCTTGGAGTTCTGAAAATGTTCTTTCTCTTCCTCTGGGTGTGTTACATAGGTATGCTCACCTTGTAGAAAGTAAGTGAGCTATTCAGTTATGATTTGTGCAGTGTTCCGGATGTATGTAAATCAGGTTTTTTTAAATACTAAAAGTAAATTTTTAACAATACACTGAACTTATCATTTGCCATTAACCTAGATGCTAACCTGTTCTCTAAAACCAATGTTACAGTGGGGTTCCAATACACTTTTAAACCATTTCCATCAGTGTTTCTAAGCTACACTTACAGTTAGGAACAATAAACAACTTAAATTCCTTATTCTGCCCTCAGCATTGAGGGAGAGAAGTAGATAAAAGAGAGAGGGGGGAAGAAAGCAACAAAATTCAACCAAGTTTGGAAACACAGTAGCAAAGCCTCCTCTTTGAGAAAGGATATTATTATTAAACAAAAAAGAGAGTTTCCCTTAAGAGAGAAAATCAGATTTAATTAAAATAAAATAAGTCACTTAATTCTAAAAGTGCCTGTAAAAATTCATATATTATATTTGTTAACTGTTGCTACATAACTAATTACCACACTTTAGTGGCTTAAAACACCACCAAGGAAAACCCTGTCATAAAAAAAAAGAAAAGAAAAGAAAAAGAAAAATACATGTCTATTAAAGGATTTTTAGACAATTATACAAAGTCATGAAAATGAATAGTGTGAGAAATAGTAATGACCCCTGAATTATACTTGTTAATTACTTCAGTTGTATATGGATTCACAATAAACTAAATTTTCCAAAGAATTTGGCCTTTTATTCCTCAGAAAAAGGGGGCGGGGATGGCAGCAAAGAAAGAACCAAAATTTATCAGCAATAATAAAAGAAATGAATGGCATAAAACCTTAGCTAAAAACTTTTTAAAGGTTAGAGGCAGGAAAAGAAAGGAAAATATTCTGTTTTATGATGGTTCTGTGTGGCTTTCAACCCCATCCCATAGAAGCAGTACTCAAGAAACAGGGTGAGTAAATCCTTAAAATTCCAAATAACACCTTCATACTGGGGAGAAGCAAATCAAGAGGGTGAGAAGACAACCTAAAGAAAAGTACTGAAAAGCCATGAAGAGCAGAAGCCCCACATACCATTTTAGCAGAGTTAAGGGCCAACAGAACTTGTCATCTTTCAGGACACTGAGCTCAACCAGGGGAGTATGCCAACTTCCAGAAGACTGGTAAATCCTGAGCTTAGCGGGATGTTGTCTGGTCCAGGACATCTAATGAGTATTCAGAGTAAAGAGTAATCCTCCTTAACAAACTTCACTCAGCTGCGGTAGAATCTACTCCCTTCCTTTCCCCGCAACCCTACACTTCCGGGCAACTGAAAAGTAGATGCACTAAATACTAGCCTAAAAAGAGAAAAATAGCATATCAAATAAGGCAGAATATCGATGAAAATTCAACCACAGTATGTGAGAACAAACATTAGGGTTTAAATAAACAACTCATATTAAGAATGAGCAAGATTAAACTGTTACAGCAACTACAGAAACATGCTCCAACAATAACAACAATGAAAGGAAAAAAGAAAGAAAGAGAACATGGCTAAGACTTGAAGAACCAAGTCAAAAGGCAAACATAACATTCAGAATAGAAGTTGTTTTCCTAAAAGTACTTTTCACTGTAAGAGACCTTAATAAATATATGTGATCACTGAAGTAGAGGCTCAAAGATGTTAAAACAGCAGAATGAGATAAAAAGAGACTGCTAAGTTAAGAAAATAAATTGAGGCCAGAACATCATCAGGGCAGATCTAATGGATGAATGAGCAGGAGCTGAGAATAGAAACAGACAGACACACCTGGCCAGGTGCAGTGGCTCACACCTGTAATCCCAGTACTTTGGGAGGCCAAGGAGGGCGGATCACGAGGTTAGGAGTTCGAAACCACCCTGCCAATACGGTGAAACCCTGTCTCTACTAAAAATACAAAAATTAGCTGGGCGTGGTGGCGCTGGCCTGTAGTCCCAGCTACTCAGGAGGCAGAGGCAGAAGAATCGCTTGAACCCAGGAGGCGGAGGTTGCAGTGAGCAGAGATCGTGCCACTGCACTCCAGCCTGGGCGACAAAGCAAGGCTCTGTCTCAAAAAAAAAAAAAAGGAAAGGAAAGAAAAGAAACAGACACACCTGAAAAGCAAATCAATGGCATGAAGTAAAAAGGCTTGAGGTAATCATATCAATGCATATGGAAAAATTTATTCAAAATTTATTCAAGCAATTAGAAGGTGACAGGTAAGGAGAACACACAAAGATAAGACATAATAATAACATCTCCCTGAAGAAAAGTACCTAACAAGTAGGGGGGAAATTGTTTAAGTAAATAGAGCTGCAACATGTAAAAAGTATACAGTGATATAATTTAGGACATTTTCCTTGAATCAGTGAAAGAGCTGAATCTTACCAGCAAAAGGACACATAACATAGTTGGGAAAAAGCGATATAGAATTATTATCCATGATACTTATCCTAGTAAAGTTATTGAACTTCAAGACATGGAAAGACCACTGCAGGCATTTGGGAAAGAAAAAAAAATCAGAAAATATGCAAGGTAGAAAAAAAATCAGGCTGATTCTCAACAGCAGAATTCCATGCCAAAATATAATAGAAAATGTCTAGAAAGATTGAGTGTATAAAATGTGAAATAGCGGCCGGGCGTGGTGGCTCATGCCTGTAATCCCAGCACTTTGGGAGGCTGAGGTGGGCAGATCACCTGAGGTCGGGAGTTGGAGACCAGCCTGACCAACATGGAGAAACCCTGTCTCTACTAAAAATACAAAATTAGCTGGGCGTGGTGGCACATGCCTGTCATCCCAGCTACTCGGGAGGCTGAGGCAGGAGAATTGCTTGAACCCGGGAGGTGGAGGTTGCGGTGAGCCGAGATCGTGCCATTGCACTCCAGCCTGGGCAACAAGAGTGAAACTCTGTCTCAAAAAAAAAAAAAAAAAAGTGAAATAGCATTATGCCTGTTATCTAAGATTATAAAGCTAAGAAGTAGACATTCTCAAACATGAAAGAACTTGAAGAGTAAAGTGCCCATAAACCCTATTTTGGGGGAGGAAATAAAATCCATCCAACTAAAAATGAATCAAAATGAAGAATTTAAAACCAGGGAAAGGCCGGGCGCGGTGGCTCACGCCTGTAATCCCAGCACTTTGGGAGGCCGAGGCAGGTGGATCATGAGGTCAGGAGATCGAGACCATCCTGGCTAACAAGGTGAAACCCCGTCTCTACTAAAAATACAAAAAATTAGCCGGGCGCGGTGGCGGGCGCCTGTAGTCCCAGCTACTCGGGAGGCTGAGGCAGGAGAATGGCGTGAACCCGGGAAGCGGAGCTTGCAGTGAGCCGAGATTGCGCCACTGCAGTCCGCAGTCCGGCCTGGGCGACAGAGCGAGACTCTGTCTCAAAAAAAAAAAAAAAAAAAAAAAACCAGGGAAACAATGGCTATTACTGAACTTGTTTAAATGCAACAGTAACACCTATGGGAATTATATTAGCATAACAGAATGTAAATTTTACAAAGTAAAAATAATATAAGCCACAAGAATCAGGAGCTGGGGGGAAGCAAGGTAGGATACAGTGTTAGAGCACTAATCAATTCAACTTTCAAAGTAGAGATCAACTGATACTGCCTAAAGTTGTAACATTTTAAAATTGTAACATATAGTTTATACAAATCCAACCTCCTGATGGCTTTCATATTTTCCCATAATCTTTACACAATCTTTCAGGAACAGATACCTCTTAAAATTAGTGCTGTACAAAGGAAAGGAAATCAGTATATCAAAGGGACATCTGCATCCCCACGTTTATTGTAGCACTATTCACAATAGCCAAGATATTGAATCAACCTAGGTGTCCAACAACAGTTTAATGGAGACAGAAAGTGTGGTGTATATACACAATTAAATACTATTCAGCCATAAAAAGAGGGAAAGCCTGTTGTTCACAGAAACATGAATGAAACTGGAAGACATTAAGTGAAATAAGCCAGGTACAGAAAGTTAAACACCACATGTTCTCACTCTAAAATTAGTTGATCTCATAGGAGTAAAAAGGAGGACAGAGGATAACAGAGGCTGGGAAGGGTAGGAGGAAAGAACGATATACAAAGATTTGTTAAAGGATACAAAATTAAAGCTAGATAAGAGGAACAAGTTCTAGTGTTCTATAGCATTGTAGGATGACTATAGTTAACAATGCATATATAGATTCAAATAGCTAGAAGGAGGGTATCGAAAATATTCCCAATGCAAAGAAATGATAAGTGTTTGAGATTATGGATATGTTAATTACCCTGATCTGATCACTATACATTATATGTATCAAAACATCAATATGGGCTGGACGCACTGGCTCACACCTGTAATCCCCGCAATTTGGGAGGCCAAGGCAAGTGGATCAGCTGAGGTCAGGAGTTTGAGACCAACCTGGCCAACATGGTGAAACCCCATCTGTACTAAAAATACAGGAGATTAGCCAGGCGTGGTGGTGGGCATCTGTAATCCCAGCTACTTGGGAGGCTGAGGAGGGAGAATTGCTTGAACCCGGGAAGTGTAAGTTGCAGTGAGCCGAGATTGCGCCACTGAACTGCAGCCTGCGCAACAGAGTGAGACTCTGTCTCAAAAAAATAAAATAAAATAAACACGTACCCTATAAATATGTACAATTATTATGTGTCAAAAAAATTAAATGAAAAAATAGTAGCTCTGACTGAAAGTTCTACTTCAGTTTATTTTTCTTGTTTTAAATTCAAGTAAACTTAGTTTTAATATTTTGTTAAAATAACATGTATAGTGTGATATCATTTTTATAAATTTTTTAATCAATCAACTTTCTATCTACCTGTCATTGAATCAACTAACCAGCTAGCCAGCCATCCTCCTAAGTGGACATAAGCATAAAGAAACATCTAAAATGATACTTACTACATGTTATTTATTTTATTTTTCTGCCTAACAGTTTAGATGATTTGTTTTCTTCTTCATATTTTTTATAATTGAATTTTCATAATGAGCACAGACAGTTTTCAAAAAATTAAAGAATTACTCTAAAATACTGCAAAGCTTTATTTTTTCTTTTTGGACTGTTTCTACCTTATCACTTTCTCTTTTTTAATATACATATATATTGTGAAATGATTACCACAGTAAAGTTAGGTACAGAATGGAACTCTGATGGACTCTTCCAGGATTTTAACTCAAGTGTTTCAGTTAGTGAAGGAGGCTTCTGGATCTTTCCAGGCATGTAGATGTCTTTAAGGATGCAATCAGGCCTCCTCGTCACAAGCGTGTGGCCATCTATGGGCCACATAGATGTGTTACTATGTGAGGTAACACATCTATTACCTCACATAGTTACCATTTTGTGTGTATGCGTGTGTGTGTGTGTGTGTGTGTGTGTGTGTGGTGAGGTTTACTCTCTTAGCAAATTTCAAGTATACAATACACTATTGTTAACTATAGTCACCATGCTGTACATTAGATTCCCATACCTTATCCTACAACTAAAAGTTTGGACCAACATATCCCCATTTCCCACATCCCCATCCCCCTGCCAACAACCATGCTACTCTCTCTTTCTGAGTTTGACTTTTTAGATTCCACAAACAAATGAGATTATGCAGTATTTGTCTTTCTCTATCTGACTTATTTCACTTAGCATAATGCCCTGAAGGTTCATCTATGTTATTGCAAATGGCAGGATTGCCTTCTTTTGTAGCTGAAAAATATTCTATTGTGTATATATACCACATTTTCTTTATCCACTCATCCCTTGACAGACACTTAGATTGCTTCCATAGCTTGGCTATAGTAAATAGTGGGCTATTAACATGGGAGTGCAGATATCTCTTCAACATACTAGCTTCATTTCCTTTGGACATATACCCAGAAGTAGAAGCACTGGATCATATGGCAGTTAGTTGTATTTTTATTTTTTAAGGAACCTCCATACTGTTTTCCATAAAGGCTGTACTAACTTACATTCTCACCAACAAGTGCATAGGGGTTCCCTTTTCTCAGCATCCTCACGAACACTCGTTATTTCTTGTCTTTTTGATAACAGCTATCCCAAAAAGTGTGAGGTGATCGCTCATTGTGGTTCTGTTTATGTTTCCCTGATGATAAGTGATGTTGAGCACCTTTTCATGTACCTGTTGTCCATATGTATGTCTTCTTTGGAAAAATGTCTATTCAGGTCCTTTTCCCATTTTTAATGGAATTATATGGGTTTTTGTTGTTGAGTGATATGGGTTCTTTAAATATTTTGAGTATTAACCTCTCATAAGATACATGGTTTCTGAATATTTTCTCCCATTCTGTACATGGCCTTTTCATGTTGTTAACTGTTTCCTTTTATGTGAAGAAGGTTTTTATTTTAATGTAGTCCCATTTGTTTATTTTTGCTTTTGTTGCTTGTCCTTTGGTGTTATGTTCAAAAATATCACTGCCAATATCGATATAAAGGAGCTTTTACCCGGTGTTTTCTTCTTGGAGTTTTATGGTGTCAGATACTACATTTAAATCGTTAAGCAATTTCAAGTTAATTTTTGGGAGTGGTGTAAGATAAGGATTGGATTTCATTCTTTTACATGTGGATATAGTTTTTTCAGCATCATTTATTGAATAGACTATTCTTTCCCCATTGTGCACTCTTGGCATCCTTGTCCATTATAAGTTGACCGTGTATGTGGAGGTTTCCATGGATTCCATGCTGTCAATTCTGTTACATTGATCTATGTGTCTGTTTTTATGCCAGTACCATATTGTTTTCAGTACCATTTTGTAATATAGTTTTAAATGAGGAAATGTGATGCCTCGAGCTTTATTCTTCTTTCTCATGATTGCTTTGTCTGTCTGGGGTCTTTTCTGATTCCATATGAATTTTAGGATTGTTTTCTGTTTCTGTGAAAAATGCCATTGGAATTTTGATAGGAGTTGCATTGAATTTGTAGATTGTGCTGGATTTTATGGGCATTTTAACAATATGAATTCTTCTACTCCATGAACATGGGGTATCTAGACATTTATTTGTGTCTTCTTCAATTTCCTTCATCAATGTCTTATAGATTTCAGTACCTAACATCTTTCACCTTCTTGGTTAGATTTATTCCTAAGGATTTTATTGGTTTTGATGCTACTATAATTGGAATTGTTTTATTTCTTTTTTTATAAGATGCATAGATAAAACTTAGTCATTTTTAAATTTTACTTTGAGTTCTGGGATACGTGTGCAGAACATGAAGGTTTGTTACATACGTATACATGTGCCATGGTGGTTTGCTGCACCTATCAACCCATCATCTAGGTTTTAAGGCCCACATGCATTAGGTATTTCTCCTAATGCTCTCCCTCCTCTTGCCCCCCATCCCCCAACAGGCTCCAGTGTGTGTTGTTCCCTTCCCTGTGTCCATGAGTTCTCACTGTTCAACTCCTACTTATGAGTGAGAACATGCAGTGTTTGGTTTTCTTTCCTGTGTTAGTTTGCTGAGGATGATGGCTTCCAGCTTCACCCATGTCCCTGCAAAGGACATGATCTCATTCTTTTTTATGGCTGCATAGTATTCCATGGTGTATATGTACCACGTTTTCTTTATCCGGTCTATCATTGACGAGCATTTGGGTTGGTCTTTACTAATGTAAATAGTGTTGCAGTAAACATATGTGTGCATGTGTCTTTATAGTAGAATAATTTATATTCCTTTGGGTATATACCCAGTAATGGGATTGCTGGGTCAAATGGTATTTCTGCTTCTAGGTCCTTGAGGAATCGCCACACTGTCTTCCACAATGGTTGAACTAATTTACATTCCCACCAACAGTGTGAAAGCATTCCTATTTCTCCACAGGCTCACCAGAATCTATTGTTTTTGGACTTTTTAATAATTGCCATTCTGACTGGCTGGAGATGGTATCTCATTGTGGTTTTGATTTGCATTTCTCTAATGATCAGTGATGTGCAGCTTTTCTTCCTATGTTTGTTGGCCACATAATGTCTTCTTTTGAGAAGTATCTGTTCATATCCTTTGCCCATTTTTTGATGGGGTTGCTTGTTTTTTTCTTGTAAATTTGTTTAAGTTCCTTGTAGATTCTGGATATTAGACCCTTGTCAGATGGGTAGATTGCAAAAATTTTCTCCCATTCTGTAAGTTGTCTGATCACTCTGTGGCTTTCTTTTTCAGATAGTTTGTTATTACTCTATGGAAATGCAACTAATTTGTATGTGTTGCTTTTGTATCTCACAACTTTACTAAATTCACTTATTAGTTCTTAGTTTTTGGCAGAGTTTTGGTACAGTTTTTTTTCAGTGGAGTCTTTAGAGTTTTCTACATATAAGATCATCATGTCACCTGAAAACAGAAACAATTTTACTTCTTCTTTTCTAATTTGAATGCTTTTTATTTCTTTTTCTTGCCTAATTAGTATGGCTAGGACTTCCAGCACTATGTTGAACAGAAGTGGTGCGAGTGGACAACCCTGTCTTATTCCCAATATTAAAGAAAACAATTTCAGCTTTACACCACTGAGTATGATGTTAACTAAAAGGATGTTGAATTGTGTCAAATGCTTTTTATTCATCTGCTGACATAATTATATTATTTTTATCTTTCCTCCTGCTAATGTGGTGTATCATATTTATTGATTTGCATATATTGGACCATCTTTTGCTAGTATTAATATTATGCTGAGGATTGTTGCATCTATGTTCATCAGAGATATTGGCCTATAATTTTATTTTCTCATACAGTCCTCATCCAACTATGGTATCAAGGTAATGTTAGCCTCATAAAATGGATTTGGAAGTGTTCCTTCCTGTTCAACTTTTTGGAAGAGTTTGAGAATAATTCACATTAACTCTTCCTTAAATGTTGGGTAGATTCCCCAGTGAAGTCATCTGGCTCTGGACTTTAGTTTGTTGGGAGGTTTTTTATTATTGATTCAATTGACTTACTAGTTATTGGTCTGTTCAGATTTTCTCTTTCTTCCTAATTCAGTTTTGATAGCTTGTATGTTTCTAGCAATTTACCCATTTCTTCTAGGCTACCCCTAGAAGTATCCCTATTAGTTACTTTATAATTATTCATCATAGTCTCTTATGATCCTTTGTATTTCTGTGACATCAGTTTTAATGTATCCTCTTTCATTTCTGATTTATTTAATTATTCCCTCTCATTCTTAGTCTAGTTAATGGTTTGTTGATTTATCTTTTCCAAAAAAAACTAGCTCTGGTTTGTTAGTCTTTACTACTGTTCATCTAGTCTATTTCATTTTTTTTTTTGCTCTGATCTTTATTATGTCCTTCCTCCTGCTAAATTTGGCCTTTTTCTATTTCATAATTCCTTGACATATAAAGTTGCATTGTTTATTTAGGTTCTTTCTTTTTTTCTTAACATGTAGGTGTTTATTCCTATCCTTTCTCTTAGAAATACTTTCATGGCATCCTGTTAGTTTTGGTATGTTGTGTTTCCATTTTTGTTTGTTTCAGAATTTTCAATTACTCTTTACATTTCTTCTTTGACCCATTGGTTGTTCAGAACTATGTTGTTTAATTTCCACATAGCTGTGAATTTTCCACTTTTACTATTGTGATTGATTTCCAGTTTCATACCACTGTGTTCAGAAAAGATACTTGATATGATATTAATCTTCTTGAATTTGTGAAGCATATTTTGTGGCCTAACATATGATCTATCCTGGAAAATGTTCTGTGTGTGCTTGAGAAGAATGTATATTCTGCTGCTGCCAGGTGGAATGTTCTGTATATGTCTGTTAGGTCCATTTGGCCTACAGTTCTGCTCATATCTGGGGTTCCTTATTGATATTATGCTTGGATGATTTATTCATTGTTGAGAGTAGGATATTTAAGTCCCCTACTATTATTGTATTGCTGTTTATTTCTCCCTTCTATTCTATTAGTATTTGCTTTATATACTTAGGTGTTCCAATGTTAAATGCATAAATATTTAAATTGTTGTATCTTCCTGATTAATTGACCTCTTTATCATTGCATAATGACCTTCTTTGTCTCTTGTGATTGTTTTGGCATAAAGTCTATTTTGTTTGATATAAGTGGATCCACTGCTACTCTCTTTTGGTACTACTTGCATGAAATATCTTTTTCCATCCCATTTTCCATCCCACTTTCAGCCCATGTGTCTCCTTAAAGCTCAAGTGAGTCTCTTGTAGGCAGCATGTTATTGGCTCTTATTTTTTATCCATTCAGCCATTCTATGTCTTTTGTGTGTGGAGAATTTAATCCATGTACATTGAAATTACATATTGATAGGTAAACATTCACCACTGCCATTTTGTTCGCTGTTTTCTGCCTGTTTTGTAGTTCCTTTATTCCATTCTTCCTCTCTTGCTGTCTTCCTTTGTAACCTGAAGATTTTTTGTAGTGGTGGTATACTTTCTTTTCTCTTTATCTTGTGTGTATCTACTACAGGTCTTTCCTTTGTGTTTACCATAAGGATTACATAAAATATCTTATAGTTATAGCATCACCCTAATTTAAGCTGATAACAACTTAACTTCCACTGCACATAAAACTCTACAGTCATCTCTTCAAACCTTTATAGGTTCACTTTGGCAGGGAAAGAACTTCACTACTCAGTCCAGCCTATGGTTCTTGACAGGCCAACTGGTAGCATTGACAGACAGACAGAGCTTCCTGTTGCGATCTCTAGTTGAGTGGGGCCACTGCAGGTACTCTAAAGCTGGCTGGGTTTCCTGCCTGGGATCCGAAGTCAAGCAGGGCCACTGGCTGGGCTCCCTGGTCTGGCGGGGCTACTAGCTGGACTCTACCCACAAGCTGTGCTCAGCAATTGGGAAGAGCCTTAGGCTGGACTCCATGGCCAGGCAGGGTGGGATGAGGTCACGGGCTTTGTTCCTCAATTGAATAGGGCTACTGGATTGGCTCTCTGCTCAGTGGGGTCATAGGCTGGGTTCCACAGATGGGTGGGGTTGCTGGCTGAGCTCCCTGGTTAGGTGGGGCCTAGGGGTAAACCCTACTTTAAAATTATAATTTCAGCCATTAATTTCATTTGTCTGCCAATTAGTCCTTCTTTATATAAATCTCTTCATGAACTTGGCAAGTTTGGAATTAACAGCTGATTCAACCATATTCAATTTCTCTGAAATTTTTGCAAATTATCTTTGCACTATGAATTCTCGTTAGCTTCTTAGTTTATTAAGTAAATGTTGGGAGAAAGTTCTATGCATCCTAACGGTATAATCTCCCAATGAGCTGTGGTGGACTAAATATGGCCATATATTCTTTGCCATCCCTCTTTGATAGATAAATTTTTCTCCTTCTCTTTATTCTGGGCTGGCCTTGTGACTTGTTTTTACCAACAGAGAGTACAGCAAGTGATGCCATGTGACTTCTGAGGCTGACCCTTAAGAGATGTGCAGCTTCCACCTTTACTGCTTGGAAAATTCCCCCTGCATTTAGCTGGTATTTGGTTGGGCTGTAGGATGCTTCACTCACATTCTCAGTGCTTCCCCAATTATGCTTTCCTTCTTAGCATAGTTAGCCTAGGCTTCCTCAGAGCACGACAGACTTCTTATGTATCAGCTGGCTTCCCAGGGGGAGTTTTCCAAGCAGTAAAGGTGGAAGCTTCTTAGATTATCCCAAAATTTGGATCCCAGCCAAGACTTCCCCTTGGAGCTCCAGACCCATGAATCGACTGCCTCCTTCACATCTCTACTTGGGTATCTTTAAAGTGTCTTATTCACTCCTTCCTCTAACAAGTTTTTATTAAACACTTCTATAAGTCTGGCACCATCTCGACATGTCCAAATATATCATCTCCACAAAACTGAACATCCTTCCATTTCCCCAACTTAGTGAGTCTGTCCCAGAAATCTAAGAGTCCTTCTCATTCACCATCTTAACCCAGCTCTGCCTATGTTACCTCCTCAATATCTCTAAAACCTATCTACTTTTCTGTCTCCATTGCCATCATTTAAGAATCATTCTCTGTCCGCAAGTATTGCAATAGCCTCTAAATTGGTTCCCTCGCAACTACTATTCTCCTTCCTAACCCATTATCCTCAGGTATCCAGGGTGATCTTTCTTTTAATGTTATTTATTTCATCAAATATGAAACATTTTCACACACTTCGAAGATATATAAGGCATATATTGAGAAACCTTGCTTCAAATTCTGTTTCCATCCTCTTCATCCCCCACCTCCAATATGTATCACTTTTATTAAAATCTTGTGTGCCCTTCATCTTTTCTTTGTCCAAATGCAAGCAAATACAAATATGTTCTTATCTCCCTCTTTCTTAAATGTAAGATAGCATACTGGATACTCTCTTCTGCATGTTGCTTTTTTCACTTAATATATCCTCAAGATACTTCCATACTAGTGCATCAAGAGCTCCCTCATGCTTTTTTAAAACTGCAAGTATTAAATTGTGGGACTTTGCCATCATTCATTTATCCAGTAATAAATAAGCAATGGGATAAATGAATTCAAATGATATTCACATCATTCTTATTCTCATGTCCACCAATCAAGGACAAAATGAAATCCACACTTCAGATGAGAAAGATCAAACATAAAGAATAAAACAACTCCAACTTCTTCCTCGGTAATGTGAACCCTAAAACTTAGTGGCTGTCAGTCCTTCAGTTGGCCTTTGAAGAAAAGGAAGAATGTTGTTGGCCAAGGCTCGTGTTCAGTTACAGAAGGTACCACTGAAACAGCACAGTACTGATGATTCCTCCCACTAGCCAAGAACACTTTGATTACTACAGCCCACAGCACTACGTTCCAAAAAAAATCCTGCAATTACTAAGGGTGTGTGTCCCAGAGCCATCTTTGCAGAAAAGAAGAGCTTCCTCAAATTTCCTCAATTGCTGAATTATTTGAATGTAAACATTTTACTTCTAACTGTAAGGATACCATGCATAGTAATCTAAATCCATCCATATTCAAGTTTTTAAAAGCATATAAAACTGTGGCACCTGGGTAAGCTTTGAGTAAGACATTTGTCTCCATATTTCATACTTTGATAAGACCATTTCTCTTTCTTAAGGAAGTCGTATGGAAAGTTTGGGATTAAATTTACTCTATACTCTCTTTCCTATTCATTACTTTTGATAATTGTTAATTAATTTGCCCATTTCCATTAATCTTCCCCCAAAGCAATCAACTAACAAACGTGTTTAATATTTAAATGCATGTTATATGTGCATATGTATGCATATTTTCAATGTGTTTTCTTTCTGAATTAAATTGCTTATCTGATCGAGGCCTATCACAAATGTTCATATATTTCCACTAAAATAGAGTAAAATACAAATCCTTATATACTTATCAAAATTATTTTCTGGTTTAAAGTTTAAATAATAAGCTTTAGACTTTACAACTATAACCAAATATGCACTTTAAAATAGCCATGAGGATAAATGAACAAAAGAATTTTTAGAATTAGAAAATCAATTATATATTCCAACCTAGAAAAGGAATTTAAAAAATTAGATTCCAAAATCCAAAGCAAAAACTTTAACAGCAAAACCAGTTGCCAAAATAACAAACATTATTGACAAAAATAAAACTATTATTATTTAAATTACTGACAAAAATAAATAAAACTGAAAATCCCTTTTACAGGCAACAAAATTGACAGCAGCAGCAGGCAGTCCAGAGCAGCCGCTGCCATCACGCTGGCTGCAGCAAGGAGGTGCGAGTGGTGGCAGCAGGAGCCGCTGCGGGAGCAGCAGTGGCAGTGGCTGGACCCCTGTGCCCCGCATCCCCAAGGCAGCTGACTGCTCTGCACCCACCCTTGCGCAGCCAGACGGAACCTGCCCCCAGGCCCACAGCCTCCAGGACTCTGAAGCCCTGGCCCAGCATGACCATTCTAGCATACCGCACCTGCGGGGAGGGCACCTGCAGGGAGGGCACGGGAAGGAGGCAGAGCTGGGCCCAGGATGGTGCTGCGCTCCATGGAGCTGGAGGGAGCCAGGGATAAGAGGGACCCTCTGAGAGCCTGCTGCCCTGGGGGCCACTGCGACAGGGCTGAGCCGAGCTACCTGCCAGCACTGGAGCAGCACAGTTGGGCACGGAGGGGCAGGCAGAGAGGAGCCCAGAGAGGACCTGGAGGCCCCACCCCAGGCTGCAAGGAGGCATAGCCTGGGCTGCCTGCAGGCTCCATGGAGAGGGCGGGGCTCCCACCCTCCCAGGCACAGGACCTGGGGTCTCTGACTCTGTATCCTCAGGGGCCCAGAAGGCCCACCAACCCCTTGGGTTGTCTGCTCCTGCTGCCTGGCCTCTCCCCACTCCCAGTGCCTGCTCCCATCTCAGAGCGGGATTGGGGCCGAGCCCGGGCACTGTCACAGCCCAGCCAGGTGTGCTCACACTCAGGACAGCACTGACATGCCAGCCCCCTGTCGCCCTGGCCCTCTCTAGACATTGGGCACCAACAAGCACTGCAGGGAAGCCAAGGTGGGTGCTGAGGGCAGCTCGGCACTGGCCTGCAGGTGCCCCTTGGCCCAAGCAGCCTGGGTGCCATGGACCCTAGCAGGAGGCAGAAAGGCTCCTGGGCAGAAGGCGGTGGGTTCCCAGTGAGGCCCCACCTTCGGGCCAGGGAGGGCCTGAAGACTGGGGCTCACGCTGCCAGTCCCACACGGACTGAGATGGGAACTTGTGGTGCCTTTTTCAGACCCACCCATGGCCACCCATGGACTAATGGGCACACACTTCCTCCCATCTGAGGCCCATAAAAGCCCCAGGCTCAGCCAGAGCAGAAGGGATGGCAGGACCACAAGCTGCAGAAAGGAGCTACCCTCTCTGCTGAGAACTGAACACTCATCGGGATGACCAGCTGCAGACAGGAGCTACCCTCTCTGCTGGGAGCCAAACACTTGTTGGGAAGACCTGCCTGCAAAGAGGAGCTACCCTCTCTGCTAGGAGCTGAACACTCAATGGGACACCCTGGCCTTAGAAAGGAGCTGCACCCTGTGGGTCTCTGCTGGTTGTTCTATTGCTCAGTAAAGCTCCTCTTCGTCTTGCTCACCCTTCACTTGTCCGCATACCTCATTCTTCCTGTTTGCAGAACAATAACTCAGGACCCACCAAATGGCGAGGCTAAAAGAGCTGCTATAACACAAACAGGGCTGAAACATACCCACTGCTCACCAGGTTGCAGGCAAAGAGAAGGAGAGAAGAGCTGTGGCCCTTTGGGGAGACCAGACCTGAGGAGCTCCCTGAGCCAGGGCTGTGACTCCCTCTTTGAGACCTGTGATTCCTGGTGTCCTCAAGCTTCTGGGTGCCACCACATTCCCCAATGCCAGCCAGGGAAGCTGCTTGCAGTGTGCCTGGTCCAGCCACAGCCTCCCAGAGAGCTGACGCCCATGCCAGCACCTGGAGCTGCCTGCCCCATGGCAGCAGCCAGCATGTCTGACTGTGCAGTGGCCAGACCCCACATTCACTCACACACCCCTCACCACTCCACACCTGACTCACAATCTCCCTTGAAGGTGTGGGATCCAGGCTGGTAGCACAAGCCAAGTGCAGCCTGCCAGGCCGAGTGGGCAGAACAAGAACAGCAGCCCCAAGCAAAACTCAGGCAAACGCACCACCAGACAGAGGTTTCCAGCCAGAGAAATGACAACCCAAAAATCCTATAACAAAATGAGAGATTAAAAGGGAAAGGAAATAGAGGGAAAAAAAAGTAAAAGATACCTAACTTTCAAGGTAAATTTTTTAAAATAACTTTTTTTTTAGGAAAAAAATCCCTTTTGGTCAGAACTATAAGCCATTTATGTATACAAGTATTTAGGAAGTTAGTTGAAGTAGAAAATCAATGACAAAATTACCATAAAATTTATTAAGCGTACTATATTCAGACAGTAGTCAAATTTCTAAAAATAAAACCCTAGGTCATAGCAGCATAATTTTTACTCTTACTTAATACTTTCAAAAAAGCAAATAGTCATTAGATATAGAGTTTATTATTTATTATCATCTTTCATTCTAATCCTTTATCCTCATATCCTTTTGATGTTTTTCTTTTAAAATGGAATCATTATAATAGATGTAAATAATATTCAATAGTAGTAGCCTATATGAGCCATTAGTTATAGTCTAATAATTTCAATGTCTTACTTTTCTTCTAGGAAATAAAAAATTTATCAATAAGAGTGGAGATTTTTCTTCTCTTCTACCTCTCCCATTTAACATATTAGCCATTAAAAAACCACACAAGTTCGGTTCAAAGGATGCTGCTATTTATCTCCTATTTCCTTGTAGTCCCTTTTCACATGACGTATCTTTAAAATAAAGCAAAAATCTTCCAGAATTTAAAATTGTAGCTAATAAACTTACCGTCCATTTCTAAGTGTGTGTGTGTGGTGAGGGCGTCATATTATTTTACACATGTATCTACCCAGAAACCCAACTGCTTTGTCTAAGTTTAATGAAACATGGTATATATTTTCCTTTTATGCCCAGAATAAGTATTACTAAAAGCAGAACAAGAACAAAATTAATTCTGCCTCATGTTTTTATTAAATACTAGCTAACTGAGCATATGTAACATGCCAGGGTCTGGGATAAAAGTTTATCTACAGCACTGGATTCAGTCTTTACAACCCTCTAGATATTATTATCATCCCTATTTTACAAATGAGGAAACTGAGGCTCAGAAAGGTTTACTCTCCCAACATCACATAATAAAGCTCAAAACTAGGTTTCAACATGAGTTTTCTCACTCCAGAGCTTCCTCTTAACCAATACACACACACATAATCATTTACAAAGTATATCCATACACATGCTCTTCTCATATAATCCCAATTTTCCATTTCCAGTTGAAGAATAACTGAAATTTCTAGTTGGGAAAAACTCAGAAACCCTGACAGTAACTCAGTATAGAAATACCCATTTAAAGCATCCCTTGCTTTCGGTCAAACTCATACATTGACAGAGAAGTCGCAGCTGCTTGAAGCAACCAGCTACACTGTGGGATAGTCACAAGTGTTTAAAAGTTCTACATTAAGTCAAGAAAAAATGCTCCTTTTAATGAATTTTCCTCTATAGGTGTCATTCTTTTTTTTTATTATTGTGGGTACATAATAGGTGTATATATTTATGAGGTACATAGGATATTCTAATACAGACATGCAATGTATAATAATCACATCATGGACAATGAAGTGTCCATCCTCTCAAGCATTTATCTTTTGTGTTACAAACAATCTACTGATACTTTTTAAGTTATTTTTAAATGTACAATTAAGTTTCTATTGACTATACTCACCCTGTTGTACTATCGAATAGGATGCCTTATTCATTCTTTTTTTTTGTACCCATTAATCATCCTCACCTGCTCTCCAACCCCCACTACTCTTCCCAGCTGCTGGTAACCATCCTTCTACTCTCTATGTTCAATTGCTTTGATTTTTAGATCCCACAGGTGAAAACATGTGATGTTTGCCTTTTTGTGCCTGGCTTATTTCACTTAACATAATAACCTCGAATTCCACTCATATTGTTACAAAGGACAGAATCTCCTTCTTTTTTTATGGTTGAATAGTACTGCATTGCGTATATGTACCACATTTCCTTTATCCATTTGTCAGGTGATAGACCCTTAGGTTGCTTCCAAATCTTGGTTATTGTGAATAACAACAGCAACAAACATGGGAGTGCAGAGGTGTTCTTCTTTTACAGCAATTGAAAATAAGGCTATTTTTTTTTCCGATCTGCCAACTATATGACTGCTGACATTTGTGATACATTCCTTTCACATCCTCTGTTCAGTTAGGTCCTTTCCATTAGCGATGATATAACCCTAAGCTCAAGCAGGAATAAGCAAGATGGCAAACATAATGGCTCACTGAATAAAAAAAAAAGCTCAGGTTATCTTCAGGCCCATCTTGATCCAGGAGCTCAAATGATACCATCAGAATTTTCCACAGAAGATGGCATCAATTTTTTACAGAATTGAACTCCAGACTCCAAATGTGTCTGAATCAGCACAGATTACATGAAAAGGGGAGCAGCTTTCTACTTTTTCCACTTTTCTGTTATATTTATCAATCAAGTTTTATATAAATATATTGATCATTCAAAGTATTTCTTCTTTATTGGAGTTGTCAGTTCCCTTAGTACTCAGTACTCATTTTGTGTTAATTACGTCACCAGCTTGTTCCTTGGGGAGAAATTCTACAATAGTACCTCTTATTATGACTTCTGCAGTTTTATCTGACAGGTTTATAATTTGGAGGCTGCTTCATGTGAATTTTGTTATGACATAGCATCAGTCAGATATATAGTTACTTTGCTGGAAAAATTTTTCAGAAAACTCAACTCAAAATGGCCCAAATAAGAATGATTTATTAAGTAGGACAGATCTGAAATAGTTAATTTGGCAGCCCAATGACACGGTGAGGGACTTGGTTTCCTTCCATCTTTTTACTCTGCCATCCTCAGTGCATGGGCCCCACAGCCCCAGGACCACAATATGGCTGCTGCAGTTGCAAACATCACATACAAACCAAGACCAGCAAAACTCTGACAAACTTTCTTCATAAGCATCGCTTTTTAAGAAATGAAACCTTTCCAAGATGGCCTTTTCAGCCCTCCACTCATAGCGCAGTGGTAAGAAATACATCACATACCCATTCTTAAACGAATCACAGGTAGAAATATAAAATATACAAAATATAAAACAATCCTGAGTGGTTTAGTGAAACATGACTGCGTGCAGCAGAGGGACTGCCTAAAGAAAATAAAGCTCTCTAAATAACGAAGAAGATGAGATATGCCGTTGGGTAGAAAACAGAAGAAAATTAAAGTTACCCATACTCTCATCACTCAGAAATAGGTCTTACTAATATTTTGATGTATATCCTTCTAATAATTTTCCCTTTTTGTTTGCTTCACTTAAACTTATTTCATCCATGTATTCATTGATGTGTTTATTGAAGTCGAGGGCCTACTACATTCCACTGCTCTTCGAGGCAATAGTGATAGGATGGTGATAAAGGCAAGGAAACAAATCATCATCCTTGGTGATTTCAGGCCGTGCTCGGTGCTGTGTAGACAATTACAGGGATAGAGGGAGGGGGTAAGGTGTGATGGCGAGTTGAGAGGTCTCTGTCCCAGCAGAGTCCTGCAAGAGGTGAAAGAGGGAGCTGTGTGAAGATGTTGAGGAAGAGAATCCTACATGCAAAGGCCCACAGGGAACACCATGTGGCCATGATCATGAAACAGCAAAAGTGCCAGTGTGGCCAGCATCACACACGCAAGGGGAAAGGGAAGTGATACATTCCAAAGTGGTCAGAAGCCAAACCTCACAGGGCCCAGCAGGCAACTATGAGGCCTTTTGTTTTATTCTAAGAAAGCCCTGGAGGGTTGAGCAGGGGAAGACTTGGCCTGACATATTTTTTAGTGCTCACTCAGGCTGTTCTGTAGATAACAGACTCTATAGAGACAAAATTCTAGAAAGTAGATTCTTGAAGAATTTGTGACAGCTTTTCTCAGTTCAATTTTTCTTCAGTTACAAGAACAGTGCTTTCTATTCACTGACTTTCTTCTGTATCTCTGAGAATGTTTCAATTACTTGGTTGAGACCAGCACTGCCCAAGAGAAACACAACATAAACCACAAATGAGAGCCATATGTGTATTTTGAAGTTTCTAGTAAAAGAAAGAAGTAAAAATAAACAAGTGAAATTAATTTTAATAATATATTTTTTCATACAACATATCCTAAATATAATTTCCACATATAAAATTATTAGAGAGATAGTTTGCATTCTATTTCTTGCATAAATTCTTTTAAATCTAGTGAATATTTTACACTGACAGCACATCATAATTCTCATGGGTCACATTTCCAATTTTTAAAAGCCCCACATGGCTATTGCCTACCATATAGGATATGGCAGGTGTAGACAATAGGGTCTACCTGCTCTTTGTTCCCCCAGTCTGTTCTCAGTACTATTTCATGTCTGTAATAGTTGACTACTTAAATTCGTAAATACTTTAATCATGAAAGGTCTGGCTAATTTCCATATCCAATATCACTCAGGTCTGTTGGATGGACACTGTTTCCTTCTTCTGCTGTCTCTAACTTTTCATTTTCAAATGTTTTAATTCAGATACACCCTCATATGTATGTATGCTGACCAACTCTAATTCACAGATATTTATTTGAGAAAGCAGCAGGTAGGTAATCTTTATATCCTTTAATAAGTGAATAAATTCTATAAACCTTAGACAAGATGCGAAGCTTCTAACCTTTTCTTCTTTCTCTGAAGTTTATAATTTAAATTTGATTTAGTCATACAGGTAATTTCCTAAACTTCATACCTCACATGTCACATAGGTTGAAAGAACATGAGTTTGTTCTGTTTTTTAAATTTTAAAACCAATATTTATGTGGAAAATATCAGATTAAGAGTAATACTTAGGGAGTAAGATCATTTTCTTTTTTGAATCCTAAGATTCATGTTTTGCTCCTTAATGTGAAAAATCTTTCTAAAATATATTAGGTAGATATCCACTTAGATAAGTATGGTATACAGACTATAATAGAATTTTCTTTGCTGATTACAAAGGCTACACGGTCTCAGTGTTGTTATTCCATAATAGCTGTCCACATACAGAGAGGCAAAGGAAAGAAAATCTAATTAATTGAAGGTCTTAGTTAGCTGAGGACTGGCAAGAATTCATTATGGCATGGCAAATGAGAGCAATTAATTCTGTAGAATAAGTGAGTATATATCAGATAGGAATGTTTTTGGGCTGAATATAATAGCCTCACTAACTGGCTTAAATAAATAAGGTTTTCCTCTGAGGGTCAGCAGGCCAGGACAGGTATAGTCACTTACTCTACAATACTGTCAACGACCCAAAGGACCCAACATCCTTCTAAATTCCCATTTTTAAAAGACTTACCTGTGGCCTTAAGATGCCTCCTACAGGCCGGGCGTGGTGGCTCACACCTATAATCCCAGCACTTTGGGAGGCTGAGGCGGGTGGATCACGAGGTCAGGGGTTTGAGACCAGCCTGACCAACATGGTGAAACCCTGTCTCTACTAAAAATACAAAAATTAGCTGGGTGTGGTGGTGGGCGCCTGTAATCCCAGCTACTAAGGATGCTGAGGCAGGAGAATTGCTTGAACCTGGGAGGCGGAGGTTGCAGTGAGCCAAGATGACGCCACTGCACTCCAGCCTGGGTGACAGAGAGAGACTCCGTCTCAAAAAAAAAAAAAAAAAAAAGATGCCTCCTACAAAAAGAGGTACACCATCCATGTTCCAGGCAAGAAGACAGGCAAAAGGCCAAAAGGCAAAAGATAATGCCAACCAAGTCTGTCCATTTTTAAGAACTTTTCCAGGTGCCACCTGCAAGAAATTTCATTTTGGTCTCACTGGCCAGGGCTGTGTAACCTGACCATCATAGCACGAAGAGAGGCTGGGAGGCAACTATCTCAACTGAAAGCATTGCTATCCTAAACAAAACCAGATAACCAGCAGTTGTGAACAATGAGGTTATTGCACAATTCAGGGAAACAAGGAGTTGGGTCCTTAATTGCTGTGTCCTGTGACAGCTGATGGGAAGTGAAAGCACATAGGGTCAGTATGAGAGATCAAAATCTGTAGCAAGATGTAACAATGCCACTTCCTTATCCACCACCCCCAAATCCCACACACCCCTTCATCTCTTCCTCTTCTGTCCATGCTGAAAATTCCTCTATGAACACTTCCAAGGCTACAATTTCCTACAGTTCTTCAATCTTCCATTTCCCCTAAAGTTGATTCTAACTAGCTGAACCATGGATTCCAAAGGACAAGGATGTTGACATTACTCTATCCACCCAGCCATTTCAGCATAGCAGAGTAGACCACTGGACATAATGAGCTCTTGATTATCCTCCTGTGCTATGGTTTGAATGTCTGTCCCTTCAGAAACTCATGTTGAAATTTAATCCCCAGTGTGGCAGTATTGAAAGGTCCGGCCTTTAAGAGAAGACTGGGTCAGGAGGGCTCTGCCCTGATGAATGGATTAATCCATTCATGGATTAATGGATTAGTGGGGTAATGGGTTAATGGATTCATAGATTATTATGGGAGTGGAAGTGGTAGCTTTATAAGAAAAGGAAGAGAGACTTGAGCTAGCATGCTCAGCCCCTCACCGAGTGATGCTCTGCACCACCTGGGGACTCTGCAGAGTCCCTACCAGCAAGAAGGCCTTCACCAGATGTGACCCCTCAACCTTGGACTTCTCAGCCTCCATAATTGTAGGTAATACATTCCTTTTCCTCATAAATTACCCAGTTTTAGGTATTATGTTACAAACAACAGAAAATAAGCTAAGACATCCTAAAACAGAGACTGTACTAAACGAAAAGTCCCACTGCTATGACTGCTCAAACGTGGCTCCTTTAAATGAAGTGGGGTCTCCCACAGAAACATACACTATATACTCACCCTCTACCTCTGTACTTAATTTAGGTGGCTTTCCACTTGCCCACACTCACTGTTTTCCTGTCTCTTCCACTGTCTAAATGTGTCTCCATTCCTGGATACTATTTTCCATGTGATCTGCTTCTACCTCTACTCTTCCCAACTCAAGTCTGAACTTGAATTTTTTAGCTTTGATCCCAACACTCTCCAGATACAACTTCAAAACAGTCTTCCTTGGCCTCAGGCACCCTGACCTTTGCCTTGTTCCTGCATAACCCCCAGCTGGTGTACCCCCATCAGGAGAAGAGATCAGGCACTCCAAACTTTCTGCACAGTGTGCTAGATTGAGGGAGTCAACCACCATGAAGGGAGAGAACTGCTGCCCTGATTCTCACTGATGAAAGGCCAGGAGGAAGGATTTTAAACATGCCACTTCATAGTGTTGTTTCCTTGCACAGCCCCCAGGAGCCATCCCTGAAGAAACATAGTGCCTCTTGAAGATTTTTTAAAAGATTTTTCCAGTTTGTCCTTCTCCCCCTTTGGAGCAGAGAATGTTAGAACAGAGGAAAAGTTAGGACAAATAGAGAAAGAGGGACCAACATCACCAGGAATGACAAAATAGAATTCTCTGTACTTCTAAATCTGCTAAGAAATAAAACCTGATGTGATTGTGAGAAGTGGGCAATGTTCTGTCCCAAGAAGGAAGACAAGGCCTTCCCTGCTCTGACCCTGCGTTTTGCTCCAGCCTCATTGCTGACTCCCTGCCTCCACCTGCTTTTTGTTTCTCGTATACTGCACTGGTCCAAAGAAGCTAGGTTATGGGCTGGTCACAAACAACTCCAAAATCACAACAAATGTACATTTTTCACTCGTCACCTCTTCTCTGAGTCCAGGCAACTCTTTAGGCCAGCTCTCCTCCATACTATGGCTAAGTAATACCTCTCTGTGTCAAGATACTCCTACAATGCCCAGGCCAGGGGAAGAGTGCTCTGGAGAACTTGACACCCATAGTTAAATGATCTCACCCAGAAAAAACATTTGTCATTTCTCCTCACATTGCATAACCTTGATGAACCACAAGGAGGCAGGGAAGTGCAATTTGTCACGTGTCCAGATGGAGGACAAATGGAAATATTTGTGAGCGACACAAATGCCTAACACACATTCCATGTTATTTTTTACCTCCATACTTTAGGGTAGTGTGGCCCCTGTGCTTAGGACACCCCATCCCCAACCCTTTTCTTGGTTAATCTGTATTCCCATCAGTCATCCTTCACCCTCCAGCCCTGCATGCAGGCTAGGTTAGAACTCTGTCCATATCATTGCACTGGTCACATCATGTTATTGTCTATCTTACTCAAAATTACAAGCTTCTATAAGTGTATCACTTGTCCTTTAAAATTTCAAGTATGAGGCCAGGTGTCGTGGCTCACACCTGAAATCCCAGCACATTGAGAGGCTGAGGCCAAAGGATCACTTGAGGTCAAGGGTTCAAGACCAGCCTGGGTGACATAGCAAGACCCTGTCTCTACAAAAATACATAAGTAAACAGTAAGAAAATAAAATTCGGCCGGGCGCGGTGGCTCATGCCTGTAATCCCAGTATTTTGGGAGGCCAAGGCAGGCGGATCACCTGAGGTCAGGAGTTCGAGACCAGCCTGGCCAATGTGGTGAAACCCCATCTCTACTAAAAATGCGTAAAATTATCTGGGCGTGGTGGCGGGCACTTGTAATCCCAGCTACTCGGGAGGCTGAGGTAGGAGAATTGCTTGAACCCAGGAGACGGAGGTTGCAGTGAGCCGAGATCGTGGCACTGCACTCTAGCCTGGGCGACAGAGTGAGACTCCATCTCAAAAAAAAAAAAAAAAAAATTCAAGAATGAAGCACAGTATGTGCCACATGGAAAGTGATTCGTAAATAAATGATAAATGATTAAATGAATACACAAATAGCAACCCAGAGAGTGCCAAGAAACAGTGAGAGGCACAACACCACAGGGCAGTGGAACAGACCCACACTCACACACACTCAGGACAAAGGTCAACCAATATCATCAAGAATGACAAAATCAAACTCTCCACATGTATAAATCTGCTAAGAAGTAAAATCCAACGGGATTGTTGGAAGTGGTCTGTTTCTTTATCCCAGAAAGAGACAGACATAACCCCTAGTGCCTGGAATGTTGTGGGACCACATGCTTTAGTTTCCTACCCTTCCTAAGAGTTCCATTGGTTTGAAGAAGAAAACATATACAAAACTCCCGTGCAAGGAATAAACGTTTACATCTATGACAGATATGGCTTGAAATTTAATATTCTGAAACTTTTCTTAATTTTTAGATTAGAAAACAATATATGACCACAGCAAAATTTCAAATAATGCAAAATAGTATGAATTGAAAAGTGGAAGTCCTCTCCCCCATTTCTACCCTAGATCCCCAATACTGCTCTTAGAAGTAATCATTGTTAAGTGTATTCCTCCAGAAATTCTCTATGCATAATTTATTTATGTATGTTGATATGTAATCTTTTCCTAAAAATGAGATCATATTTTGCATATTCTAAAACTTGCTCTTTTCTCCACAGTATATATATATGGCATCTCCCTATTAGTATATATAAACACATCCTATCAATTTTAAAGCTGAATTATGAGAATAAGGAATTTAAGCCGAACCCCTAACAAATGAGCAACAACTTTTTAAAGTTTTACTTTTAAATAACTCTTTCGAAGAGAAAAAAAGTCTTTCAGACATTCTCCTCTGGAAACAACTAGAAAACTAACTTCATATTCCCCACAAGATCCAGAAGACATCAGAAGGGTAATACATGGTCAACACAATGCTATTATTTATCTTCTAATTGAAGATAAGAACTGATTTTTTAAAAAATCCTTTTCCTAGAAAATACTGTGTGTTATTCTACCAGGAAATAAAAAATCTGATTTCAAATGTCCTTATTTCAAACATTTTATCTTGTTATATAATAAAGCTTCTTCGTTTATTTATCTTAGGCAGAGAATCAGAACTAAAGTCCTTCCCCATCAACTTAAAGAAATATTCATGCTTCAGATTTTCTACATCAAAATCTAGATTTAGCTGGAAAAAGCCCTCTAGCCACTGTTCTTTGCCCATTACAATTTAGTTAACGGCATAACCCTGCCTGTGGCCATAGTAAGCACAGGCAGCAGTCAAACCACAATTGGTACCTTACTCAAGGCTTTCTCCAAGCCCCCAGCCTTTCTTCCTTGCTTTGGGCACTTTCTCCTTTGACTGCAGACCTTGACTCTCTCACTTCTCTGCCTGGGTTGGATCAGGCTGGACTCCAGGACCAAGCATTGGCCTCTGGCTCTGCTGGCTCCTGCCTTGGGAGGCCTGTCATGCATGGGACATCACAAATACAGGTGAGAGAGCTCCACTCCTTGATACCACCCTAGCAGAGTTCATGGCACCTCCAATTCCACAGACATGGGCGAGAGACTGCACTCAATGCCCCAGACTCCTCAGGATACGACACTGGCTGCTCTGCTTCAAAGAGAGGACACTGAGCAGCTTCCAGAGGCAACAACATTCAGAAATGTGTGCTCAGAAGGCTTAATCTTGAGCAAACCATTGACCCCCGCTAAGGCTTAATTATCGCACTTGTAACATAGGGCTACTAATAGTAATTATGTAATAAGATTATAATAAGTTTAAGTAAAATAATCCATATTATATTTTCAATACAATGCATGATACATAGTATGCCCCTAATAAGTATAAATGGGGATGATGATGATGATGATGATGGCAATGATGAAGTTAAATCTCTTCAAAACATCTTTGGAATTCCTGACTTCCTTGAGCAATCAAACCTGCTAGAATCATGCCCCATCACCTTTCCTATACTTCAAGGAATGAGATCACCTAGATTCTTCCAGAGGAAAGGCATTCTGATAAATAAATAAATAAATAATTGTGCTCTTAAATGGTGCAAAAGACTCAACAAAGATCTTCCAAAACAAGGTAAACCCCTGATCCATGGAGATGCTTCTGAGGCTCCGCAAGTGTTCATTGACATGTACAATTTTCTAATATTTTCTAATGCCACTCATTCTGGGGCCTTTTTCTCCTTTCCCACAAATCCGCTTCATTTTTGAGGTGTTTTTTGTTTGTTTGCTTCTTTCTTGCTCATACCATTGATTCCATCTTTTATATATTTAAAACAGTGAACATGGCTATTTTATGTTTGGTATTTGATAATTCTAACCTGTCAAGTCTGCAGATCCATTGTGCTGTGTATAGTTTTTGGTGGAAGTGCCTTGTTTCCTGATAAGTTTTATGATTTGGTGACTAGGAGCTTACTGGGACTGGAACTGTGGGAATTCTCTAAGGCCTGTAATAAGGGTCTGTTTCTCCAATTACCATTTGCATCTACTTCTGTCAGGCCAGCAGTGCTGTCAGTCCAGGACCCCTTTAAATTAAATTCCAGTTTGAAGTGTTTTTATTTCTCTATTTTTTTCTGGACCTCAGGAGAAGGATGAACTTAGCCCCTAGCCCCATGAGTGCCTGCTATAATTACAGATTCTCAAGAAAGACTTCCCACTACCAGTGCCCAAGTTGAAAAGGCAAATTTCCCTGGCAAATTTTCCTCCCCTGGGTCATGTTTTTAAAAGCCCTAGATTTGGTGGCAGCTTCAGTCTTACTCCCCACTTTGTAAAAGCCCTGTGTTTATTTCCTGCCTCCAGAATGCAGCCTTTATATTCAAAGTTCTGGGTCGCCAGAAATCAGCACCTATCCCCAATGGAAGCTAATAGCTTCTATACTGGTTTACCTCTTGGGCCCCTTGCTTTCTCTCCATTTCATATCTCTAAGGATTCCTCTTACTTTCTTGCCAGCTCAGCCATGCAATTAAAATGGTATGTATTTTTAAAATTTTATCCAGGCTTTTTAGTGTTTTGCTTTTTAGAGATAGGCTTTTTAGAATATTTGATCCATCCATAATGCTACTAGAAATAAACTGGATTTTAATTTCATGTTAAAATTTTACTCAGTATTTTCTCCACCCCATTACTTGAATGGTTTATGTTTGCCTCTCCTTGTCACCTGCTTCAATTACTGTGATGTTTCTGCTGTACTTTGGAGTCCCCACTAATACACAGTTCACCTCTGCCTGGGTCTTCTTTTCTCATGCTCCACTCATGGTGTAGCTATGGCTCTTCACCATTACTTTTTCCAACTAGGTTGGTCCACCGGGGAAAGGTTACTATATAATTATCCTTTTTATTCTATGACTTCAAGCAAAATTTCTAGAACATTTAGTTCTTGACAGCTACAATACAATTATACAAAGAAAGATGGGGATTAATTACATTCTTACTAAAACAAGTCATATTAAGTAGATGATGTGGAATAGTATAACATTTTATACATTATCTGTCACAAAATACACCACATACAAAACTCTCTAATCATGATGCCAGCCAGCTGCCAGCCAGCTGAGGAGATTTAACCATTTATCTCTTAAAATCCTTTCGTTATCTTAAAATTAATTATATAGGACTCTGAAAAGATCCATTAATAACTCTCCTTTCATCATGTGCTAAATACCTCTGTGTTCTTTCTCTGAAGCTCAAGTATTGGGGTTCTGTGCCTATCCTCTTAGCCTAGGTTTGAACCCTGCTCTAATCCTTCTTAGGCAAGCATCCCAGAGCAGGCCACTTCATCTCTTGGACTGTCTGGCCCTCATCTGCACAATGGAAATATAATAATTCCTCCCCTACAGGACTATGTCAGGGTTTAAATATGAACCCTTTTAAAAACCTTGGTACAATGCCAGCACATAGGTCATCCTCAATAAATGGAAGCCATAAAAACAAATTCTACTACTATCTAGTTTTTTTAAAAACATTCACCCAATATTATCATAAATGCAGTAGTATATATAATAAATGAATTACAACTGAGCCAATATCAGTATAATGTCAGGAAGCCAAGAGGTTTGCTTAAGGAATGGGGATTAATGTGAATTGACTTTACTACCTTCTTTCACTTTATCCTATGTGGAGCCAACACACTCTCTAAGACAGGCAGTCGGGAGAAAGCCTAATGATTCTCACCTTGATCCAGAACAATGTGTAATAGCTGACCACATGACTTGGCATCATTAGTTCCAGAACATACAGTTCTATATTACTTCCCAGTTTCTTAACTCCTATTCACGTTGTCAACCACTCTGGAAAAGGCTCAAGCTTCCACCATTGCACAGGCTGCTCCTCTGCTGAGAACATTCCATAGACTTCTTCAGGCTAAGACTTACTCATTTTTTAGATATCAGCTAGGATGCCGTGTCCTCCAGAAAGACTCTCTGATCTCACTGAGCTCCCTGCTCTGAGTTCTCAGGGAATCACCTCATCATCCGCTGCAGGAGGCTATAAGTGACCTGCTGATTTGTCTGGATTCCCAGTAATATAAGACGCATTAGCACAAGAACTGTGTTTTTCATTGTTCAGGTCAGCAATAAACCCAAACCCTGGTACAATGGTTGATATGACATAAGCATTAAATAAATATTGGTTGGATGAATAAATGAATGAATGAAACATGCAGAAAACCGTAGCAAAAACTGTACCTGTCCCATAAACATCAGAGGCAGCTAGAAACATCAAAAGTGTTTGATCACTCAGAAAGGCCTAAATATCTAATTGACAATCTAATTAAAGAAGTGGCAGAGACATGTATTTTGAACTCTGTCTTCTCGGTGAAAGCGAAGTAGAGTCTAGGGGATTTTCAAACCCTATATGTAAATTCCTTTGATACCTTCGTAATGTCTGTCTATCTGCCTCCTCACCTCCACTGCCCCCAGACACACACACTTCTCCATATAACACATGACTCAGTACCTGGTGCACAGGCACTAAATACATATGAATAACCAACTGCACTTCTGCATTCCCCCACCAATCTTAACACTGCCTGTGGCAATAGCCATTTCAGCCAAGAACCAGTACTGAGCGTCCAGAACTCCAACCTTGATTTTGTGATGTATTTTAAGAAATACTATGGTTCATTCTTATACTTTACTTTAGTCCTCAAAACTATGCTGATTTTTTTCCCCAACAATTCTTACTCCTTCTCAGAACGCACCACAACACCTGATGACAAGAATTGGGCCAAGAATACAGCAATCCACAAAGTCTTGTGGCCTTGACGCCCCTTCTTGGGAGAGCTGGAAAGCAGCCATGGTACTGCCAGCTGAGCAACCCGACCTGGGAATGTATCTGCCCCTGAAGTGTGATTTCTCACCTGTGTTCATGTGACCACTGGGATGTGGCCTTTCTACAAGGTGCTTTCATACCACCTGGCTTCCTTCTTAAATACTGCTCATTCCAAGCATTTCTTGGGATGGAACTTCCTCAGCACATATGTCGGGTTTATCTCTAACCTGGGCCAACCTGTGTTTTCATTAAAAACACATAATTTAGAAGAGCAGGCAGATTAACACCTGATCTTTACTCAATATTATAAACCTCACACATCCCAACACAGAGGATAACCATCGGGGTGCCCTAACACTCAGTAAATGCCAAGTGGCCCACGGCAGGCCTTGGCTAAGGATGGTTCATCCACTTCATTATCAGGAAAATGCTGTGGTTCTCCCCTGCTGCTAGGTATGTGTTCATGGTTCTCTATGCAGGCCACTGATTTTTTTTCCCACATATGTATTTTGGGGAATTTGAAGCTAACGAGGAAGCCAGATGTGGTGCCTGAGCTAACACTTCCACGTGTATTTGTTCCTAATATCTAAGAACCAACATAAGAATAGGCTATGAAATGCTTAAATAGATGGAAAAGTCATGAGACCAGGGAAGAGTAAGAAAACCTGACAGAGTTTAACTTCTCTTATTCTTGGTTATTACCTGAATTTTTATTTTTAAACTACAAAGCTTAAAATTCATGAATAATACAGGAAATCTGTAAAATGCCATTTTTCAGGAATAAGCAGGACATTAAAATGCAAATTGCAGTTCTACACACAGCGGTACTCAACGTGACAAATTAAGCTCTTCCTATTCCTTGTCTTGACATTTGCCTTCAAGATGTTTGTTCAATGTAGAGAGAAAGCAAGAGGGCAAGAGGGAGAATCAGACAGGATGAGTGGTGATACCTCCAGGAGACCAGCCCCATGTAAGAGGTGCCCAAGGCATGAAAGGTCTTCATGGACGCCTTCCTCTCTGGCACAATACGTGGGAAAAAATCATCGTCTGCGTTACTGCATTTTCTCAGGAAGATCTTCTTAGGAAAATGGCATACTTTAATAATAAGATACCTCTTTAGAATGAGTAGGACAGAAATCTAGAAGAAAGTGAGTAAACTAGAAAGCTTCTGAGCTCCTGTTAGACCCTTACTTCCACACATCACTCACTCAGGTAGATTCACAAAGCCATCCTCTAACCGTGCCTTATTCATTCAACATATTTACTAAAGAGGAGGGCCTACTATGTGCCAGACACACTGGGGATACATCAGTAAATAATAAGACAAACCGCTGGGCACAGTGGGTCACGCCTGTAATCCCAGCACTTTGGGAGGCCAAGGTGGGTGGATCACAAGGTCAGGAGTTCAAGACCATCCTGGGCAATATGGTGAAACCCCGTCTCTATTAAAAATACAAAAATTAGCTGTGTGTGGTGGCACGCACCTGTACTCCCAGCTACTCGGGAGACAGAGACAGGAGAATCACTTGAACCCAGGAGGCAGAGGTTGCAGTGAGGGAGATGGGATCACGCCACTGCACTCCAGCCTGGGTTATGGAGCAAGACTCCATCTCAAAAAAAATAAAAATAAAAAAAATAATAAGACAAAGCTCACTACCTTCACTGGACTTACGTGCTGGTAGCTGTGGGTGGGGATTTACGTCAGCTATAGTGCTAAGTGCTTTACATATTTAACTCATGTAATCCTCACACCAGCCATATGAAGGAGGTAATATTATCATTCATATTTTAGAGATGAGAAATTGTAAATGAATGAGGAATTGTAAATGAAATGTGAATATTACTATTCACATTTTACAGATGACAAAGCTGAGGCACAAAGAAGTGAAGTAATTTAGCTAGTAAACTAGCAAATGAACAAGCTGGGATGTGAAACCAGGGACTCTGTCTCCAGAATGCGCATGTTAAACCACTTTATTAGACTGCCTCTCTTATGACCTCTTCCGCTTGCTCCCTTGCTATTTCTGTATAACAATAAGAGTATATTCTCCCAAAGTCAGGATCTGAGGCCTAGTTGTCTTCGTAACCCACTACTCACAACCCCTGTAGGGTCCGGTTCGTAAGTGTTAAATAGATATTAAATAAATGATTTGCCTTTGATTATTAAATTACCCTTACCCTGAGCCGGAGCTGCAACAGTGGGTGTTAGCACCATCTAGTGGAGAAAGGCCTGGCAAGGAAGACTGCCATTATGGAATGGTTGACAGCCAGCAAGGGATTATAGCAATTACCTGGGTAACTCAGGTAAACATCTTCATGTAGGTGCTTTGCCATCATTCTGCAGACCTCTGACAGCTGATCTGATAACCCCCCAGATTTACCAAAAACGAAACACCTAGTACATAAACAGTATTCCAAGCCCAAAATAGATCCAGCTTTGGTATTTTTAAGGAATTACCAAAGAACACTTTAAACGGAGCTCTTCTGGAAAATCCATGATTATGGTCACAATACAATAGGGATGATCTCAACTTCTTACAGGAAAGGCCTACATATATACATCTACAAATAACTGCACTAAACTTGTTAAAGCAAATAAGATCAATCATTCGGAGACCAAGAATTAGAATGGATCCAGATATAAAGCTTAAAAGAAAATGGTTATTCCTAATCCCTACAGCTACTGGAACTCAACTCTCTTTGCACATTCTTTTACTAAATATTAGCTAATTGTGATATCAATGTATCAGTATGACATAAGATTAAACAATGGCTCTACCTATACTTTGTTTAGAGTAAAACAAAACAAAAATTTTGAATGTACTTCATATAAGACCTCTTAGAAAAACAAGAAAAATAAAGGAGCATTTTATTTCAGTTAGTCATGTTTAGTTACTTTTCCCCTTTGACAAAAAGCAAAGAAAAACAGAAGAGAGGAGGTTGATGAAAAAATTCAGGGAAATAGAGTAACAGGCCAAAGTGGAGAAGACAGAAAGTGTCTGCACTTCTAGTCCCCACTTCATAGCCTAGCAAACTCCTATTTATCCCTTAAGACCTTGCTCAAGTGTCACCTCTACTGTAAGGTCCTTCCTATCTGCACCCCACCCCAGCTACTTACTCCCATTATCGCGATCCCCTAGCACTTGATCCATAACACTATGATGCAATATAATGTTATATTGTCATCGTGCACCAACTTATCCTTCTTCAACAGAGATGATGGGGACTTTCTTAAGTTTCTCAGTATATCTACTGGCTAACTGACTACTGAAACCAGAAGTAAATAATGATCCTTTGAAACAAATACCATTTCCTTCCTCCTTCTATGCTCTGCATTGTTATACCACAAAAAGCTCCTGAAAGTAGCATAAATTCTCAAGCAATTCTCAAGGCCTCTGCTTTGACTCTTTTGTGATTTTTTTTGCCTACATGGTCTTCACAACTAGTCTTCTCAAGACACAAAATCAACAATCATTGAAGTGTAAAGAAGAAAAAATAACAAGGTCTCTGGTTTTAAATGCTATTTTTTTCTCTTCTGCCCACAATAAAACTGTGTCAGGAGGGATATGCCACACACACATCAGTGCATCTGCCTGAACTGAAAAGAAGGTGGAAAGGTTCACTGGGAAAATCAAATGTTCTTTATAAATCCAAGTGCCGAGACATGATCTGTTTCTTTAAATGCTGTTAGCAAATGTACTGCTGAAGGTTAACAGACAATTAAGAATCATCATAGTTCTATGAAAATGATAAACAAAACAGAAAGATCAGCCTTTCGTGATTGCATAAAATCAGCCACAATCAAACAAAAAAAAATCACTAGGGAAAGCACTGCACTTGCTGAATGCATTATGATGGTATACTGTCTGTGGTGGCTAAACATTTGGATTTGGGGAGGTCCAGAGCGCCAGATTTCAAATCCATGTTCTGCAGTGGATAAGCTGGGTGACCTTGAACATATTATGTAATCTCTTTATGCCTCAGTTTTCTTATCTGTAAAATGGAAATAATAATAGTACCATCCTGGGTTTGTTATGAGCAGAGTGCCTAGCATGCAAAAAGCGTTCCATAAAGATTCATTCATTTCATTATTTCATTTCATTTTTTCAAGAAAATATCTACTTAGTGCACACCCTACACATTGTACTGGAAACTTTCATATACATCATCGCAGTTCAAATCTAGAAAAATGAAAGAGTTAGACACAATGTACCTTCCCAGTGCTAACATCCTTTTATCCTAGTCATGTGGAATGAAAATGTGTTTCCAGGGTTCAGCAAACATTTGATTCAAGTTTCATTGCTAAACATATTAATCATTTTTAAAACTGGAATAAAAAGTATTACCCACACTTGAGTTCTTTATCAAATTTTAATACAAGGGAGACCCCAAATGACTTAATTTGTGCTGCCTGGTTAACTTTGCTTTTTTCTGGAGCCCTCAAAATAAAACTTTGCAGTGGATATATTTGAACTCCTTAAAAATGTGACACCGATTAACAAGACTGCAGGTCTTTTTCTGTTTTGATTTGTTCTTTTAATTCAGACCTGTATATGTCTATTCACATAAAATCATACAAGTGAATACAATCCTCTGGCATTTGTGTGTTCCACTCAATTAAGTGACAGGATACATTCATATGGTATTTTCTGCCAAACGGTGACAAATTAAACTAGCTGATGAATCCGTTAATTGACT
The DNA here is from genome assembly GCF_000001405.40 of Homo sapiens. NCBI lineage: Eukaryota > Metazoa > Chordata > Mammalia > Primates > Hominidae > Homo > Homo sapiens. The sequence goes on from NC_000010.11 coordinate 90,790,577, forward strand.
CTCTAAACTGAACATTTAACAATTAATAACTGCATGCACTTGTTACTTGCTGTGATTTTAATTTGAAACAAGCATTTCCTAGCCTTTTGAGCTACTGTTTCAGTTAAATTGAAGAAGAAGCTATTTAAAAATACTGTATCAGTTACACTAAAGAGCAAGCTATTTTAAAAAATACTGCCATTTGTAACTACTCATCCATGTAAATCTAGATTTTCTCAATATTATGCAGAGAGAGAGAGAGAAAGGGAGATTGAGGGAGAGGAAAAGACAGAAAAAGAGAGTAAGAGAGAGAGAAAATTACATTGGATGCTTAGACTGATGTGACTACAACTGTCTTCCATAAACAACAATTTCACAGGAAGTTTGTTAAATCAGCCTCATTGCTCTTTTGAATGGCAGTAAGAATCAAATCTCACAAATTTGAACTAATAAATTCATACAAATAAAACACTCCCCTTCATCTCTTCCATATATTTTTATCAATCCTACATATATATTTCATTTTGAAAAGGGGCAGGGTTCAGAAAACTTTGTCCTAAGCCCTTCTCTATTGTGAGAAATTACCATGGGCCAGTAACTGTTATAATTTCTAGGTGGGACACAAACTCAAAAAAATTATCAAATACCTGAACACAAGAAGGTTTACATTTAGAGAATACAGATATATATATATATTTAGAATGAGACAAATGTGGAAAGTGCCATCAAAGTGTATGTGTGTATGTACACATAAATAATGTATATTATACACAATACCTAAAGCAGTGAGGGGGAGTTAGATTGGGGGTGAGTAATTTCAACTGGGAAGTTAAAGAAAGGTTATATGGATAACCTAATACTGAAGTTGCACATTGAACACTGAACAGAATTCAACAAGAGGACTAAGTGTAAAAGACCACAGAAAGATTCAGAGGTAGGAGATTGAAAATGTTCAAAAAAGATGAGTGCCCCAGGTGTATGTAAGCATTTTAGTTTGTGTGCATTGAAGGGGGAAGAGGAGCGGGCAATGGCAAGGCTAGCCTAAATTAAAATGTCATAGCCCCCAAAATTGCACTTAGAATAAACACATATACTATGTCAAATGAGCCCAGAGAAGAATTTTTAAGGTTAATTGTGTTTATGATCCCTCCAAGTGTTTTATTTCACTTGGATACGATTACAATTTCTAGTAAGTTGAAGCTGAATAATTTTCCATTTTATCACTATCATCTTTCTTAACAATTTCTCACAAACATGAAAATTATTCCATTATTTGACAGGGGTTTTGGCTCCTCAAGTATGAAATATCTAGGCACAGCTGTTTCTTACAGTTCTTTGGGATTTACCTGGGAAATCTCCAAATCTGTTTTCAGTATACTACAAAAAGACATCAGGAAATTAAAGAGCAGTAAAAAGAGCAGAAAATCTTGTGGCTCAAACTCCTCGTTTTCAGAAGCATTTACCACGCAGAAAGATTAGGTGACTCTGTTGCAAGGATGAAATAAAACAGAGTATGAAGCCACTTTATCAAAAACATGAAAAATTTTAAAAACTGTTCACACAAGTTCATTATACAATCTCTGAATGACAAAAACATAATTATGAATCCATGAATCAAATTTTCAAATTTCTTGCCTTCCAGTCCAACATCACCCATGTATAAGGCAAAGTAGTGCGAGTTAAAAATAAGATAACAACAAGTTTATAGTTCTAAAGCCTTCAGCGTCTAATTGGGTAAATGAAGAATACAGCCTGTAATAGGACTCTTTTGGGTTTGTTTGTGGGTTTTCATTGTTTTGTTGGGGTTTTTTTGTTTTGTTTTTGGTTTGGTTTTTTTTGGCTGCAGCTATACCAGCAGGAATTAATCATAATTCTTGATTTATAGCATATTATAAACATATCTTTTTCATAGGATTTTTCAATGGTTACACTTTTAAATATATATATTTCAACTGTACATTATATATATACACAAGAGAGCTTTTTTATAAGTTGTAAAGAGATTATGGATGGTCCCTAACTAACTACGGCTTGACTTACCATTTTTCAACTTTACCATTCGGTATGCTCCTCAACTTACAATGGGGTTACATGTGGATAAAACTATCATAAGTTGAAAATATCATTACATTGAAAATATACTTTCAGCTTTCCATTTTTACATCTAAAATGGAAAGGCTTATCTAATAAGGGTTCTGATAAACCCTTAAAATGGATTTATCAGAACTTATCAGAATGGAGAAAGAACAGTATTTCAACAACTGGTGCTGAGAAAACCATATATCCACATGCAAAAGAATACAGTTGGAGCCTTACCTTATACCACATGTGAAAATTAACGACAAAAAAAATGAACTGAAGACCTAAATATAAGCCCTAAAACTATAAAACTCCTAAAAGAAAACATAAAGAAAAGCTTCATAACATTGGATTTGACAATGACTTCTTGGATATGACACCAAAGCACAGGCAGCAAAAGCAAAAAATTAACAAATGTGAAGAAACAGAACTTTAAAACATCTGTGAATCAAAGAAAACAATCAAGAGGGTGCAAAGGCAACCCATGGAATGAGAGAAAATATTTTCAAATCATTTATTCAATAGAATTAATATCCAGAATATATTCCGGATAAGAACTTCTACAACTCAACAAGAAAAAAGCAAATAACCCAATTTAAAAATGGGCAAAGGGCTTACATAGACATTTCTGAAAAGAAGATACACAAATCTCCAATAATCATAATTATGATAGGGTAGAGAGGTGAAAATCACAATAACATACGGGCAGAACTTGAAAATCAACTAAAGGAATCATTAATAACCATAGAAGAGGATAATTCCAGGAATGCAAGAAGAGTTTAATATTGGGAAATTACTTATAGTAGTACATCAATATTTCTAATTATATATATATATATTTAGTATAGATAGTGAAAATAAATTTAATATTATTTTTAAAAAAACAATTTTTAAGAAAGCTCAAAAAAAAAAAAAAAGATCACCTTGGAATTACAGACAAGTGTACAATGTACCTCAACTAAGACACTGTATTAGTCAGGGTTCTCTAGAGGGGCAGAACTAATAGGATGGCTGTATATATGAAGGGGAGTTTATTAAGGAGTATTGACACACACGATCACAAGGCGAAATCCCACAATAGGCTATCTGCAAGGTGAGGAGCAAGGAAGCCAGTCTGAGTCCCCAAACCTCAAAAATAGGGAAGCTCGACAGTGCAGCTTTCAGTCTGTGGCTGAAGGCCCAAGAGCCCCTGACAAATCACTGGTGTCCAAAAGCTGAAGAACTTGGAGTCTGATGTTCAAGGGCAAGAAGCATGAGGCATGGGAGAAAGATGAAGGCTGGAAGACTCAGCAAGTCTAGTCCTTCCAACTTCTTCTGCCTGCTTTATTCTAGCCACACTGGCAGCTGATTAGATGGTGCCCAGCCAGTTGAGGGTGGGTCTGCCTCTCCCAGTCCACTGACTCAAATGTTAATCTCCTTTGGCAACACAGATACACCCAGGAAAAAATACTTTGCATCCTTCAATCCAATCAAATTGACACTCAATATTAACCATATTTAAACCATATAACCAATATTAACAGACACAAACACACACATTAGCCTCGGCCTACACAGGGTCAGGATCATCAATATCACTGTCTTCCACTTCCACATCTTGTCCCACTGGAAGGTAGGTGTTCGGGGCACCAACATACAAGGAGCCGTCATCTCTTGCGATAAAAAATAGCTCCTTCTTGAATACCTCCTTAAGGACCTGCCTGAGATTATTTTACAGTTAACTTGTTTTCTATAAGTAGAAGGAGTACACTCTAAAATAACAATTAGAAGTATAGTATAGTAAACATACAAACCAGCAACATAATTGTTTATCATTATCAAGTACTATGTACTATACATAATTTTTATTTTTGTTTTCTGCTTTTTTAAATTTTTTTGAGACAGGATCTTGCTCAATCACACAGGCTGGAGTGCAGTGGTGCAGTCATGGCTCACTACAGCCTCAACCTTCTGGGCTCAAGAATCAAGCAAGTCTCTCACCTCAGCCTCCCAAGTAACTGGGACTAAAGGTGCACACCACCACACCTGGCTATTTTTTTATTATTATTTGTAGGGATAGGGTCTCCCTGTGTTGCCTAAGCTGATCTCAAACTCCTGGGCTCAAGCAATCCTCCTACCTCAGCCTCCCAAAGTTCTGAGAACAGGCATGAACCACTGCACCCAGCCTATACATAATTGTATGTGTTATACTTTTACACAACTGGCAGTGAAGTAGGTTAATTTACACCGGCATCACCACAAACACGTGAGTAAGGCATTGTGCTATGACGTAAAGATGGCTACAACATCAGAAATCACTAGGAACTTTTCAGCTCCATCATAATCTTATGGAACCACTGTTATACATGTGGTCTGTCATTGACCGAAAAAGCATTACTCAGCAGCGCATGACAGTATATACATTTTCTTTATCCATTCATCTGTTGTGGGGCATTTAGGTTGTTTCTATGTCTTGGCTATTGTGGATAATGCTGCAATGAACATGAGATTGCAGATATCTCATCAACATACTGATTTACCTTCCTTTGGGTATATACCAGTAGTAGGATTGCTGGATCATATGGTAGTTCTATTTTTAATTTTTTGAGAAACCCCCATACTTTTTTCCATAATAACTGTATCAATTTACAAACCAACAACAATGCACAAGGATTCTCTTTTCTCCTAAATAAAAAACAAGATAGGAAACTATAACTACAGCACAAACTCACTTTTCATAAACATTTATACGTACGGAAAAAAATTAGCACCTCCTTCTACCATGTCCACCACCACTTTCTAAGGAGAGTAATGACAGAAGTACAAAAATTTAGAGGCTCTCTGAATGATAACAATGAAACAAATGATAAAGGTAGAAGACATTATCAGTTTAGGTGTGAAACTAGAAGTAAGAAGACAGGAGATGGCAAGATAGGAGTCTACAAAAGCAAGAGGAAGATTTAAAGAAAAATGCTCTGAATTAGCATAAAGTTGTAAACCCAAAAGTTATCTGAAACAGGTCTCAATCAATTTAGAAGGTTTGCTTTGCCAAGGTTAAAAATACATCCATGACACAGCCTCAGGAGGTCCTAATGACATGTGCCCAGGGTGTTTGGGGTACAGCTTGCCTTTATACATTAAGGAAGACATAACACATCAATCAATACATGTAAGATTTACATTGGTACATTGGAAGGGCGGGACAACTTGAAGCTTGCAGGGATCTGTGGGGGTTGAGGGGTGTTTCCACGTCATAGACAGATTTTAACATGTTCTGATTGGCAATTGGTTGAAAGGGTTATTATCAATAGAAAGGAACGTCTGGGTTATCATAAGGAGTTATAGAGAGCAAGGTTTTATCACGCAGATGAAGCCTCCAGGTAGCAGGCTTCAGAGACAATAGATTGTATAAATGTTTCTAATCAGACTTATTATCTGTGTTGACGTTAATGCTGGTCAGCTTTTCCTGAATTCCAAAAGGGAGGAAGGTATAATGAGGCATGTCCAACCTCCCCCTTCCTATCATGGCCTGAACTGGTTTTTCAGGTTAACTTTGGATGCACTTGGCCAAGGAGGGAGGGTTCCATTCAGATGGCTGGGGGAATCTCAGGATTTTATTTTTGGCTGACAAGCAATAAATAGATGCAAGATACTGTCACAACTAACTGAATTATTCTATCAAGGAACAGAAGTCCCACAAAACAATGAGGAATGTATCAGGGAAACTGTTCCACAACACAAATGTTCCAACCTATGGATGTTTAAATAACAAAAGGTTGAAAAGAGTGAAATCTTTCAAAAGTAATTTGTGTGCTTTCCTGAATTCTGAAACAGCACTTACAAAACAAATTTTAGACCAGGTGTGGTGGCTCAAACCTGTAATCTCAGCACTTTGAGGCCAGGAGTTCCAGAACACCCTGAGCAATATAGCCAGACCCTGTCTCTAAATAAGCCAGGTGTCGTGACAAGTGCCTGTAGGTCCCAGCTACTAGGGAGGCTAATGTGGAAGGATCACTTGAGCCTAGGAGTTTGAGGTTACAGTGAGCTATGATTGTGCCACTAGAGTCCAGCCTGCGTGACACAGCAAGACCCTGTCTCTAAAATGATTAAAAAACAGACAAGGCTAGGCTCACGGCTGTAATCCCATCAGTATGGGAGGCCGAGGCAGGCAGATCACAAAGTCAGGAGATTGAGACTATCCCGGCTAACACAGTGAAACCCCATCTCTACTAAAAATACAAAAATAAAATTAGCCGGATGTGGTGGCAGGCGCCTGTAGTCCCAGTTACTCGGGAGGCTGAGGCAGGAGAATGGCGTAAACCTGCAAGGCGGAGCTTGCAGTGAGCCGAGATCATGCCACTGCACTCCAGCCTGGGCGACAAAGCAAGACTCCGTCTCAAAAAAAAAAAAAAACCGACAAATTTTAATCTTCTCCTGATGATTCAGTGCCATAATCACAAACATCAAGTACTGCACTGTCTATGATAAAGGTATGTCCTCAAAAGCAGCCAAATTTTCTAGGATTATTTCTCCAACACTGGGTCCAAATTTCTAGGTTTTTTTCATTTTTATGTGTTTTTCTGAAGCTTTTTATAGCTTTTATCTTAAACACACTGAGTTTTAGAGCTGGAAGGGGCCTCAGAGACCAGTTCAACCCACACATTTTACGGAGAAGGAAACTATTTTCTTCCTCCACCATGAAGCTCTGGCTCCAATGTATTCCTGTTTTAATATGTCTATTGTGAGCAACTCATCTCCCTTTTCTAATTTTCTGCTTCTAATCTGACAACTGGGAAACCAGATAAGCAAACTTGTTAGAATTGTATCAAAAATAGCCATAATCTAAATGAAAAACTATTCTAAGAACAAAAAGTAAGAGTTTCAATGTTATTCTGTAGGGTCATACATTGTGGTAACTTGAAGGCCTCTTTTCCATTCTTTGCATTTTGGGAAGGTGTTTACAAGACAATACTAAAGGTTTCCAGGACTTTCACATAAATGATGCTAATTCTCTGAAAAGAAACTCTTCCCCTTATGGACTATGTGATCTTGAGTAAACTGTTCAATGGCTCTGAGTCTCTGTCTCCTCACATGTAAAAAAGAAATGAATTATCAGGGTAGATAACTGTTTAATTCAATGAGGTCACATGCTGTCTTTGTTCATTTTGTGTTGCTATAACAGAATACCACAGACTGGATCATTTATAAAGAAAATACATTTATTTCTTAACAATTCTGGAGGCTAGGAAGTCCAAGGCTGAGGGACTCATATCTGGCAAGAGCCTTTCTGCTGCACCATTTCATGGCAGTAGACAAAAGGGCAAGAGAGCATAAGAGGGTAAAAGAGGGCAAGACAGGGTGGAACTCACTTTTATCAGGAGGCCACTCTTTCTATAATGGTATTAATTCACTGATGAGGGTAGATCCCTCATGGCCTAATCACCTCTTAGTGGTCCCACCTCTTAATACCATCAAAATGGCAAATAAATTTCAACAGAGTTTTGGAGGGAACATTCAAACCACAGCATATGCTTTAAAGAAGGCTAAAAAAATGGGAGTTGTTGTTTTATCTCCACTTCTTCTCAAGCAGCAGAAGAAGCCATGTTTGCAAAAGCTAATACTATCTTCATGTTATGTAGCTCATTCAGGACTGGGTACAATCCTACTCAAAGCAATATTGGGTTTTCCACAGGAATTCTCAAAAGTAGATGTCATTAGAATCACCTAGGAGCTTTAAAAACTCCTATAGCCTAAGCCCCACTTGCAGATAGTCTGGTTAAATTGGACTGGGTTGGGTCCCAGGTATAGGTACTTTTTAATATATCCCCAGGCTGGACACACTGACTCATGCCTGGTGCTGGGAGGCCAAGGAGGGAGGATCACTTGAGCCCAAGAGTTCAAGGCCAACCTGGGCAACATACTGAAACCCCCATCTCTACAAAACTAAAAAAATTTAGCCAAGTGTGGTGGCACATGCCTGAGTCCCAGCAACTCAGGGACCAAGGTGGGAGGATCTCTTTAGCCCAGGAGGTTGAGGCTGTAGTGAGCTGTGATCATACATGCACTCCAGCCTGGGTGACAGAGTAAGACTGAAACTACCACTGCAAAATTATAACTGAGAAAGTGACAGAGATCTGACCTAACCAACTCCATCCTGCTTCTAACCTCCAAGCTGTCCTTGCTCATTCCTGGGTGTAGGCTGAATCAACTTTGGGAGGAACTTAGTTATAGTTTATACTTTGAAACAAAGATAATAACAGCCCTTTCCCAAAACAAACCGCCTTCTTGCCCGAGAACTAGACCGCCTTTGTAGAGCTAACAAATTAGTCAAAAGATTAGAAATTATGGTTTAGGAGTCATGTAGCTGGAAGCTACAAGATTCTGACCCTCCCCAAATTGCTCCTGGGGATAACATCACTATTGTAAAACCTAAGATTAGTGCCTGAGATATTTTGCAAACCCTGCACTTAATGGATCAGCTGGCACCATATAGATTGATAAACTGGCTCATCTGATCTTGTAGCCCCTATCCAGGAACTAACAGTGCAAGAAGACGGCTTCAACTCCCTGTGATTTCATCTCTGGCCCAACCAATCAGACCTCCTTTGACTCACTGCTCCCCACCCTGACACCCACCAAATTTTCCTTAAAAACTCTGATCCCTGAATGCTCCAGGAGACTGATTTGAGTAATAAAACTCATGTTTCCCGCACAGCCGGCTCTGCATGAATGAATGAATGAATGAATGAATGAATGAATGAATGAATGAAGAGATCCCCAGGTGATTCTCATAAAAGCCTGGGGTGAGAGCCAATGCTCCTGAGAAATACATTGAGCCTGCTGGGTGTCGGTATCTGTCTGCATTAGATCAAAACCCCTAACAGCCCCAGCTGTCCACTGGTGAGATTCTAGGCTGGTTTCTTCTTTGTGCTTCCACACTGATACTTCTAGGACTCCCCGCAAATCATCTCCTGTACCCCTCAAATTGCTTGACAAAGATTTAAGTCTGATCTCATACCAGGTATATACACTGGTATAATGGTACCAGTTGTTTAAATATAATATTTCCAAACTTGCTGGCAAACAGCTGCTGTTCCAAGCTCCTGAGGGTCCCCCACCTTTCCATCATCCACCCTATGACCCAAATCCATTCTGACTGGTCAGTGGTGATAGTTAAACATTGTATTATCCCTAGCTTTGATGACCTGGTGCTTTGCCCCACCACACTAAAACTTAGAGGTTGAAAGTATTTTAAGTAATGATTTTTAAAAAATAACAGATGGGAGAAAAAATACCTCCAAATCATATATCTGATAAAGAGGTTGTATCCAGAATATATAAAGAACTGCTACAATTCAATAATAGAGCCACAAACAATCCAATTAAAAAGTGGAGGTAAACTGTGTATGGATATCTCATCAAAGAAATTACACAATTGGCTAAGATAACACCATTAATAAGAAGAAAAATACAAATTTAAATGACAACAGAAATTCTACACACTCACTAGAGTGGCTATAATGAAAACATCTAACATGACAAAGTGTGGTGTGAATGTGAAAACAAAACTGGAATTCCCATACATTGATTTGAGAATGTACAACCACTTACAAAAGTTTGGCCGTTTTCTTAGAAAGTCAAACACACATCTATTAGCAATTCTGCTCATGGTAATCTACCCAAGAAAAATAAAACAATGTCCTAAGAAATGAAAATAAAATTCTAAGCCCCCAACTGACTGAATAGAACCCCTCTTGGCCAAAGAAACCCTAGAGAAACCTTGGAAGCTGAGTCACAGTGACAAGGGATAGATTAGCCACGCCTTACTATACTCCCACCCTCCCACCCTCCTAACAGCCATCAGGCTTTCTTCCCCAAGGGCTAAATAGAAACTAGTCCTTTCAAAAGACTACTACCTTATCTTCACATGTACAGAACAAATACAACATGAGATTAATCATTCCTTCACCCCCCGAGATGAAATTAACCCTTTCTTCACTCCTCCTTGAGACGTGTTTTCTCTATTCTCTTTTTCTTCAAACATTCACCTTATCTTACGTAAAATGTAGATTTACTGGGCACTAACTAAACTCTCACAAGTATGTAATCATTTGTCTCACTGCTGTCCCACCCTTTCCCCTTTATAAGGAAAAATATATAAATACTAAATATCCTGAGAACCTCTTTGTGAAAAACAACCATAGAAGCTTCTGTTTTTTCTGGGCATGCCCTCAGGGTGGCTCAATAAAGCTCCATGATTTGAGACTTATGCCTCACACTCATGTTAGCAGTCATTTCATTAACTCTGACGGGATCTCAGGGAAGAGATCAGCCCCTTTGACCCGCAGCAATTCTCCTATCAGTGCTGGCAAGAGATTCTCTCTGACAGATTGTGCACATCACCAATGCTCAAAAGCTGCTCTCTTCTCCTGAGGTTCCCTGATCTGAAATTTTTGATTTCAGATCCCAAGGTTCATTTTGCCACAGAACTCCTCTAAAAAGGGAGTTTGCTCACTTCCAATGGAGAGCAGTCTTCAGCGTGGGCCCCATCTCCAGGTAAGGAGCTGGTTTGGGGTTTTATTTTGGGATTTGGTAGCTGAAGGTCAAGGTTTATTGCCAGCTGGCTGTAATTTCTCCTTAAGCTCAGAGATCTCAACTATATGTAAATTATGAAATCACTTTTTCTGTTTTTTGGTTTTAGTCTATCTTCCATTAGATTTGACCAACTCTTCCTCCCAGCCACAATGTTGACTAAAACTCCATAGTTGCAGAAAGTCAAGCTCCAACCCCGGAAACACCAGCTGGTTAAAAGAAATCAATATTTTACCCCCCAAAATATATTTATTTGACATATTATAAAGTGGCCCAGCCAGACCTTCCCTAATTTGGATCTAGGAAAGATTAGCTAAGAGTCTTCATTCTGAAGGTTCCCATGTAAACATGATTAAATAAATTGTATACTTTTTCTCCCATTAATCTGCCTTTTGTGAGTTAATTTTTCAGCAAAACTTCAGAGGGTCAAGGGGAAAGCTCCTCCTTGGCCCCCACAATTTGGCATAGCCAGTAGGATCCCCAAAATCACTCTTCTCTTTTGGAAGTCAGAATGAAGAGAACTCAGGAAACTTACAAGCCAGCAAATAGGTAAGAAATTCTTATCAGTGAGCCTCCTGGCCTCCTTGTGCAATCTGATTGAACAGATGGTTAAAAATCACCGTTTTGTCTCAAAGTTTTGATTATTGGGAAAAAAGGGATTTGTGTGACTAGTCTTGGGGTGTAGTGACTCTGGTGTATTTTTGGTACTTTATGGTGTGAATGTTCATATTGTTTGACCCCTTGCCTCTCAGAAATAGCCTTTTTTGTTGCCATTTTCCTTTGTCTTTCTGTGTTGTTCTCTCATAAAGAGCAGTGTCATAGGGTAGAGAACATGGGCCTAGAATCCCTATAAGCCTGCTGTTCAAGCCAGCCCTGCAGATGAGTCCATTTTATGGTTCTGACTAGACCGGTGTCTGTTTAGACAAACTTCGCTGTGGGCTCCTGAGAGGGAAACTGGATGAGTTTTCCCTCTTGTCTTGTTTTATGTGCTTGGGTTACTTTTCTAGTCTCTGCCATCCAGATGGCATGATTTTTCAGGGTCAGGCCAGCCAGCCAATCTGAAAAGACTAGGAGTCCAAGACACATAATATTTTAAGTAACACACTGTTCTGAATGTGTCAAGCTCTTGAGAGGAGTTTTGACTTAAAAGTTCCATCCCTCCGGGGCTTTTGCAGTCTTTCGCTGGCTTAAGTCTATTTCTGAGAGAGAATTTTGGAGGATCACGGGGATTGCTTCCTCTATGCCCTCTCCAGGAATATATGGTAAAAACCTGGAAAATTACCACCTGGGCTTTAAATGAAGAGGCTTTTGAATTGAGTCACTACTGGAACTAAGTACACTATTGGAAATAAAAAAGATTTTAGAGATCTCTTATTCTAAGCAATTGATGGAAAGGTTAAATTTTTAAAAGAATCCGTAATAGCGTTATAGCTAGCCTTAAAAATTCTCTTTAAAGAGCAAAATCTGACCTAAAACAAAGTTAAAATCCCTTGTACACTCAAACTGCCTGCTTTTGATTCCATGTGGGATTAACAACGGAAGCTGCTCCACTTTGTAGTCTGGTAGTTAAAATTCATGATCATGGAATCAGTCCTTTTGGTTTGATATTTGTATGACTTTTGCCACTTATTGATCCTTTTCCCTTCCATGGACAGCTTTTGATTTCCTGTCTTCCATCTGTGGGGGCATATGGTGGTTTTGGGCCTTTGTGTGTAGATGACCAGCTGAGAAACTGAGACCATAGAGTATATGGCCAGACAGACAAAAATGAGTTGTACCCCATTTGTGGCCTTTTTTTTTTTTTTTTTTTTTTGCTGTCTTTGGTGTCATTCTGTTACCAGCAGCAGATCCATATGGGCCTAAAGCAACCTCAGTTCTTGCCTCCTCAGAAGAAAGAATTTGTCTGAGGGGTATAAAGGAGAAGAAGATACCAAAGCAAGTCTTAGAGTAAGACTAAAAGTTTATTTAAAAGCTTTAGAGCAGGAATAAAAGGAAGTAAAGTACACTTGGAAGAGGGCCAAGCAGGTGACTTGAGAGATCAAGTGTGCCATTCGACCTTTGACTTGGGGTTTGATATGTTGGCATATGAGGGTCTTGTGTCCCTTCTCCCCTGATCTTTCCCTTGGGGTAGGGTATTCACATGCGCAGTAGCCTGCCAGCGCTTGGGAAGGGTGTATGCACAGTACGTTTACTGGAGTTGTACACATCTCACTTGAGGTGTTTTTCCCTTACTAGTTGAATATCCCTAGGAGGTCAAATATCACTTAAACTCCACTATTTGCCATTTGATGCACAAGGTTGAACCCACTCGCCCCACTCCTGAGATCTTATCAGGAAGCTGCTGATCACCAGTTTCAGGTGTTTCTGTTTATCGGGAGACCGCCTTTTCCTGAGTCTGGCTATGACCAATTATTATTTTGGAGAGAGAGTTAACAACTGCCTGACCATCATCTGATGGTTGCCTGACATTCCTGGTGTTGGGGAGAGGAGCCCTATCCTGCCCTGGTCATGTCTGACTACCTACCTACTGTAACAATTCTGGATCTTAAGAGGACTGCTTTGCACTGCTTTGGAGATACTTTGTGTGTTCTTGGCTAAGCCATAATGGTACGAACAGGAGGCAGGAAAATACTGGGTAGGAGAGGGCAGAGTCCCTGGCAAGGGTTCCACCTGCAAGCCTGTGCCTGTGGCCCTAAATGAGAACTTCACATCCCTGTTTCTCCCACCGAGTGTTGCTTTTTCCAAAACCACCTGGGCCTGCTATGCCCCCAACCTATAACCATAAAAACCCCAAGCTCCACTGGCAGAGGAGCAGAGCAGTGTGGCAGAGAAGGAGAAAAGAGAACAAGCAACTGAATGTTGAGATGAGAAGGAGCAACTGAGCATCAGAGACTAGGAAAAGATGCAGCTTAACTTCAGAAGACAAGACTTCAGAGAGGAGCCCAGACATAGATGGCTGGGCTTCAGGGAAAGATCACCTTCTTCCCGCACCATCCCCTTTCCAGCTCCCCTTCAGCTCAGAGCCACCTCCATCACTCAACAAAACCTCCACGTTCACCATCCTTCGAGTCTGTGTGACATGATTCTTCCTGGACACCAGACAAGAACCTGGGTACCAAGAGGGCAGGGTATATGTCTCCCCACTGAGCTAGTTAACACTTAGCCATCTTTGGACAGCAAATACCAAAAGAGCATTGTTTGTAACACATGCCCTCTGGGGTTCCAGAGGTTGTGGGCAACTGCTAGAATGTGCCATGGGCTGGTACGGGTTCATTCCTGCCAGCGCCTAAAGGCACTCCCCCCAGCTCCTGCACCTGCTCACCTGCATGCTCCCCCTCCCACAAGAGGTTTGAGCTCAGCAGCTGAGCAAAACGAGCCACCACCCCTCCCCACTCCTTCAGGTTTGGTAAAGGAGTTCAAAGGCCAGAAATATCAGCTGTTTATCCCAGGTAATAAGAGATCTGAAAGAATTTTTTTCTTTTAAAGACTTCTATGGTTAGCAGTCAGCTTCATTAAAAGCTGATATCTAAGCTATAATTACAATTTTTTTTTAAAAGAGCTTTATGCTGTTTCTCTTTTTGGATCCTGTCTTGGGGATTTTTATTTATTTATTTTTTCTGAATCCTGTCTGTTCCTCCTTCCTCTTGCAACCTCCAATGTCATAGAAGGGACCAAAAGAAGGGGAGGAATTTCTGACAATCTAAGATCTTTTGGGGAAAACATAAAAGTTGACAAAGACTCCTCTGTTGGGAGGAAAATTTTGTTTTTCCTTATGAAAACCCAAGAGTTGTAAGCAGACAGATGCCTCTCAGGTCTAAAACTCTGCACTGTTTTATATTGCATTACCTGGTCTCTAGCTTTTGCAGGGTACCAGATATTACTTTGTACTATGAAAGGTCTTGACATTGGTGTGTGCACTGGCTGGTGAGTTGGGCAATAGCTACAATGTTAGGGGTGGCTGAAGACAGTTATTTACAGGAAATGGTCATTACTATAGGGGGCTACTCATTTCTTTGCATGTTTGGATGAGAAAAGCATGGTTTGGGCCCTAAAAACCACATGCTTTATTGTCCCTGTTCCTTAAAGGACTCCACCCTGAAGCCAGTTATCTAAATAACACACAAGCTAAGTTGAAAAAGAACACCTATTAAATTAAATCAGTCTTTGAATCTCTTTGTGAAAGAAATTTACATCTTTAAAGGAAATCATCATTTGTAAATGCACCTCTGTCTCTGCACCTAAACCGCTAGGAAGTTTAACTACAGGGAAGACAGTGTCTTAAAGTTAACATAACAAACCTTGCTTGCCTTTGTTTTGTTCTAAGTTCTGTGCCTTTGAGGTATGCATTTTCTACTTTCTCTCCCCTAAGAGTCATGTGTTTGGAGATGCAAATGTAGAGTTGCCTAGCTAATAATTGTTTTAAGGTATGAAACAGGTAATAAAGAGATTGATACTCTAAATTAGGGGAGAGAAATTTTTTGAAACCTGACAAATGAAAAATCTTATAACTCTGTAAGATCTGCTTCTATGTGTCTATATGTTTCTATGTGGCATGTGTATGTGATGTTTCACTACCAAATTTTATGAAAGCACTCTAATCAATAGGCTTAAAGGAAATTAAGTGCTTAAATCAAATATCAGAACAACATGCTAGCCCAAATGCCTGTTAGCTCATGAGACTTTAGGAATCTTTGATAAGTAAAACTAGTTGTAAAATTTCTTTAGTAATTTAAAATCTAGAGATCATGTTATATTAGGTAATCCCAGGTTTTTCACTGTAAATTAGGGTTACTTAGTTAGAATAGTTGTTAATAAATATAATTAAAACTACTAGATATAAGAGAATTCTACATGCAGAGTTCATAAAGAAACTAAGATGCGTTTTGGTAAAGGTTATAAATAACATGAGGATGTGGTTTTTTGCTAAAGAAAAAGTAAATTTGTCTAGTTTGGAGGCTACATAAAGATTTCTTCAAAATGAAGAAAAAATGAGACAGATAAAATTAAATGGATAGAAAGAGAAAGGATAAAAGGGTAGGGAATGAGGAACCCTTGACGGGGTCATCCATGGTATGGAGCTGCAGCTGTGCTGTATTAAGTTCCTAAAGGTAGGCTGGGCGCGGTGGCTCACGCCTGTAATCCCAACACTTTGGGAGGCTGAGGTGGGCGGATCACGAGGTCAGGAGATCGAGACCGTCCTGGCCAACACGGTGAAACCCCGTCTCTACTAAAAAATACAAAAAATTAGCCGGGCGTGGTGGCGGGCGCCTGTAGTCTCAGCTACTTGGGAGGCTGAGGCAGGAGAATGGCGTGAACCCGGGAGGCGGAGCTTGTAGTGAGCCGAGATCACGCCTCTGCACTCCAGCCTGGGCGACAGAGCGAGACTCCATCTCAAAAAAAACAAAATAAAAAAATTTAAAAAATAAAAAAATAAAAAAAAAGTTCCTAAAGGTAAAAGTTACCAGTGGAGTTTAGCAATGGATCCAGCTCCTGGGGAACTGGTTCACAAGATACATGAGGAAATGCAAACTAATAAGGAAAAAGAGAAACATTCAATCCCTTGGTTATTGTTATCTATAATAGCTAAAACAAAAGTAAAAGAGTGTGCTGGGCTGGGCCTTGGCCAAACCAAGTTCTGATGAGGGACTGTCTGATCTCAGATCACCAGCCTCAAAGCCACCTGCAAAGGGGAAAGATAGACTGGGGCAACAAAAAGTACCTCTGAGACCTGTGATTACCAAGAAGGTAGCTAATGTGAGGGAAGGGTAAAACCAATTAACTACTGAAACCAGAGGGCATAATGTAAAGGAACTGTTCCATTTTGCACATCAGTATCATCAGCTTCCTAAAAAACCTTTACTAAAACGGATTGTAACAGTGACTGATTTTGGAGTAGTATCTTGCATTTTAAATACGACAGAGTGGAAAAAAGATGTGTAGGTTGATGCAGGACACACAGCTCACTACTGAAAAATCACAGATGGGCAAATGTGATACAGACTGACAGGAGGGTATTCTTAGAGAACAGCTGATATAGAAGTTAGAAAGAAATTATTGGGCTGGGCACGGTGGATCACACCTATTGTCAGGCCTCTGAGCCCAAGCCAAGCCATCGCATCCCCTGTCACTTGCACGTACACACCCAGATGGCCTGAAGTAACTGAAGAATCACAAAAGAAGTGAATATGCCCTGCCTCACCTCAACTGATGACATTCCACCACAAAAGAAGTGAAAATGGCCTGTTCCTGCCTTAACTGATGACATTGTCTTGTGAAATTCCTTTTCCTGGCTCATCCTGGCTCAAAAACCTCCCCCACTGAGCACCTTGCAACCCCTACGCCTGCTCGCCAGAGAACAAAACCCCTTTGACTGTAATTTTCCTTTACCTACCCAAATATTATAAAACGGCCCCACCCCTATCTCCCTTTGCTGACTCTCTTTTCGGACTCAGCCCGCAGGCACCCAGGTGATTAAAAGCTGTATTGCTCACACAAAGCCTGTTTGGTGGTCTCTTCACACGGACGCGCATGAAATTTGGTGCCGTGACTCAGATCGGGGGACCTCCCTTGGGAGATCAATCCCCTGTCCTCCTGTTCTTTGCTCCGTGAAAAAGATCCACCTACGACCTCAGGTCCTCAGACCCACCAGCCCAAGGAACATCTCACCAATTTTAAATCGAGTAAGCGGCCTCTTCTTACTCTCTTCTTCAACCTCTCTCACTATCCCTCAACCACTTTCTCCTTTCCACTCTTCAATCTCTCCCTTCTTTCAATTTCAATTCCTTTCATTTTCTGGTAGAGACAAAGGAGACATGTTTTATCCGTGGACCCAAAACCCCGGCGCCGGTCACAGACTGGGAAGGCAGCCTTCCCTTGGTGTTTAATAATTGCAGATACGCCTCTCTGATTATTCACCCACGTTTCAGAGGTGTCAGATCACGCAGGGACGCCTGCCTTGGTCCTTCACCCTTAGCGGCAAGTCCCACTTTTCTGGGGGGGGCAAGTACCCCAACCCCTTCTCTCTGTGTCTCTACCCCGTCTCCACCTTTCTGGGGGGCAAGAAACCCCTAACCCTTCTCCTTCACTCTTAGCAGCAAGTCCCGCTTTTCTAGAGGAGGGGCAAGTACCCCAACCCCTTCTCTCCATGTCTCTACCTCTTCTCCGCCTTTCTGGGGGGCAAGAAACTCCCAACCCCTTCTCCTTCATCCTTAGCGGCAAGTCCTGCTTTTCTGGGGGAGGGGCAAGTACCCCAACCTTGTATCTCTGCGCCCCGATCCCTTATGTCCATGCCCCGACCTCTTATATCTCTGTGCTCCGATCCCTTATTTCCACGCCCCAACCTGTTATATCTCTGCGCCCTGATCCCTTATTTCCATGCCCCGACCTTGTATCTCTGCGCCCCGACCCCTTTCCCACTTTTCTGGAGGGTAAGAACCCCTGAACCCCTTCCCTCCTGTCTCTATCTTTTCTCTGGGCTTGCTTCCTTCACTATGGGCAACCTTCCACCCTCCATTCCTCCTTCTTCTCCCTTAGCCTGTGTTCTCAAAAACTTAAAACCTCTTCAACTCACATCTGACCTAAAACCTAAATGCCTTACTTTCTTCTGCAATGCCACTTGACCCCAATACAAACTCAACAGTGGTACCAAATAGCCAGAAAATGGCACTTTCAATTTTTCCATCCTACAAGATATAAATAATTCTTGTCGTAAAATAGGCAAACGGTCTGAGGTGCCTGACGTCCAGGCATTCTTTTACACATCAGTCCCTTCCTAGTCTCTGTTCCCAATGCAACTCGTCCCAAATCTTCCTTCTTTCCCTCCCGCCTGTCCCCTCAGTCCCAACCCCAAGCATCACTGAGTCTCCAATCTTCCTTTTCTACAGATCTATCTGACCTCTCCCCTCCTCGCCAGGCCGAGCTAAGTCCCAATTCTTCCTCAGCCCCCTCTTCTCCACCCTATAATCCTTTTATCACCTCCCCTCCTGACACCCGGTCTGGCTTACAGTTTCATTCCGTAACTAGCCCTCTGCCACCTGCCTAGCAATTTACTCTTAAAAAGGTGGCTGGAGCTAAAGACATAGTCAAGGTTAATGCTCCTTTTTCTTTATCCCAAATCAGATAGCGTTTAGGCTCTTTTTCATCAAATATAAAAATCCAGCCCAGTTCATGACTCGTTTGGCAGCAACCCTGAGACTCTTTACAGCCCTAGACCCTAAAACATCAAAAGGCTGTCTTATTCTCAAAATACATTTTATTACCCAATCTGCTCCCAACATTAAATAAAACTCCAAAAATTAAATTCTGGCCCTCAAACCCCACAACGGGATTAATTAACCTCGCCTTCAAGGTGTACAATAATAGAAAAAAGTTGCAATTCCTTGCCTCCACTGTGAGACAAACCCCAGCCACAACTCCAGCACACAAGAACTTCCAAATGCCTGAACCGCAGCGGCCAGGCGTTCCTCCAGAACCTCCTCTGCCAGGAGCTTGCTACAAGTGCCAGAAATCTGGCCACCAGGCCAAGGAATGCCTGCAGCCCAGGATTCCTCCTAAGTCACGTCCCATCTGTGCAGGACCCCACTGGAAATCGGACTGTCCAACTCACCTGGCAGCCACTCCCAGAGCCCCTGGAACTCTGGCCCAAGGCTCTCTGACTGCTTCCCAGATCTTCTTGGCTTAGCGGCTGAAGACTGACACTGCCTGATCACCTCGGAAGCCCCCTAGACCATCACGGACTCCGAGCTTCGGGTAACCTTCACAGTGGAAGGTAAGTCCGTCCCCTTCTTAATGAATACGGAGGCTACCCACTCCACATTACCTCCTTTTCAAGGGCCTGTTTCCCTTGCCTCCATAACTGTTGTGGGTATTGACGGCCAGGTTTCTAAACCTCTTAAAACTCCCCAACTCTGGTGCCACCTTAGACAATACTCTTTTAAGCACTCCTTTTTAGTTATCCCCACCTGCCCAGTTCCCTTATTAGGCCAAGACACTTTAACTAAATTATCTGCTTCCCTGACTATTCCTGGGCTACAGCCACATCTCATTGCCACCTTTTCCCCCACTTCAAAGCCTCCTTCACATCCTCCTCTTGTATCCCCCCACCTTAACCCACAAGTATAGGATACTTCTACTCCCTTCTTGGTGACCGATCATGCAACCCTTACCATCTCATTAAAATCTAATCACCCTTACCCCACTCAACGCCAGTATCCCATCCCACAGCACGCTTTAAAAAGATTAAAGCCTGTTATCACTCGCCTGCTACAGCATGGCCTTTTAAAGCCTATAAACTCTCCTTACAATTCCCCCATTTTACCTGTCCTAAAACCAGACAAGCCTTACAAGTTAGTTCAGGATCTGTGCCTTATCAACCAAATTGTTTTGCCTATCCACCCCATGGTGCTGAACCCATATACTCTCCTATCCTCAATACCTCCCTCTACAACCCATTATTCTGTTCTAGATCTCAAACACGCTTTCTTTACTATTCCTTTGCACCCTTCATCCCAGCCTCTCTTCGCTTTCACTTGGACTGACCCTGACACCCATCACGCTCAGCAAATTACCTGGGCTGTACTGCCGCAAGGCTTAACAGACATCCCCCATTACTTCAGTCAAGCCCAAATTTCTTCCTCATCTGTTACCTGTCTCGGCGTAATTCTTAGAAAAACACATGTGCTCTCTCTGCCGATCGTGTCTGACTGATCTCTCAAACCCCAACACCTTCTACATCCTAGGCATGGTTAGATACTTTCGACTTTAGATACCTGGTTTTGCCATCCTAACAAAACCATTATATAAACTCACAAAAAGAAACCTAGCTGACCCCATAGATCCTAAATCCTTTCCCCACTCCTTTTTCCGTTCCTTGAAGACAGCTTTAGAGACTGCCCCAACCCGAGCGCTCCCTGACTCATCCCAACCCTTTTCATTACACAGAGCTGAAGTGCAGGGCTGTGCAGTCGGAATTCTTACACAAGGACCGGGATCGCGTCCTGTAGCCTTTTTGTCCAAACAACTTGACCTTACTGTTTTAGGCTGGCCATCATGTCTCCGTGCAGTGGCTGCTGCCACCCCAATACTTTCAGAGGCCCTTAAAATCACAAACTATGCTCAACTCACTCTCTACAGCTCTCATAATTTCCAAAATCTATTTTCTTCCTCACACCTGATGCCTATACTTTCTGCTCCCCAGCTCCTTCATCTCTCTGATCCACCTGACGTTCACCCCATTTCCCCACATTTCCTTCTCCCCTGTTTCTCACCCTGATCACACTTAGTTTATTGATGGCAGTTCCACCAGGCGTAATCGCCACACACCAGCAAAGGCAGGCTATGCTATAGTACAAGCCACTAGCCCGCCTCTTAGAACCTCTCATTTCCTTTCCATTGTGGAAATCTATCCTCGAGGAAATAACTTCTCAGTATTCCATCTGCTATGCTACTACTCCTCAGGGATTATTCAGGCCCCCTCTCTTCCCTACACATCAAGTTCAGGGATTTGCCCCCGCCCAGGACTGGCAAATTAGCTTTACTCAACATGCCCCGAGTCAGGAAACTAAAATACCTCTTATTCTAAGTAGACACTTTCACTGAATAAGTAAAGGCCTTTCCTACAGGGTCTGAGAAGGCCACCGTAGTCATTTCCTCCCTTCTGTCAGACATAATTCCTTAGTTTAGCCTTCCCACCTCTATACAGTCTGATAACAGACCAGCCTTTATTAGTCAAATCAGCCAAGTAGTTTTTCAGGCTCTTAGTATTCAGTGAAACCTTTACATCCCTTACAGTCCTCTGTCTTCAGGAAAAGTAGAACAGACTAAAGGTCTTTTAAAAACACACCTCACCAAGCTCAGCCACCAACTTAAAAAGGACTGGACAATACTTTTACCACTTTCCCTTCTCAGAAGTCAGACCTGTCCTCAGAATGCTACAGGGTACAGCCCATTTGAGCTCCTGTATAGACGCTCCTTTTTATTAGGCCCCAGTCTCATTCCAGACACCAGACCAACTTAGACTGTGCCCCAAAAAAACTTGTCATCCCTACTATCTTCTGTCTAGTCATACTCCTATTCACCATTCTCAGCTACTCATACATGCCCTGCTCTTGTTTACACTGCCGGTTTACACTGTTTCTCCAAGCCATCACAGCTGATATCTCCTGGTGCTATCCCCAAACTGCCACTCTTAACTCTTGAAGTAAATAAATAATCTTTGCTGGCAGGACTATGCTGAATCTCCTTAGGCACTCTCTAATCAGATGTCCTGGGTCCTCCCAATTCTTAGACCTTTTATACCTGTTTTTCTCCTTCTCTTATTCCATTTAGTTTTTCAATTCATACAAAACCATATCCAGGCCATCACCAATCATTCTATACAACAAATGTTTCTTCTAACAACCCCACAATATCACCCCTTACCACAAAATCTTCCTTCAGCTTAATCTCTCCCACTCTAGGTTCCCAAGCCACCCCAATCCTGCTCGAAGCAGCCCTGAGAAACATCGCCCATTCTCTCTCTCCATACCACCCCCCAAAAATTTTCGCCACCCCAACACTTCAACACTATTTTGTTTTATTTTTCTTATTAATATAAGAAGGCAGGAATGTCAGGCCTCTGAGCCCAAGCCAAGCCATCGCATCCCCTGTGACTTGCACATATTCGCCCAGATGGCCTGAAGTAACTGAAGAATCACAAAAGAAGTGAATATGCCCTGCCCCGCCTTAACTGATGACATTCCACCACAAAAGAAGTGAAAATGGCCTGTTCCTGCCTTAACTGATGACATTGTCTTGTGAAATTCCTTTTCCTGGCTCATCCTGGCTCAAAAACCTCCCCCACTGAGCACCTTGCAACCCCCACTCCTGCCCGCCAGAGAACAAACCCCCTTTGACTGTCATTTTCCTTTACCTACCCAAATCTTATAAAACGGCCCCACCCCTATCTCCCTTTGCTGACTCTCTTTTCAGACTTAGCCCGCCTGCACCCAGGTGATTAAAAGCTGTATTGCTCACACAAAGCCTGTTTGGTGGTCTCTTCACACGGACGCGCATGAAACCTATAATACCAGCACTTTGGGAGGCCGAGGCGGGCCGATCACCTGAGGTCAGGAGGTCAAGACCAGCCTGGCCAACATGGTGAAACCCCATCTCTACCAAAAATATAAAAATTAGCCAAGCATGGTAGCACACGCCTGTAGTCCCAGCTACTGGGGAGGCTGAGGCCACAGGGTCGCTTGAACGCGGGTGGCAGAGGTTGCAGTGAGCAAAGATCATGCCACTGCACCCCAGCCTGGGTCATGGAGTGAGACTCCGTGTCAAAAAAAAAAAAAAGAAATTATTTAGATAGTGAGGGTTCGGGAGTCCTTGGTAAGGTTTTCCTTTCAATGAAAAGCAGCCCCAAAATCATTTCTTTTCTAACAAAGAGCAACCTGTAAAATCAAGCTGCAGACATAGACACACAAGCTAGAAGCTTGCAAGGGTGAATGCCAGCAGCTGTGCCAATAGGAAATGGCTACCTGGGGCTAGGCAGGTTCAAAATGGCATCTCCATCTTCCCTTCTCCTTGCCAAACCACATGTACAGTAAGGAAAAGACAGCATGGCGCTGGCCAGGCAAAGACTCCATTTGCCTAATAAGATTAGGGTGGGACGACCAGCTTCCTCACCAGCTATGTAAACATCGCACCTGGTCCAACCAATCTATGGGCCCTATGTAAATCAGTCATAGCCTCCTCAAGCCTGTCTATAAAATCCGGTACACTCCACAGTGGGCCAGAAGTCCCATTCAGGTGCCCCTCTCTTTCGCAAGAGAGAGAGCTGTTCTCCTTTCTCTTTCTTTAGCCTATTAAACCTCCGCTCCTAAACCCACTTCTTGTGACCACTTAATTGATTTCCTTGGCATGAGATGACAAACCTCAGGTATTTACTCCAGACAATGGTGCTGTTTCATAGCTAGCCTAGTGGACTGGATAAAAGCCCTAAGAAGGGGAACTATCCAACTCTACTTAGTAATGCCAAGTGGAGCACGCCAGATGCAGCTGCTGATGTGCTTCATCTACAAGCCATGAGGGACTCACTTTATGATGATAGGAATATTCACCCACTAAATATGCCCATTACCTAGTTCATGATAAATGCTGTGGTTATAGGGGCTAAAGGGGCTCCTTCCAAATGGGCACCCTATGTAATGCTACTCCTACTGTTGTCCAGAACAACACGAGAAGCCGTAGCAAATTGGCTGTTTCAGCTTCCCCTCATGGGTCTTACAGATGCTAATAATACATTAAAGTAATTAAGAAGAGCATGGGGAAAAGCAAAAGGGAGAGTCAAAGGACTCATTCCAGGAAGGTGGAAATTTTTAAATGGTTATTCTAAAAAATAAGGTGAAGAAAGAAAACAATGATAGAAAAACAATGAAACTCAGAGAAGAAATGAGAGAGAAACATGGGATTCATCCCATCAGGGTAGTAGAAGTCTTTAGATGGTTATTAAGAAATTAAACGAATAAAATAGAAACTGATGGGGTTAAAACAAAGGTCTTAGTACAACATTACCAAGGGCTGGATGGACCAAAGGGATTTTGCTAGTTCCCCAGCATTAAAGGGCCCCAAACCTTTTTATTCCCTTTACCCTAGATTGGAGAAATTTTTTTAAAAAGTCAAAAGACAAAGATTACAATGAGAAAGCTGGCCAATAATTGCCTGGGGCATAGTGAGGCAGGTGAACCAAGATATGGATTGACAAAAGGGCCTAAGTCCCTTGGCTCAACCTCCTGCTGGGAACCCAGGTCCTTTTCAAAAGAAAGGGTAAAACGGTCATAAAAGAAGTTTCTGGGACCAGAATGTAAAAATGCAGGATTGCAAAAGTTGGATTTTTTTTTTGTTTTTTTTTTTGTTTTGTTTTTTTTGAGATGTAGTCTCACTCTGTTGCCCAGGCTGAAGTGCGGTGGTGCGATCTCGGCTCACCGCAACCTCTGCCTCTTAGGTTCAACCAATTCTCCTGCCTCAGCCTCATGAGTAGCTGGGAGTACAGGCGCCCACCACCTCACCTAGCTAATTTTTGTATTTTTAGTAGAGACAGGGTTTCACCGTGTTGGCCAGGCTGGTCTTGAACTCCTGACCTCAGGCGATCCACCTGCCTCAGCCTCCCAAAGTGCTTGGATTACAGGCAAAAGTTGGAATGTTTAAACAGGCATTTTCTAAAGTGATTGTGTCTTCTTTACCTAAATGTTTATAAAAATGGATCTTGTATCTGACTGGGAGAGGTTTCCCCTACCTAGTACTATAAAACAGAAAGGATGTAAATGCGCCCCTCAGGCAATATTAAATGGACATGTGCGGGCAGGAGAACAACACATGCTGGGGCCTTTTGTGGGGGGCCTGAGGGAGAGCATTGGGAAGAATAGCTAATGAACACTGGGCTTGACACCTGGGTGACGGGATGATATGTGCAACTGGCCATCATGGCACACGTTTACCTACGTAACAAACCTGCACATCCTGCATATGTACTCCTGAACTTAAAAGTTGAAGAAAAAAAAAATGGACATGCTAAATGAGAACCAGTAAGATTGCCCAAGCCCACAGAGTGGAGAGTAAAAGCTAGAATGCTGGTGGGAACAAATTCTGTACTTTGATAGCCCTTTGTAGAGCATTTATTGCAGGTTTTGGCAAAAGTCTGTGAGCACTTCCCAATGATGATTACTGAGACTTTAAGAGAATTTCCACTTGAGGAGCATTTACTGCCTTGCTAAGGGACATTAAGTGAAGCTATCCCTATGCTAACAGGGATAGCAGTGCCCCATTGAAGTGCCCAGGGTTCCCTAATAAAATGGAAATGGTTTATATAGGATGATGCCATCTGGAGTGTACAACGAGGAGATACTCATGAGCAAAGAGCTACTTTCTCCCTAGGACTGCGTCTGAAGCTATGCGAGGAGCTCCTGGATTTTACATTACCCAATAAATAGCTCTCACCTGACTGATAAAGAGCTGCTTGGTTTGTGGATGGTAGCTCCAAGATGAAAGGACAATGTCCTGCTTGGAAGGCTGCTACTCTGATTGTAAAGCATACTTTTGTGAGCAGAATATACCTCTCTGAGTTCTCCAAAATTTGGAAACTATCTGTGAGTATTCCTGAAACTTATTTTGCACATAAATTGGCCATACTATCATTTCTTTTTAGTAAAAAAGGAGAGATTAGAGAGAGAGAAATTCTATTTCAAAGGAAAACTATAACACAATTATTATTGGATTCCAGCTGTGACTTTTGTTTTGAATTATTATTTTTCTGCAGTGGGTCTCTAAAAAAGAACCTAGTTATAATTTTCTTCATGATGTTTTTAGTTAGCTCTCTCATGGAATAAGTTCCTCTTCCATTCTGACATATAAATTCTCTTTTGTCAAATGATTAATGTTATTTATTTCCCCATTGTTTCACTTCGTCTGAGAAAACTGAAGTTGCGGTGTTTTGAAAACTACAGATGATTTAAGAGCCTATGAATCTCCCTAATTTGATATCCCACCGGGCCTGATCTGTTTCTCCTTGCCAATCCCCTGCTGCTAAAACTATACAAGCACCCTCCCTCTAAGCCCGGGGACTATCATGGAAGAAGCGGGCACATGAAACTGTTAGGTCTGGTTTTCAGGGATATAATTAATTCAGACCCTACAAATAACCTGGCCTTTTGGCTTTGGTTTTTAGCTCTTTTATTGCATAAAAGGTTTTAAACATTGATGAGTGCCTGCCCTCTATGCCATCTGGCCTAGAACACTTAAATTGGCTGTTAAGTTTTTTGGCTCTATGTCTCTTGGCCACAAGGGCCCCACCAAGGGACAGGACGGACCTGAAGCAGATAGCCATACCACCTCAGCAACAACATGGGACAAAATGAAAGTGTGGCCACTGATGCTGCCTCTGGCCAATCTTAGCCAAAAGGGGGAAAAATGAGAAATAAAAACAATTCTAAACATCCAACAGACTGAACACACCTCCTCTTGGCCAAGGAAACCCCAGAGAAACCTGAAAAGCTGAGTTCACAGCCATGGTGAAATGGGAAGTTGGACACACTTCCTGATACTCCCACCTTCAGGGGAGCCATCAGGCTTTCCTCCCTAAGAGCTAAAAAGAAACTAGTCCTTTCAAAAGACTACTAGCTTATCTTCACAGGGACACAACAAAGACAAGATTAAACATGCTTTCACCCCTCCCTAAGGTAAGATGAGATTAATCATTCCTTCACCCTTCCCTGAGACATATGTTTCCTCTATTCCCATTTTCTTCAAATGTTCACCTTATCTTATGTAAGATGTAGATTTACTGGGCACTAACTAAACTCTCATAAGTATGTAATAATTTGTCTCACTGCTGCCCCATCCCCCACCCTTTTTAAGGAAAATGTAAAACACTAAACTTCCTGAGAACCTCTTTGGAAAAAGTCATAGGTGCTTCTGTGACTCAAGATTTTCCTGGGCAAGCCCTTAAGGTGGCTCAATAAACCTCAATGATTTGAGACTTGTGCCTTAATCACTCATTTCGGTTGTCAGTCCACAGAAAAACCGGTATATAAATGTTCATAATATAACTAGTCATAATAGCAAGAAAGTGGAAACATTTCAAAATGTCTTTCAACTGTTGAAAGAATAAACAAAATATGCTATACTCATAAAACAATCTATTCAGAAAACAAAATGAGCTACTGATATACACTGCAATATCCATGAACCTCAAAACTATGTAAAGTGAAAGAAGATATACACAAAAGAATACATATTTTATGAGTCTATTTATAGAAAAGGCAAATCTATAGACAGAAAGTGAATGGTTGCCTGGAACTAGAGGACAGAAGTGGGTATAGACTATAAAAGAGCACTGGGAACTTTTGGGGGTTGCTGTGGTTTAAATGTGTTCATATGTTGGAATCTTAATCCCCAACGCAACCATGGTGGGAGGTGGGGCCAAATGGGAGGTGTTTGGGTCATTGAGGGCCCTGCCTTTATTAACGTAACATTGTTCTGCACTCATTAATGTAACACTGTTATCACAAGAGTGGTCTTGATATAAAAGTGAGTTTGCAACTGGTGCAGTGGCTCAGGCCTGTAATTCCAGCACTTTGGGATGCTGATGCTGAGGTCAGGAGTTCAAGGCCAGCCTGGCCAACATGGTGAAATCCTGTCTCTACTGAAAACACAAAAATTAGCTGGGCATGATAGTGCACACCTGTAATGCCAGCTGCTTGGGAAGCTGAGGCAGAAGAATTGCTTGAACCCAGGAGGTGGAGGTTGCAGTGAGCCGAGATCGCACCATTGCACTCCAGCCTGAGCAACACAGTGAGACTCCATCTCAAAAAAAGAAAAAAAGTGAGTTTGGCCCCTGCTTCCTCTCATGTTCTCACACTCTCTTGGCCTCACACTCTCTTATTCTTCCACCATCTGCCATGGAATGATTCAGCACAAAGGCCCCCACTAGATGCTGGCACCATGTTCTTCAACTTCCCAGCCTCCAGAACCATGAACTAAATAAACTTCTAGAGTTTAAAAGGTATAGATTGGATTTGTGTTCCCACCCAAATCTCAGGTCAAATTATAATCCCCAGTGTTGGAGAAAAGGCCTGGTGGAAGGTAACTGGATCATGGAGGCAGACTTCCTCCCTTGCTGTTCTCATGATAGTCAGTGAATTCTCATGAGATCTGGTTGTTTAAAGGTATGCAGCACTTCCCCCATCTCTCTCTTCCTCCTGCTCCAGCCGTGTTAAGACATGCCTACTTCACCTTCTACCATGATTGAAAGTTTCCTGAGGCCTCCCCAGCCATGCATCCTGTACAGCCTGTGGACCCATGAGCCAATTAAACTTGCTTTCTTTATAAATTACCCAGCCTCAGGTAATTCTTTATAGCAGTGTGAGAATAGACTAATACACATAAATTAGCCAGTCTCAGGTACTGTTACAGCAACCCAAAATGAAGTAAGAGATATTAAAAAATGTTCTAAAACTGAATTGTGTTGATAGATACAAAACTCTAAAAATTCACTCAAAATAAATGACCTATATACTTATCTATACCCACTTACCCTGGGTAATTTTATGATCTTGAAATTATACCTTACTGAAGCTGCTAAACAATAAAAACTTTTTAAAAATATATATAAATATAAGTCTACACTTCTACCCCTTCTTAGAAATTCTCTCCTCCTCCCTTATCACTAAGCTGCCTCTTTAAACAGAGATGCCTAGGGCTGGGGATGCAAAGCCCACAGGAATCTGCTGGGTTTCAAACCTTTTTTTTGAACAGAGTACATCATCCCTTTTTAATTTCTCCTAAAATATCCATTGATTTGTAGGTAATGTAGTGTTACAACCCCAAATTGCCTCACGAAGGCTTTGCCTGATAGTTGGTTTCTATTTCTGGGGCCAACTCACTTCTAATTGTCCTCTTGGTTTCTGAGATCACTTTTTCTCTGACACTGGATTTAGTTCAGCCTCATTCCTTAGAACAAAACCTTGCAATAAGAAACACAAATACCACCACAGACCCCAGACCAGGAATCATTCAGATTGGCATCAGCTAGCTTCCCACTAGCTTTGAGGAAGGGTGGAGTTTAAGAAGTGTTTCACAAACTAAAAGGCTTATCCCAGAGATTCCCATCTTAAAAAAAAAAAAAGAACATCTTTTAAATGTCAAAACATTTTTGTAACCCACATTTAGTAGTGATTTTATTTTAGTATCAGTTGATTGAAAAAAATACAGAATGACAAAAAGCTACTATAATAGCTTAAATGCTCTTAAGTAAATTTGCATTTTATTAATCATAACCATATCTACATTTATCAGGAAGGAAAATCTATTTAAAAAAAGAAAGAAATTCTTGCACAAGCTGCTTCTGCATTCTGGGGAAGCACAGAATTCACCCCTGGGGGAATAAGTCAGTCTTTTGTTTGGTATGGCACAGTCTTTAGGCTGTGAAAGGGATGGCTCTAGGCTAGTCTGACAGTTGAGTCAGGCTGAAAAGAGATAAACTGTTCTGCATAATGAAATAATAAAGATTTTTAGGTGGTCCCCTGGTAATTTAAAGGAGTGATGGCTTTTTGATTTTCTTTTTATTTAGTTGTTGTTGGCAGGGAAGTAGGGACGAGAAAGAAGAATCTGAACACGGTGTTCAGAAGTTTTGGGGAGAAAAGTTTTCATGGGAAGAGTTGTTGAACATAACTTCAGACCACCATTAGTGCTTAGTGCAAAGATCTGGACACTCCCAGACATCCTGATTTACAAAGGGGGATACCTGCTGTAAGAAATGTGCCTTCTAGTAATTTTCTTGAGTTAACCCTTTGGAATCAAAAGAACTAAAAATGAGTTTTATACATACAGGAAGAAGATCCCAAGCAGCTGAACTAGTACTGTACACAGAACAAAACGTCAACATAGGTCCTACAAGACAGTCCCACTGAGTCTGTCCATTGAAAGGACAATTGTAACATCCTAGCACTACAGTAAAGGCAACACAGATGTTCCTTGGCTTATGATGGGCTTACAAAGCATTTACCCAGACAGAACCCCATCATAAGATGAGGAGGTACTAAATGTATATTGCTTTTGAACCACTAAAAAGTTGAAAAATAGTAAGTGGAACCATCCTAAGTTGGGGACTGTCTATAATCTCTTTACAACTTATTTTTAAAAAGCTCTCTAGCATATACATTTTTAAAAACTTAACCATCAAAAAACCCTATGAGGAAGGTATTATCAACCCAGTTTTACAATGTGGAAATTGAGGCTCATGTGGAATAAAATTATGTGTTATATCTCATAAGAAAGTCACAGAGTAGCAGGAGGTGGAACAAAATGGATGAATACAAGCTTCCACCAATCATCCTCCCTGAAGAAATATCAAGTTTAACAGCTATCTACACACTCACACAAACACACACACACATGCACACACACACACACACACAAGCACCTTCATAAGAACCAAACATTAAGTGAGTAATCACAGTGCCTGATTTTAACTTCATATCACTGAAAGAGGCACTGAAGAGGGTAGGAAAGACAATCTTGAATTGCTGATGCCATCCCTTCCCCAACCCCCAGCAGCAGCCCCAAAGCATAGAGAATCCGTGCACTTGGGGGAGAAAGAGCACAGTGATTGTGGGACTTTGCATTGGAACTCAGTGCTGTCTGTCACAGTGAAAAGCAACCCTGGCCAGAACTCAGCTGAAATAAATGGAGGGAGCATTTAAACCAACCCTAGCCAAAGGGGAATTGTCCCTGCCAGCAGTTAGAACTTGAGTTCCAGCAAGCCTTGCCACTGCAGGCTAAGGTGCTCTGGGGTCTTAAACAAATTAGAAAGGCAGTCTAGGTCACAAGGACTGCAACTCCAAGGCAATTCCTAGTGCTGTGCTGGGTTCAAGGCCAGTGGACTTCGGGGACACATGACCTAGTGAGACACCAACCAGTACAGCCAAGGGAATTGACGTGGTTTGATGTTAGGTGTCCCCACCCAAATCTCATGTTGAATTGTAATCTTCAGTGTTGGAGAAAGGGCCTGGTGGGAGGTGACTGAATCATGAGGGTGGACTTCCCCGTTGCTATTCTTGTGGTAGGGTTCTCATGAGATCTGGTTGTTTGAAAGTATATAGCACCTCCCCCTTCACTCTCTCTCTCTCTCCTGCTGGCAATGGGAAAGACATGCTTGATTCCCTTTATTTCTGCCATGATTTTAAGTTTCCTGAGGCCTCCCCAGCCATGCCTCCTGTACAGCCTTTGGAACTGTGAGTCAATTAAACCTCTTTTCTGCATAAATTACCGAGTCTCAGGTAGTTCTTTATAGCAGTGTAATCACAAACTAATACATAAAATTGGTACCAGGAGTGGGGCATTGCTATAAATATACCTGAAAATGTGGAAGCAGCTTTGGAACTGGGTAATAGGCAGAGTTTAGAACAGTTTGAAGGGATCAGAAGAAGACAGAAAGATGGTAGGAAAGTTTGGAACTTCCTAGAGACTTGTTAAATTGTTGTGACCAAAATGCTGAAAGTGATATAAAGAATAAAGTCCAGGCTGAAGTCTCAGATGGAGATGAGGAACTTATTAGGAACTGAAGTAAAGGTCACACTTGCCATGCTTTAGAAAAGAGACTGGCAGCATTGTGCCTACCCCTGCCCTAGAGATCTGTGGAACTTTGAGCTTGAGAAAGATGATTGAGGGTATCTGGCAGAAGAAATTTCTAAGCAGCAAAGCATTCAAGACATGGCCTGGCTGCTTCTAACAGCATATGCTTGTATTCATAAGCAAAGAGATGATCTGAAACTGGAACTTATGTTTAAAAGGGAAGCAGAGCATAAAAGTTTGGAAAATTTGTAGTCTGGCCATATGGCAGAAAAGAAAAGCCCATTTTCAGGGAAGGAATTTGAGTTGGTTGCAGCAATTTGCATAAGTAAAGAAGAGCCTGATGTTAATAGCCAAGACAATGGGGAATATGCCCCTAGGGCATTTCAGAGACTTTAACAGCAGCCCCTCCCATCACAGGCCTGGAGGCTGGGAGGGAAGAATGGTTTCATGGGCCAGGACCAGGAACCTGCTGCTCTGTGCAGCCTCGAGACATGTCACCTGGTGTCCTAGCTACTCTGCTCCAGCCATGGAGCCACATCTAAAAGAGGCCAAGGTACAGTTCAGGCCACTGTTCCAGAGGGTGCAAGCCAGAAGCCACCAAGGCTTCCATGTGGTATTAAGCCTGTGGGTGCACAGAAGGCAAGAGATGAGGCTTGGGAGCCTCCACCTAGATCTCAGATGATGTATGGAAATGCCTGGATGTGCAGGCAGAAGTCTACTGCAGGGGCAAAGCCCTCATGGAGAACCCCTTCTAGGGCAGTGTGTATGGGGAAATGTGGAGTTAGAGTACCTACACAGAATCCCCACTGGGGCACTGCCTCGTGGAGCTGTTAGAAGAGGGCCACTGTCCTCCAGACCCCAGAATCTACCAACAGCTTGCACCATGCACCTGGAAAAGCTGCAGGCTCTCAACACCAGCCCATAAAAGCAGCCGAGGGGGCTATACCCTGCAGATACACAGGGGTGGAGCTGCCCAAGGCCTTGGGAGCCCATCCCTTGTGTCAGTATGGCCTACAAATGAGACATGGAGTCAAAGAATATTATTTTGGAGCTTTAAGATGTAATGACTGCCCTGCTGGGTTTCAGACTTGCATAGAGCCTATTTGTTTCGGCTGATTTCTCCCGCTTGGAATGGGAGCATTTACCCATTGTCTGTACTATCACAGTATCTTAGAAGTAACTAATTTGTTCTTAATTTTACAGGCTCATAGTGGAAGGGACTTGCCTTGTTTCACATGAGACTTTGGACTTGGACTTTTGAGTTGATGCTGGAATGAGTTAAGACTCTGGGGGACTGTTGGGAAGGCATGATTGTTTTGAAATGTGAGAAGGACATGAGATTTGGAAGGGGCCAGGAGCAGAATGATAGAGTTTGGCTCTGTGTCCCCACCCAAATCTCATAATGACCTACAATCTTCAATGCTGGAAGAGAAGCCTGGTGGGAGTTGATTCAATTATGGGGGTGAAAATCCCCCTTGCTGTTCTCATGATAGAGTTCTCATGAGATCCAGTTGTTTGAAAGTGTGTAGCACCTCCCCTTTCACTCTCTTTTTCCTGCTGGCCATGGGGAAGACATGCTTGCTTCCCCTTTGTCTTCTGCCATGATTTTAAGTTTCCTGAGGTCTCCCAAGCCATGCCTCCTGTAGAGCCTTCAGAATTGTGAGTCAATTAAACCCCTTTTCTTCATAAATTACTGAGTCTCAGGTAGTTCTTTATAGCAGTGTGATCACAGAGTAACACAGGAGGGCTTGTACTAACCATCCCCCAATCCCAGGCAGTGCAGCTTGCAGCTCTGAACAAGATTCCTTCCTTCCACTTAAGGAGAGGAGAGCGAAGAGCAAAGAGTTGTCTTGCAATTTGGATATCAGCTGAGCCACAACAGGATAGGGTACCAAACAGAGTTCTGAGGTCCCCATTCCATTTCCTAGTGCCCAGATGACATTTCCAGACACACATTGGGTCAGAAGGGAAAACACTGTCTTGAAGGAAAGGATGTAGTCCTTGCAGGATTAATAACCTCCTGACTAAAGAGCCTTTGAGCCCTGAATAATCAGCAGTGGTATCTAGGTAGTACACACTGTGAGCCTTGGATGAGACTCTGAGATGTACTGGCTTCAGGTGTGACCCAGCACATTCCCAGCTGTGGTAGCCAAGGGGAGGGATTCCTTCTTGGGAAAAGCAGAAAAAAGAGTAAAGGGGACTTAGTCTTGCAGCTTAGATACCAGTTTGGCCACAGCTGGGTAGAGCACCAAGCAGGCCCTTGGTGTTCCCTAATTCCAGGCCTTGGCTCTTGGATTTCTGGACCTGTCCTGGGCCAGAGGGGAACATATTTCCCTGAAGGGTGAGTCCCAATCCTGGAAACATTCACCACAAGCTGACTGAAAAGCTCCTGGGCCTTAAGTGAACATCAGTGGTAGCCTGGCAGTATTCCTCATGGGCCTGGGGTAATGGTGGCTATGGGGAGAGACCCCTCTTCTTGTGGAAGGGGGAGGGACTATTGGGAAAGACATTGCCTTGTGGCACCAGCACAGATTTCTTTGGTTTCTGACTTCAGGTCCTGGCTCCTGGGTGGCTTTTCTGGGCCCATCTGGGGCCCTGGGGAACTCCACTCCCTGAAGGGGAAGGCTGGCTGGCTTTACCACCTGCTGGCTGTAGAGCCCTAGGGCCTTGAGTGAATACAGGCAGTAGCCAGGTAGTGGTTACAGTGGGCCTTGGGCAAGACTCAGTGTTTTGACCCAGGGCAGTCCCAGTGGTGGTGAATACAGGGCTACTTATATAACCCCTTTCCCAGCTCCAGGCAACTCAACACAGAGAGAGAAGCTCCATTTGTTTAGGAGAAAGTAAGGCAAGAATATGACAGTCTCTGCCTGGCAATCCAGAGAATTCTTCAGGATCTCATCCACAACCACCAAGGCAGTACCTCTATGAGTCTGCAGGCTTGTACCTCTATGAGTCTGCAGGCTTATACCTCTACAAGGCTGCCGCCTAATGCAGACATGGCGGCAGTGACCAAAAACTTAGATCACAACATCCAAGTCCCTTCAAATACCTGAAAAACCTTCCTAAGAAGGATGGGTACAAACAAGCCCAGCCTGAGAAGACTACAATAAATACCTAACTCTTCAATGCACAAACACCAACAAATATCCACAAGCATCAAGATCACCCAGGAAAATATGATCTCAAAAATAAACTAAATAAGTCACCAGGAGCCAATCCCAGAGAGATGGAGATATGTGACCTTTCAGACAGAGAATTCAAAATAGCAGTTTTGAGAAAACTCAATGAAATTTAAGATAACACAGAGAAGGAATTTGGGATCTTATCAGATAAATATAACAAAGGAATTCATAATTTGAAAAAATCAAACAAATTCTAGAGTTGAAAAATGAAATTGACATACTGAAGAATGCATCAAAGTCTCTTAATAGCAGAACTGACCAAGTATCAGAAAGAATTAGTGAGCTTGAAGACAGGCTATTTGGAAATACACAGTCAGAGAAGACAAAATGAAAAAAGAATTTAAAAAATGAAGCACACCTACAAGACTAGAAAATAGCATGAAAGGGGCAAGTTTAAGAGTCACTGGCCTTAAAGAGGAAGTGGAGAGAGAGATAGGGATTGAAAGTTTATTCAAAGGGATAACAGAGAACTTGACAAACCTAGAGAAAGCTATCAATATCCAAGTAAAAGAAGATTAAAGAATGCCAAGCAGATTTAACCCAAAGAAGACTACATCAAAGCATTTAATAAACTCCCAAAGGTCGAAGATAAAGAAAAGATCCTGAAAGTAGCAAGAGAAAAGAAACAACATACTATGAGCTCTAATATGTCTGGCAGCAGACTTTTCAGTGGAAACCTTACAGGCCAGGAAAGAGTGGCATACATATTTAAAATACTAAAGAAAAAAAAACTTTTACCCTAGAATAATATATCTGGTGAAAATATCCTTCAAACATGAAGGAGAAATAAAGACTTGCCCAGACAAACAAATGCTGAGGTATTTTATCAACAGCAGACCTGTCCTACAAGTAAACGGAATTTTTTCAGTCTGAAAGTAAAGGAAGTAAATGAGCAATAAGAAATCATCTGAAGGTATAAAACTCACTGATAATAATAAGTAAACAGAAAAACACAAAATATAATAACACTGTAATTGTGGTATGTTAACTACTCACCTCTTGAGTGGAAAGACTAAAAGATGAACTGATAAAAATAATAATTTTAAGGCACAGACAGTACTATAAGATATAAATAGAAACAACAAAAAGTTTAAAAGCAAGAGGATGAAGGTGAAGTGTAGAGTTTTTATTACTTATTGCTTGTTTATGCAATCAGTGTTAAGTTGTCATAAGTTTAAAATACTGGGGTAATCCCAGCACTTTGGGAGGCTGAGGCGGGCGGATCACGAGCTCAGGAGATCGAGACCATCCTGGCTAACATGGTGAAACCCCATCTCTACTAAAAATACAAAAAATTAGCCAGGTGTGGTGGCGGGTGCCTGTGGTCCCAGCTGCTCGGGAGGCTGAGGCAGGAGAATGGCATGAACCCAGGAGGCGGAGCTTGCAGTGAGTCAAGATCATGCCACTGCACTCCAGCCTGGGTGACACAGCGAGACTCCATCTCAAAAAATAAAAATAATAATAATAATAAAATAAATAAATGAATAAAATACTGGGCTATAAATTATTATTTGCAAGCCTCATAGTAACTTCAAAACAAAACAAAACAAAACATACCACAAATATGCAAAAAATAAAAAGAAACAAATTCAACCATACCACTAGAGAAAATAACCTTTACTAAAAGGAAGACAGAAAGGAAGGAAAGAAGGAAGAGAAGAACACAAAACAACCAGAAAATAAATAAAAAATGGCTGAAGTAAGTCCTTACTTATTAATAACAACAATGAATGTAAATGGACTAAACTCTCCAATGAAAAGACACAGAGTAGGCTGGGTATGTTGGCTCACACTTGGAATCTCAGCACTTTGGGAGGCCAAGGGTGGAGGATTGCTAGAGCACAGGAATTTGAGACCAGCCTGGGCAACAAAGTGAGACCATGTCTCTACTAAAAATAAAAATTAAACCAAAAATTAGTCAAAAAAGACAAAGTGGCTGAATGGATTTTTAAAAAACAGACCCAGTGTTCTGTTGCCTACTAAAAACACACTAACATACTTCACCTATAAAGACACACATAAACTGAAAAAAAAGAATGGAAAAAGACTTTCTAAGCAAGTGAAAACCAAAAAGAGGAAGAGTAGCTATACTTTTATCAGACAAAATAGAATTCAAGACAAAAATCATAAAAAGAGACAAAGAAGGTCATTGTATAATGATAAAAGGGTCAATTCTGCAAGAGGATATAACAATTGTAAATACATATCTACCCAACACCGGAGTACCCAGATATATAAAGAAAATGTTAGCGCTAAACAGAGAGATAAACCCCAATACAATGATAGCAGGAGACCTCAACACCCCACTTTCAGCATTGGACAGATCACCCAGAAAGAAAACCAACAAAGAACTTAATCTGCACCATGGACCAAATTGACCTAACAGATATTTACAGAATATTTCATCCAATGGCTGGAGAACACAATCTTCTCAGCACATGGATCATTCTCAAGGATAGACCATATATTAGGACACAAAACAAGTCTTAACACATTCAAAAAAACTGAAAGAATAAGTATCTTCTCTGACCACAATGGAATAAAACAAGAAATGAATAACAAGCAAAATCTTGGAAACCACACAAACACACGGAAATTAAATAATACACTCCTGAATGACCAGTTGTCAATGAAGAAATTAAGAAGCAAATCAAAAAATTTATCGAAACAAATGATAATGGAAACACAACATATCAAAACCTGTGGGATATAGTGAAAGCAGTAATAAGAGAGAAGTTTATAGTTATAAGTGCCTACATAAAAAAAGTAGAAAGACATCAAGTAATCAACCTAACAATACATCTTAAAGAACTGGAAAATCAAGAGCAAACAGAACCTAAAATCAGTAGACAAATAATAAATATCAGAGCAGAAATAAATGAAATTGAAATGAAGAAAACCATGCAAAAGACCAACAAAATGAAATCTTGGTTTTCTGAAAACATAAACAAACTTGACAAACCTTTAGCCAAACTAAGGAAAAATAGAGAAGACCCAAATAAATAAAATCAGAGATGAAAAAGAAAGGCATTATAACTGATACTGCAGAAACTCAAAGGATTATGAGAGGCTTAATATGCCACTAAATTGGAAAACCTAGAAGAAATGGATAAATTCTTAGACACATACAACTTACCAAGATTGAACCATAAAGAAATCCAAAATTTGAACATACCGATAACAAGTAATGAGATAGAAGCTGTAATAAAGAATCTCCCAGCAAAGAAAAGCCCAGGACCCAATGGCTTCACTGCTTCATTTCACAAAACATTTTTAAAAAAATCAATCCTACTAAAACTATTCTGAAAAATAGAATACTTCTAAACTCATTTTATGAGGACAGTATTACCCTGATGCCAACACCAGATGAAAACGCATCCAAAAAATAAGAAAACTAGATAGGATGTAGAAGTCTCAGGGGGTTGAAAATTTAAAAAAAAGAAAGAAAGAAAGAAAAAAAAAGTACAGGCTAATATCCCTGATGAATATTGAAGCAAAAATCCTCAAAAAAATCTTGCAAACCAAATTCAACAACATACTAAAAAGATCGTTCATCATGACCAAGTGGGATTTATCCCAGGTATGCAAGCATAGTTCAACATATGTAAATCAACCAATGTGATACATTATATTAACAGAATGAAGGACAAAACCCATATATCATTTCAGCTGATGCTGAAAAAGACATTTGATAAAATTCAGGATCCCTCAGCATGATAAAAACCCTCAAAAAACTGAGTGTAGAAGGAACATACCTAAATAATAAAAACAATATATGACAGACCCACAGCTAGTATGATACTGAATGGGGAACAAGTGAAAACCTTTTCTCTAAGATCTAGAACACGATAAGGATCCCCACTTTTCTTTTTTTGGGGTTGTCAAATCATTTTTTTTTTATACTTTAAGTTCTGGGATACATGTGAAAAACATGCAGTTTTGTTACATAGGTATACACGTGCCATGGTGGTTTGCTGCACCCTTCAACCTGTCACCTACATTAGTCTCCTAATGCTATCCCTCCCCTAGCCCCCCACCCTGACAGGCCCTGGTGTGTGATGTTCCCCTCCCTGTGAAGGATCCCCACTTTTTGCCACTGTTATTCAACACAGTACTGGAAGTCCTAGCTAGAGCAATCAGACAAGAGAAAGATATAAGAGGCATTCAAATTGCAAAGAAGTCAAACTGTCCTTGTTTGCAGATGATATGAACTTACATTTGGA
Organism: Homo sapiens; assembly: GCF_000001405.40. Classification (NCBI taxonomy): domain Eukaryota; kingdom Metazoa; phylum Chordata; class Mammalia; order Primates; family Hominidae; genus Homo; species Homo sapiens. Next base: position 90,829,716 of record NC_000010.11, read on the forward strand.
AAAACCTGAAAACTCCACACGCAAAACAAAAAACTATCTGAACTGATAAACTCAGTAATGTTTCAACATACAAAATCAATATACAGAAATCAGTAGCATTTCTATATGCCAACAGAAAACAACCTGAAAAAGAAATCAAGTAATCCCATTTACAATAGCTACAAATAAAATTAAATACCTAGGAATTAACCAAAGAAGTGAAAGAAATTGAAGAGAACACATACAAAAAAAGTTAAAATGTTTCATGTTCATGGATTGGAAGAATCAATATTGTTAAAATGTCCATATTAACCAAAGAAATCTACAGATTCAATGCAATCCATATCAAAACACCAATGACATTTCTCACAGTAATAGAGAAAACAATCCTAAAATTTGACAAATATTTATTGACTGTTTATCTTGTGCCAGTATACCCACCAATAGCGAACCTCAGTAATCCAAACTTGAATACCATTCAATAATTGTTACCAATAAACTGTAACAACAGTCTTCCTTTGAAGAAGATCCTGATTCACTGCCATTTTGGTTCATGGGTGTTATTAAACTGATGAATACTCTGCAATTATTAAAGAACAAAAACCATTTACCTGAAGGCATTAATTACACTCACACACAAACCACTTGCTTACACAGCTTCTAAATTTGTAACCAGATGAAACACAGAAGCCCATTCATGGAATTTTTTATTCTGGAACACCTAAGAAAAGGCAAAAGTCATAGCTGAAAAGTTGCCTAAGTACAGCTGAGCAATAACGTGAGCAAAAGTCACTATAGAAAGATTTGGCCAGCCAGGCGCAGTGGCTCACGCCTGTAATTCTAGCACTTTGGGAGGCCGATGTAGCAGATAGCTTGTGCCCAGGAGTTTGAGACCAGCCTGGGCAACATGATGAAACCCCATCTCTACAAAAAATACAAAAATATTTACCAGGTGTGGTGGTGCGTGCTTGTAGTCCCAGGTACTTGGAGGGCTGAGGTGGGAGGATCGCTTAAGCCCGGGAGATGGAGGCAGCAGTAAGCCAAGATGGCACCACTGCACTCCAGCCTGGGTGACAAAGTGAGACCCTGTCTCAGAAAAAAAAAAAAAAAAAGGCAAGCAAACAAGCTTTGGCCCAGTTACGATGCTCCACAAAAAAGTTAAAAATAAAATAAATGCCTACTCCAACTAATGTTGTGCCACTCACTAGTCTTTCCACACTAGGGTTATGTTGGAGGATCTCCAGACAAGAGGTCAGTCCGGTGCACCTTCAGAGTTCAGGCTCTGCCACTTAGCAGTTGCTTCAAGCAGGCACTTACTCTCTATACCGTGGTTTTCTCTTCATAAAATGTGAAGGTTGTACTACATAATCTCTAAAATTCTGTATCAATCAGGGTCTCAGCAAGAAATAGATTGCACATTCCAATTAGGGTAGTTCAAGAAGACTATTTGCAGACCCATGGGCTGGAGGTAGTGTGTCCGGAATTGGTAGGCTCTTGGTCTCACTGACTTCAAGAATGAAGCCGCAGACCCTCGCCGTGAGTGTTACAGTTCTTAAAGGCAGCGTGTCCGGAGTTTGTTCCTTCTGATGTTCGGCTGTGTTCGGAGTTTCTTCCTTCTGGTGGGTTCATGGTCTCGCTGACTCAGGAGTGAAGCTGCAGACCTTGGCGGTGAGTGTTACAGCTCAAGCCGGCACATCTGGAGTTGTTTGTTCCTCCCGGTGGGTTCGTGGTCTCGGTGACTTCAGGAGTGAAGCTGCAAATCTTCGCTGTGAGTGTTACAGCTCATAAAAGCAGTGTGGACCCAAAAAGTGGGCAGTAGCAAGATCTATTGCAAAAAGCAAAACACATTGCTTCCAAACTGTGGAAAGGGACCCCAGCGGGTTGCCACTGCTGGCTCGCGCAGCCTGCTTTTATTCTCTTATCTGGCTCCACCCACAACCTGCGGATTGGTCCATTTTACAGAGAGCCGATTGGTCTGTTTTACAGAGAGTTGATTGGTCCGTTTTGACAGGGTGCTGATTGGTGCGTTTACAATCCCTGAGCTAGACACAAAAGTTATCCACGTCCCCACTAGATTAGCTAGATACAGAGTGTCGACTGGTGTATTTACAAACCCTGAGCTAGGCACAGAGTGCTGATTGGTGTATTTACAATCCCTTGAGTTAGATACAGAGTGTCGATTGGTGCATTCACAATCCCTTAGCTAGACATAAATGTTCTGCGAGTCCCCACCAGATTAACTAGATACAGAGTGCCGATTGGCGCATTCACAAACCCTGAGCTAGACATAGGGTGCTGATTGGTGTGTTTACAAACCTTGAGCTAGATACAGAGTGTTGATTGGTGTATTTACAATCCCTTAGCTAGACATAAAGATTCTCCAAGTCCCCATCAGACTCAGGAGCCCAGCTGGCTTCACCCAGTGGATCTGGCACTGGGGCTGCAGGTGGAGCTGTCTGCAAGTCCCACGCCATGCGGGTGCACTCCTCAGCCCTTGGGTGGTGGATGGGACCAGGCGCCGTGGAGCAGGGGGTGGCACTCGTCGGAGAGGCTCAGGCAGTGCAGGAGGCCACGGTGGGTGTAGGGGAGACCCAGGCATGGTGGGATGCAGGTCCCAAGCCCTGCCCCGAGGAGAGGCAGCTAAGGCCCGGCTAGAAATCTAGCACAGCGCAGGTGGGCCAGCACTGCTGGGGGACCCGGCACACCCTCTGCAGCTGCTGGCCCAGGTGCTAAGCCCCTCACTGCTTGGGGTGGCAGGGCCAGCCGGCTGCTCCGAGTGCGGGCCCGCCAAGCCCACGCCCACCCGGAACTCCAGCTGGCCCTCAAGCTCCATGCACAGCCCCGGTTCCCGCTCGTGCCTCTCTCTCCACACCTTCCCACAAGCTGAGGGAGCTGGCTCCAGCCTCAGCCAGCCCAGAGAAGGGCTCCCACAGTGCAGCAGTGGGCTGAAGGGCTCCTCAAGCATGGCCAGAATGGGCACCGAGGCCAAGGAGGCACCGAGAGTGAGCGAGGGCTGTGAGAGCTGCCAGCACGCTGTCACCTCTCAGTAGGAAAACCATAAGAGTTCAGCAACAGAACATTCGCCATCCCAGGCCCACAGGGAGGAGGGAAGAGGACAAAACATGGTCCAGAAGGAAGGAGTCACGCAGAAAAGGCCCTCTGAAAAAGACCAGTGACTTCCAGACAAGGGCACAGCCAGTGCAAGGTGGGCCTACAAGCAGGGAGTCCACTCTCCACCTTCCCACTCCCTCTGATATCCTTCCCTGGACTCTCCACTGGCTGAACCCATTGAAGCCAAACAGCATGTCAGTTTCCCAGGGAAGAGGATGGGGTGGAGGAAGGTGGAGTAGACTTGGAGACATGAACTAGCACAGGTCCCTTCCAGTTTTAACATTCTCTGGTAGTTGTGAGGATAGCTCGACCTCAACTGACCTTGGGCATGCCAAGCCTGAAACTCCTAGGCCATTAGAAATGGATATGAACCAAAGTATACACCAAGGTCAGCCCCTACTCCACCACTGTAGAGAATATTCCAGAGTGTCGAGATCATGCCTCTAGGGGACCTTCCAAGCTCTAGATATGTTATTTGATTTTTATCTTTTTAAAAGAGGATACATGATTTACCATGAATAGACCATATTTTACATTCCCTTCTCTGTGAAGCTTAAGAGTTAAGGCACCAGCTCTGAAAGCAGACCCATGCTGGTTTGATTCCAGGTTCTGACTCTGGGTAACCTGATTAAATTATCTAAGCCTTTCCTTATTTGTAAAAGGAGGGTAATAGAACGTACCGCATGGGGTTGTTGTAAAGATTAAAAGAGATATTCAGCATGTAACACAGGGCCTGACTAATAAATAGTAACATTTATTATTAATCTTACATTGAGGATTTATTTGACAAAAATTTCTTGGGGAGTTGTTAATGGCTTTTATCTGAGTTATCTTCCTTTTCCTTCATTTTGTCTCTGGGGGCCTCCTTCACATGACTTCCTGGGGTTCCCAAAATGCCAGTAATAATCATGGATTTTAGTGAAGAGACACAGGAAATGATTTATCACCTTAGACAAGATGAAATTAATAGCTTTCATTGGGAAGATTGTTCATTTTGAAAATATGAAACTTACACATTGAAAATAAAATTAAATCTAAATGAAATAAAAATCAATCATCACATAATGCTATTTGAAAGATGTAATTTAGAAAAAGGAAACTTGGATTATTATCAAAAGGCTTTATTTTGGCTGGTGTCTTTTATGACTACATAATCCTATTTTGAAAAAACTTGGGGGCACTTTGCTGTTGTCTATCTATAGGTACACTAAGAAATTACAAGGATAGGTAAAAGGCACGCTTACTGCAAAAGAGAATGCGAAAACAGAAAATTTCAAGAATATAGCAAACATCAGGTTTTATATACCCAGCTGAGGAGTAGGAGGGAAATAAATAAAGGAGCTACTGGTGCACACACACATTCATGGAGTCCATCCACATTTCCAGAGCACATTCTTAGTCCCTGGCACTGGGCTAGGCCTTAGGTGTGCAAATCCTACTAGTCCTCCAAATAGTGCTCCTACCCTTGGAGTATCCAAAGTCTACTGGGGAGGCAGACTCATGAACAACCATCCAAAGAACATGATGGAGATGAACATTGTGTTATAATCTGAATACATAAATATGGGAACATAAATTCGGGGGGTGGGGGAAATCACTAAAGGCCTGCTACATCAGTTAGCTTTTTCTGTATAACAAACTACTGCAAAACCTTGCGGCTTAAACCACAGCCTTTTATTCAGCTTGCTCTTCTGTGAGTCAGCTGGGCTGTTCCAGTCCAGGCAGGTTCAGATCATCTCAGTTGGGTTTTCTCTGTGTCTGTGGTCAGGTGATAGATCTGCTCATGTCTGGACAATCTATAATAACTTCATTCATTCACTTGACTGGCGACTGGCAGCCAAGGAAATAGAATGAGTAGGCCATGGGTCTCTCATTGTCCAATGAGGGCTTCTTCACATGGTAGCTAGCAGTCACAGGGTCCCCAAAAGAAGCAAAAGGCCAACTCCAATGAACCCCCCTTTTCACGTCTCTGCCTGTGTCATGTTTGCTAAGATCCCATTAGGTAAAGCAAGTTATAAGGCCAATCCTAAATTCTGTGTAGGAAGGGGTGCAAAGTCACCCTTGAGAGGGGTGTGCATGTAGGAACAGGAAGAATTGGGGGCAGTTTTTACAGTCTATCACAAGGCTGCATACAAGTGATATCTTGGGACAGGGAATGTTATCGTCTCCTAGGAATTTTCCAGGAAAAATTTGCTATTCCCTGGAAGAAGAATCAAGACAAGAACCACTGTGGAAATGTAAAAATGCGTCTGACTCACCCAAGATGTAGTAATGTGTATGTTTTGGGAGGTTCTGGAGATAAGGTTAGAGTTCATCTTATGATTTCCCATTCTGTATAGGTATATTTGAAATCACTATAGCTATCATACTATTTCCAGTGTCTAGTCTTGCCTCTAGGGCTTGGAAAGTAACCCAATAAGCTAAACCATCCCCATGCTGGAGATGTTCATATAATGAGCTATGCAGGTAAAATCCCATTGTACTGACCACCCTTACAGGAAGACCTTAATGACAGAACATCCTGGGAATGAAATTGGCAGTGTCCTCATAAATCACATAAAGCAGGGCTAAGCCTTCAAAGTCACAGAACAAATGGTCCTGGCAGCTATGATGAGGTCTCCACTTAGGGAAGAAAAAAACACAACCCACCAAGGCAGAACTGGGTCATCAGTGGTGCAGCTTCTATGTCTCTCTTTCATATTCCTCTGCCTACCTGTTTTATACCAAGACCTGATTAAACAGTCAACTATTGCTTGTTTTCTTGTTTCATTCATTCATTCACTCAACCACTAATCCACCAAACATTTATTGAGCACCTTCCACATACTAATAGGAGCTGGAAGAAAACACAGATAAATAAGATGCCCTGTCCCAAAGGACCTCAGCATTTGGTGTGCAAGGGACCCAGAAATATAAACAATTACAATTCAGCATGATGAGAGTAGAGAAGGAAGCTCAGGGGACTAAGGGAGAGCTTGAGAGGGACACCTAACCCAGACCTCAGTGTCAGACACAGCTTTCCAAAGGCTGTGGCACTTTAGCTGAATCTCAAAGAATGTTTAGGAAATAGGCAGACAAGGGTAGAGCACTCCAAGCAGAGGAAACAACTTGTACTGGGGTATGGAAGCACAGGAGAACATATGACAGGAAGTACACAAGGAAAGGGCAAGAACAACTTGGATGCTATCTGAGGTGTGATGATGCACCCAAACCCTCCCCATTCGCTAAAACATTATATAAGACACAAATTACGTATCCTTCCCGACCGACCTACTGATCCCACCTCAGCGTGAATGAATTCAAGCCACTGACTTACCTTGAGCAGCATCTGAACTCGATTATTGGATACACTTTGGCCCCCATTGCTGACATCAATAAACACATAGGGTGCTTTGGAGGGCAGGATGGCATTCCCTGAAGCCTCATCAAGCCCCAATACAGGTTTTTCCCAAAGGTAAACTTGATTTATTTATTGCTTTTAGGATGAAAACGGAGAGTCAGAAAGAACATCAGCAAGCCCTCCCATTCAAATAACTCCTTAATCCCAGAAAGCTGCCCTAACTGACTGGTGGTATAACCTAAGTCCCTGGTACAGGTCAGTATCGAACAATATTACCAATAGTATTAATAACAATGCTGCCTGTCAGTGGGTGTTTATATGAGTCAAGCCATTGACTAAACCCTTTGTGAATATATATTGTTAATTAAAATTTTTTTAAAATTTGAGACAGGGTCTTGCTCTGTTGCTCACGCTGGAGTACAGTGGTATGACACACCTCACTGTAGCCTCGACCTCTGGGGCCCAAGCAATCCTTTCACCTCAGCCTCCTGAGTGGCTAGGACTTACAGGCGTGTACCACCACACCAGAATTTTTTTTTTTTTTTGTAGAGATGGTGTCTTGCTATATTGCCCAGGCCAGTCTTGAACTCCTGAGCTGGACTAATTCTCCCGCCTTGGCTTCCCAAAGTGCTGTGATCACAGGCATGAGCCACCATGTTCAGCTGTGAATGTAATCTCATTAAATCCTCACATTAACTCTACAGTGATATTTCTATCATCATGAGGAATATGGTTTAGAGATAAGACATAACAACTTATGTAAGGTCATAGTTAGGGAGTCAGAGACAAATTCAGAAGAACCTGTATCCTATCCCCTGTCTTCTACTACAACAGCTTTCTATGCCCTTAAACCTCAGTCCCAGGTCTTACCCAGTCCTGTGAGAACCTTGGTCTAAACAGCTCCCATCTCTGGACTTTCCTGGCCCCAGCTTCCCTACTATACCCCTCAGTTCATTAGAGTCATTTATTCATTTAGAAATATTTTTGCATCCTGACTAGTTTGCACGGCCTGTAGAAGATTAATCAGACGTGGTCTTGAGCCTAAAGTGTTTCTACTCTAGTAGAATATTCATTAATTTATCCATCCATTCATTCAACTAAAATGTGTTTAAGTATTTACCATGTGCCAAGAACTTTTTAAGTATTAGGAAGTTGAAGTGAATAAGGACCTCAAAGTTTTTGTGCATCCTAGTGGAATATAAGACACTTACATAAACAATGATATGGTTGAATGTGTTGCCTAAAAGTTCATGTGTTGGAAACTTAATCCCTCTGCCTTCATGAATGGATTAATGTCACTACCATGGGAGTGGGCTCATTATCTCCAGAGTGGCTTTGTTATAAAGTGAACTCTCTCTCTAGCTCTCTGGCTCTTGCCCTCTCAACATGCTATGATGCAGCAAGAAGGCTGTCACCAGATGTTGGCACTAAGCTCTTGAACTTCCCAGCTTCCAGAACACTGTGCTAAATAAAATTATTTTCTTCATAAGCTACCCAATCTGTGGTATTCTGTTATAACAACAGAAAATGACTAACACAAACAATTATCATCAGACTACAGTGCGGCACATCTGGGCTGGAATCCAGGTCCTTTGACTTCCAGGTGAGTGCCTATCAGCAAAACTTCTTGGAAGAGTTGCTTCTAGCTGCCATCTCTCCTTTCCTCTCATCTTCTCTTTACCTGACTCTTGCTGGCTTCCATCTGACTGCTTCACTAAAACTACTCAAGATCACCAATGACTTCAAGGTCACCAATTTGATTATATTCCATCTTTGTCAAAACACTTTCCCCTTAATTTCCATGACAGGTGTTCCTCATATCGCACTGACTAACCATCCCTTTTTAAGCATTGCTGGGTCCTTCTCTTAACCTCCAAACATTTTATCCCTCAAAGCTTGGTGTTTAAACCCCTTTTCCTATCTGCTCTCTCCCACACCATTGCCTGAAGTATCATTTACAATCACAACCAATTTTTTACCTCTAGTCCTGACTTCTCTCTGGAATTCTAGACTCATATTCAAATGTCTATTGATATAAAATTTATCAATCAAAATAGAACTCTTGATTTTTACCACCAATTCTACTACCATCATGTCTTGGTAAACAGTATCACCATCTACTGAATTGCTTGAGCCAAAAGCACAAGAGTCATCCTTCATGCCTGTCTCCCTCAGCGCCTACATCCAGTCCATCAGCAAGGCCTGCCGATACACCTCCAAGACAGATCCGGAATTTCTCCAGTTGTCTCTGTCTCCACTACTCCAACCCAGTCCAAGCTACGATTACCTCTTGCCTTGACTAACGTAGAAGCCTTCCCATTGGTCTCCAAGTTTTCATTCTCACCCTCCTCCATTTCATTCTCCACAAAGTAACCACAATGAACCATTAAAATTAAAAGCCAGACCATTTCACCCTATGTTTCAAAGTCTCCAGTGGTTCTGCCGCACTTAGAATAAAGTCCAAACTCTTTACCTGGTCTGAATCCCAATATAATTTGCAACACTTCTCTAATCTCATCTCCTTCCAGGTTTTCCTTTTGTCTCTCTCCTCCAATCACACTGGCCCAGGGCCTTTCTGCCAGCTGCTGCCTTTGCCTAGAAAGTTCTTTTTCCTGATCTTCACACAGCTGGCTCCTTCATGTCATTTACATCTCAGTTACATGTCACCTCCTCAGAAAGGCCCTCCATGATCACCCACTCTTACACATTGCCCTATTTTAATTGTGCGTGATACTTATTACTAACAAATTAATGTGTGTGTGTGTGTTTTAACTTATCTGTTTCTTATCTACCTGTTTATTCTTACTAGAATATAAGATCCTAGAGAGCAAAGGTGTTATTTGCCTTGCTTATGATAAGGAAGACTAACCAACATAGATTAGGTAGTCAATAAATATTAAAAAAGCAAAAAGATAAATCCTGTATAACTCACATAATAAGAAAAGGCAATTTTATTATGCTAAGGAGTTGCTAATAAAGGGCTATCACCTTTGTGGCCCAGAAAAGAAGCTCAATTAGTAGGGGCCTGTGGAACTCAGAAAACTATCAAATGAAAAATTGTAAGACAATCCTTTCATCAGTATGAAAGAATTTTCAAAGACTTCTACTGAAAATAGCAGAGACTTTTCAATCCAAACATACAGAATATACATTTCCCGGAATATAATTCTGAAATATTCAGGCAACTGGACCAGATTGATTATGGATGGATTGGAGCATGCCTTTTAAGTCTCCCCATGTTTGACCATAAATATTGATAGCCCCTTTTTGGTAGATGGTTCTGCCTCATGTTCCAGATGAAAAAAAAACCATTTAAAAGGAAGAAAGCTATGTAGCTGCCTCTCTTTTAGAGAATGGAATATGTTATAAGCATGCCCAGAAAAACAGAATACTCAGGGATTTGAATCAGAACAGAGGCCATGATGAAAGTGATAATACAAACTGGATAAATGGGTGAAATAAAGCTCCCCAAACAGATGCACTAGAGATAGTCCCCAATCCCAGATTTACTTTAACACGCAACATCAGAAGAGTGAGCACTTAGGTTTGATCTAGGAGCCATCATTTTGCAGGGGTCCTTAAGAAGTCTTCAGGCACAAAAAGGCTGTTGGAAAACAGACCAGAGAATACCAGGGTTTTTATTGACAGAAGTGCTAATAAAACAACACAATTGTTTGCAACCAGAAGCTAAATGACTCATATCTCTTTCAAGAAAGGTCCTATCACACAGGAATTGACTGTAAAGCAGTATCTATAACCTAACTTTCAAAAGCTCTAAATTTTCTGACATGAATGAAATAGTCTTAATTTACCCTCAACTAGATAACATGTTAAGGATGGGAATGTGTCTTTATCCACTTTTGTATCCTCATAGTTCTTAAATATCTAGTAGGCAAGCAGTAACAGTTTGCTTATTAAATAAATCTCACCACCACCATCTTCTCTAACTTGGTTTGCATGCAATCATCTTTTCCTCTCTCCTCTCCATCTCTCCATCTGTCTGTCTCTCCATCTGTTTCTCTCTCTCTCTCTCACACACACACACACACACACACACACACACACACACATCTGGCCTCTCTGTTAGAGCTCACTGCTTAGATTCTATCTTAAATCTGTGAAGGACTAGATCTGATAGTCCATAATACCTTAATTGTCATCGTAACCCAAAATCTAACTGATGGCAGGGAGTGACAGCAGCTTTCTCATCTGTAAAATGGGGATAATAAAAGTGCCTGGAATGACACTGGAAAGGAGTAAAGCCAAGTGATCAGATAGGCTGCTTCATTCTCCTACCCCAAACATGCAGAAAACTTAGCTGCAGTATGCAATGCAAGTGTCCTCAACACCCAACACTTACAGCAGCCACCGCAACCAAGAGAAGGGAATCCTGTGTGACACAGGCATGGAGTTTGTCTTGTTCTTTCAACTCCTTCAACTTTTAAGAACTGTTCAAATTTTTCTTAGAGACCTGACTCCTCTATTCACAACAATATGTTCCTTACTAGAGAAGCATAATATTAACACAACAACACTACTAATAAGTGTAACAGCTCACATTTATCAGCACAATTGGTGTTAGCCAGGCATGCAACAAAAGACTTCACCTACACCAACCCAATTAACTATCACAAACCTATGAGGAAGGCATTAGTATTACCTATGTCATAGATGACTATCCTGAAACTCAAAGAAGTTAAATAATGTCTACATGGCCACAGAACTACAAATGTCAAATTTGGGACCTGAACTCAGGTCTGTTGACTCCAAGGCCTGGGCAGTATTCATCTTTAACTTGTTCATCCTTATCCCCAGCATTAAGTACAGTCCCTGACACTGGTCAAAGCTTTAAGCCTCAAATCTAGGCACCAACAATTGCTTAGAAGCAAGCAGTCTAAGAGCACAGACCATGAAACAGAAAAAGAGCCATGGCTTCAAGTCCCAGACTGGTCACTTATTAGTTCTGCAACCTTAGGCATATTTGTCAACCTCTCGGAGCCTCAGCTTTCTCATCTGTAAAACAGCGATAATAAAAGTGCCTTCAATAGGACACTTAGTATCTTGAGTAATGCACAGTTAAGACTACTTACAGGTCCACAATTTCTTAACCATAAATCTAAAGCCTGAAAAGCTCTGAAATCAGACCTTGTTCTTAAAACTGGTTGTATTAATTTCTATTGGTACTATAACAAGTTCCCACAAACTCAGTGGCTTAAAACAACAAAAATTTTTTATCCCGCAGTTCTGTAGGTCAGAAGTCAAATGTGGGTCCCTGGACTAAAATCAAGGTGTCTACAGGCTGTGTTCCTTTCTGGAGACTCTAGAGAGGATTCATTTCATCACCTTTTCCGTCTTTTAGAGGCTTCTCCCATTCTTTGGCTCATGGCCCCCTTCCATTCTGAAATACCTCTGATCCTAAGGGTTTTAGATGAGACTATAAATTTATATTCTAATAATTATTATTAACATCATCTTCTTCTCTGAAAGGCAAGAGAAAATGGTCCATGGTCGACATGGTTCATAAATCATGTTCACAAAGCCAGTGCCCCCTTGAGCCTTGGAAGACCCTGCTGGCCGGGCGTGATGGCTCACACCTGTAATCTCAGCAATTTGGGAGGCCAAAGTTGGCTGATCACTTGAAGCTAGGAGCTCAAGACCAGCCTGGCCATCATGGTGAAAACTCATCTCTACTAAAAATACAAAAATTAGCCAGGCGTGATGGTGCACGACTGTAATCGCAGCTACTTGGAAGGCTGAGGCAGAAGAATCATTTGAACCCAGGAGACAGAGGTTGCAGTGAGCCGAGATCATGCCACTTCACTTCAGCCTGGGCATAGAGCAAGACTCTGTCTCAAAGAAAAACAAAAACAAAAACAACAACAACAACAACAAAAAAGATCCTGTTATGGTTTGAATGTATATGTCCCTCAAAAATTCATATATTGGAACTTGAACCTCAATGTGATAGTATTAAGAGGCAGACTTTTGGGAGGTGATTAAGTCATGAGGTTAGAGCCCTCATGGATGGGATTAGCAACCTCATAAAAGGGCTGGAGTAAATTTGCTAGGCCCTTTTGCCCTCTGTTCTTTTTGCCACATGACGATGCAGCAACAAGGCACCATCTTGCAAGCAGTCTTTACCAGACATGGAACTTGACTGTGCCTTGATCTTGGACTTCCCAGCCTCTAGAACTGTGAGAAACAAATTTCTGTTGTTTATAAATTACCCAGTCTTGGGTATTTTGTTATAGCAGCATGAAGGGGTAAGACAGATCTGGAGTCAGACATTCCTCATGGCCAAACCTGATACCACTCCTTTCTTGCTGTGTACTCCTAACCTCTATCAGCCTCCCTGTCCTCATCACCCAGGAGTAGGGGTGGGGGTGTGAGTGTGCCCACAGAGTGGTCATGGGGATTAAATGAGATGAATCATGCATAGCCCTTGGCACCCAACAATGGGATTGCTACTGTCAGTTCCTATGCTCCTCTACTTGGGTATTGCCTTCATGGCTGACACCCATGGCTTTCTTTCTGGGATGTGTGGCCTTCATCAAAAATGTGTTTATTTAGTGAAAAAAAAAAAAGGACCCTGAGATTTTCATTTAATTTTGCCTATGTTCTCACACTGCTCCATAGCACAGCACTGATGATACTAAAAAGCTAACTCCTGGATCTAAGCTGCTAAGACCTTCACATCACTGGCAGCTTTGCTAATGTCGGTGTTCTGCAGAACAGGAAGTAACTCACCAGCCTACTATGTTCTCATGAGGCCATCCCTTGGGACTGTCCCACTGCCTCTACACTGCTTCTGTTTTCACCAGACATCTCCTGATCCTAACTTGGTTTCTCAAGTAAACTTCTCCACTGCCACCAAGAGGAATGTCTTATAGGAAGCTGCAGAATAAGAAGTCAAGGCCACATGTGTGGATTTGAGAATCAGAGGCACCATTCCCTTTTTTCTTCCCTTTCTTCCCTCCTTCCCTCCTTTTTTTTCCTTCCTTCCTACTTCCTTCCCTCCTTTTTTTTTCTTTTGTTCCTTCTTCCTTCCCTCCCTCCCTTCCTTCCGCAGTCAATCCACAAAGATTAACTGAACACCTACCAAGTACAAAGTACTATGCCAACAGGCTGGCAATACAGTCTTCAAGATAAGCCTGGGTCATGCTATGCAGAGTGTACAGATGATCCCATAAATCATGACTTTATTACAGTTAATTTTACAAACCATTAATTACAAATTGAGGTGAGAATTAGGAAGAAAAAGTGCAAGGTGTTAAAAGACTGTTTAAGATAGTCAGGGGATTCTAGAAATGTGTCATGACCTAGTAATATCTAATCAAGGACCTGCCTGAAGAGTGATAAAAATTACCCAGCTAAAGAGCTAGAAGAATATTCCAGGGGAGACATGAATAGATGTGTGAAGACCCAGTGTCAAGGAACTGAAAGAAGACCAGAATTGCCAAAATACGGGGAGGAGAGGCAGTATGGTACATGACTGGTTAGTTGGTGGTAGGTAGGAAGAAAGGAAGGAAAGGTGGGAGAAAAGAAAGGGGGAAAGAAGGAAAGGTGGAAGAAAAGAAAGGGGGAAAGAAGGAAAGGAGGGAAAGAATTAAATGGGACCAAATCAAATCTGGAGCAGAAGCTGGCAAGCTCCAGTAAGACCAAATCTGGTCCCAGTCTGTTTTTGTATGGCCCCCAGCTAAGAATGGTCTTTGTATTTTTAAGTAGTTGAAAAAAATCAAAGAGAAGAATGCTATTTTATGACATGTTAAAATTATATCAAATTCAGTTTTCTGTATCCATAAATAAAGCTTTATTGGAACACAGCCACACCCACACATTTGCATATTATCTATGGCTGCTTTCATGCTACAGTGGCAGAGTTGAGGAGTTGCAACAGAGACCTTACAGTCCACAAGCTTAAAATATTTACTGTCTATACCTTTACAGAAAAAAAGTGTTTGCCAACCCCTGATTTAGTGAGATTGGCAGAGGCCAGATCATATAATATTTTAGGTCACATTAAAGATTTACTATCTTATCCCAAGACCAGGAGAACCCAATAAATAGTTTGAACTGGAGAACAGCATGACCCAGTAGTGCCCAAACCTATCTGCACATTAGACTAGGGAGCTTCAAAAAATATGGATGCATGAGTCCCACTTCCAGATATTATGAATTAATTAGTCTTGGTATGGCCAGTGCTTTGGAATTTTGAGGGGATTCCTAGGTGACTCTGGTATGCAGATGAGTTTGGGAACCATGGATATAATCACATTTTTATGTTTTAAAGATCAGTCTGGCCGGGCGCAGTGGCTTATGCCTGTAATCCCAGCACTTTGGGAGGCAGAGGCAGGCGGATCATGAGGTCAGGAGATCGAGACCATCCTGGCTAACACAGTGAAACCCCGCCTCTACTAAAAATACAAAAAAAATTAGCCGGGCGTGGTGGTGGGAGCCTGTAGTCCCAGCTACTCGGGAGGCTGAGGCAGGAGAATGGCATGAACCCGGGAGGCGTAGCTTGCAGTGAGCCGAGATTGTGCCACTGCACTCCAGCCTGGGCAACAGAATGAGACTCCGTCTCAAAAAAAAAAAAAAAAAAAAAAAAAAAAAAAAAAAAAAGATCAGTCTGGCTCAGGGGTTCTCACTCTGGCTGCACATTGGGATCATCTGGAGGATATTTTCAAATATACTGATGTGACGCCCAGGCCCATCTGGCATCAATTAAATAAGAATCTCTAGGGGGTCTCCCCAAGCACTGGTATAAAGTTGCCCAGGTGATTCTAACATGCAGCCAGGGTTGTGCACCCCGCATTAACAGGGGCCAAGGATGAAGACCCAGAGACCCCCAAGAGGCTACTGTGAGTGCCCAACTGAAAGATGATAGGGGCTGAAGTTGAGTTGCTGGGGGTAGGGGGCTGTGTAGGCACAATCAGGAGGACTTGGTGATCAGTAAGTGACAGTGGAAAGCTGAAGTGGAAAGTTTCAAAAACGATACTCAAATGTCTAGCAAATCAACTGGGTGCAAACTGATGGCACTTTTTGGGATGGGAACCTTGGACGAGGAACAAGGTGCGGAAGTAAGAGCACTATTTCTGTTCTGATGTAGTGTTGAAAAGGAGGGTGTCTTCGGAGAGTTGGCCAGAATAAAGCTGTAAGGGACTGCAATCAAATGATAAAGAGCCTTGAATGCTATCCTAACAATATCCTCCTCATATAGCAGGCAATGGCTACAATGACGTAGTGAAATACGTATGACCTTTGGATTCAGACACTGTTCCAGTCACATACAATGTATGTGAGCTTCCTCAGCTTCCTCACCTATAGCATGGCATTAAAAGTGTTCATATATGTCTTGTTCATCTTTGACCAGCAGAGTCACTCAACGACAGACACTCGAAAAACACCCTCACAAGGATATTGTAAAGATTCTATGAGATACCATGTGTCAAGTGTCTAGAAACCTAAGTAGCACAAAACGCATTCATAAAATGGTAGTGTTATCCCTGAAGGGTTTCCAAAGAAGCATGACCCAGTGACACTCTCACAATGAAGTTTTAGAAAGTGTAGGTGGTGCCCCAGTGGTCACCGCCCTGCATCTGGAGACTTCCTGGCACTGCACATGATGGCTGGCCTCCAAGAAGACCACCGCCTGCATGGGATGGCCACCCTTGGTGCCCAGAAGCCATGAGCTTTCCCCCTGGACCCTTCACTCCGTGATCTTCTGCCCAAGAATTTTGTTTCCATGGTACCTCACCCTCTGTTCCAATGCCACCCAAGATTCTGTGGCTGACCAGCACTTCAGACACATTGTTCTCTTTTGCCTGTTCTCAAAATAGAATCATATGCCAAGGTGGAAAAAAAAAGTGTATATAAACATCTGTGGGAAGGATGGGTGACAGGGAGAAGAAATGTGTACAAGTTGAGTATCCCTGATCCAAAATGCTTAGAATCTTTTTTATATTTTGAAATATGTGCATATACATAATAAAATATCTTGAGGATGGGACCTAAGTCTAAACACAAAATTCATTTATGTTCTATATTTACCTTGTACCCAAAAATCAAAATATTTATCAGTGAAATGATATGAAGTAATCTTATACAATATTCTAAATAATTTTGTGTGCCCATCACATGAGGTCAGGTGTGAAATTTTCTACCTGTGGCATCATGTCAGTACTCAAAGATTCTAATCTTGGAGCATTTTGGGTTTCAGACTTTCAGATCAGGGATGCCCAATTTGTACTAGGTTTAGCAGTTGAGATTAAGTTCAGCTGCATGTGATAAACAACATAATGGTATTAGTTCATCAATTAGTAAGAAGTCAAGGTTCCAGCAATTCTGTGGAGTTGACAGTCCTCCACGATCCAGGCTACCCTTCCAGCATACTGCTCCTCTTTAACAAGCATGACCATTTTTGTCCATCTTGACTAAGTGGCCAGAGCTCTAGCCACCATCTTCATATTCCAGGCAAGAAGATGGAGGAAAGGACAGAAAAGAGGAAGACGGCACACACCAATTTTCTTGAAGGCAGTTTCTGGGAAGCTGAAACATAATACTTCTACTAACATCTCTCAAGCCCAAATTTAGTAACATGGCCACATCTAGCTGTAAGGGAGGCTAAGAAATGCAGCCTTTATTCTGGGCAGCCATATTCCCAGGTCAAAGCAGGAATTCCCATAACTAAAGGGGGAAGGGGAGGACGGAGATTGGGGTAGGCAACCAGCAGTATCTACTGCAAGGGGTGAAGGGTTATTGACTTGTGCTTCTCCTATGCTATTCCCTCACTCAGAATGCCTTCCTGCTCCCTCTCTGTGAGTTCATTCAAACACTGATTCACTGCCTCTGTGTTCCTGGCATCTGCTGCTCCTTTGACTGGAATGTTCCATGTCTCCACTTTTATTATTTTCCTTAGATATATTTACACACATAGATATAAATAAATACACAATATTTGAACAAGCTTTGAACACAAGTTCCATCCATACAAACTGTATGTCCTTGTCAAGTCACTTCTACCCTCTGAGCCTCAAGTTCCTCCTACATCAAGTGGGGATACTGATGCCCACCTCACAATGTTGTAGAGGGGATCAGTGGAGATTTCTGTATTTGGGAGTGGTCTGTAAGCAATAAATCATTAAACATCTATTAGCTATTATCATTTCTACCCTGAAGCATTACTTCCTGTTAGTTAACATGAGAGGAAAAAAAAAAGCAGTTGGTGGCTAAGTGTTACTACACAAAAGAACAGGGCAGAAGACCCATTTCATCTCCTTCTCACTTTCCCATAGCAAAGCCAGAAGAAGATTCCATCAATTCTTAAAATGTATCTACAAGCAGAAAATTAATTTTAGAGATGAGCAAGGATAACTTCCTTTGAAGTGAAAGGAGTCTGGAGAAGCCAGAATGCACCCTGCCCTGCTGATTGAAGCAGAATTAAAGCCAAAAGCAGAACTCAGATCATCAGAGGGAATGAGTCATAGTACCTGGCGAGGAAGCAAGGCTTCAGCCAGATACCAATCAGAGCTAAATATTACAGCTCTTGCAAATAAGGCAGATGAGTTCCTGTAACCATGAACAACCCAAAGGTGGCCCCTGCCCTCATACACAAAGCTAAAAACTAATGGTTGCTGACAGCATTAAAACAATAACTGTATCTGCTCAGATTAATCATATATCTGACTTAATCCAAATATACCTCAAGAGATGTATCAAATACATACTTTTGCCCCTTTCATTATAAAATAAAATACATATACAGGAAAGTGCCTAAAATATACATGGACACTTTAACAATAATTAAGTTAACCCTTGTGTAATTACCACTCCAGTCAAGAAAGAAAACACTACACCACCTTAGAAGCATGCCGCTCTGATCTCAGTTTTCTCCATCCCATCTAAAAGCAATCACTCTCTCTTTGTTCTTTTTTTTTTTTTTTTTTTGGCAGGATTTGCTCTTGTTGCCCAAGCTGGAGTGCAATGGCGCGATCTCGGCTCACCGCAACCTCGGCCTCCCGGGTTCAAGCGATTCTCCTGCCTCCCGAGTAACTGGGATTACAGGCATGCGCCAGCATACCCAGCTAATTTTGTATTTCTAGTAGAGACGGAGTTTCTCCATGTTGGTCAGGCTGGTCTCGAACTCCAGACCTCAGGTGATCTGCCCGCCTCAGCCTTCCAAAGTGCTGGCATGCTGGCATTATAGGTGTAAGCCACTGTGCCTGGCCTCTTTGTTCTTATGATATATATTTCCTTCCTTTTCTTTATAATATTACCACTTATGTACGTCCCTAAAAATATTTTTGTCTATTTAAAATTTTTATTTGAATGGAATCACATATGTATATACTTTATATTTTGCTGCTTCTGCTCAGCCTTACATTTGTAACCATAAAATATTTATCAGTGAAATGATATGACATCTGAAATTTGATTTAAAATAATTGGATGAAGGAAGAATTGCAAAGTATATTTTGAATAAATCGACCATAAGTTGATCACTGTTGAAGATGGATGATGGATACATCAGACTCATTATAGTATACTTGACTTTAAAATATGTTTCAAAATTTATATAACAAAAAATCATTTAAATTACTTCATGAGATTCACTTGGTTGCTGGGTGTAGTTAGAATTTGTTCATTTTCATTGCTGTATAGCAATACTTCTCTAAGTAAGATCCCAAGACCAGAAGCATCAGAATCACCTGGGAATTTATGTGAACTGTAAATTCTTAGCCCAACCCCAGACTTTTGAAATCAGAAACTCTTGGGGTAAGGTTTCTGATTTGGTAAGGTCTGGGGTTAGGCCCAACAATCTGTGTTTTAATAAGCTCTCCAGGTAGTTCTGATGCACATTCAAGTTTGATAAACACTCCTAAATAGCATTCTGTTGTATGAATATACCACAATTTATTTATTCATTCTACTACTGACACACAGGTGTATTATTTCAAGTTTTAAGGTTTCAAGTTTGTGGATTCTATAAATATTCTTGTAGAAGACTTTTGGTGGACAAGCATCTTTCTGATATGTACCTGGTGATAAAATAACAGGGTCTTAGGGTGTATGTATTTTTAACATTACATGATAACACTAAACTATTTGCAACGTAGTTCACCAATTTATAATCCCACTAGTAATGTATGTAAATTCCCTTTGCTCCATATCCTTCCCAACACTTGGTAGTTTTTTGACATTTTAATTGTTGTCAATCTAGAGGGTTAAACACTTAAACTTTCCAACTTAGAATTAAAAAAAAAACACATATTAGAGAACAGAACTTCAGATGTAAAATCAGTTTCACAAATATATTAGTTGGTGAGTTTTCATGGAGTAAACCCGATGCAGGAAAGAATCTGGTACAATAGAGAAACTGAGAAAGGTCAATGTGACTGGAATGTGGCGAACAAGACAGAATGCAGTTCAAGATGTTGAGGAGTGAGGCAGGGACAAACCAAGGACCTCCTACATGTGCTAAAGAGTGAATTTTATTCCAAGTGAAATGAAAAGAAAATTAAAAATTTTAAGCAGGAAATTTACATAATTATATTTCTATATTAGCATACATTTAAAATATTTCAGGCACATAGCCACTTCTAGCCATGATGGGGTTGTTTGATACTTCAGACCAATGCTTCTGCTGAAAGCCACTTTAAAAGCTGGATAAAGCACAAATACACACACACTCACACACGCATGCACGCTATGATGCCCGAAAGCATCAAGCAGTTGTTGAGACAACCAGGACTTCAGGGAACAAAATCCTAGAGAAGACAGAAGCACAGGGAGGCAAGCCAATATTGTGCAGCTGCTCTTTCCCTTGGGGCACTTGCCAAAATTGGGTGAAGGGTAAGGGGCTAAGGATCCAGGTAAAGAGCCTCAGCAGAGAGTTGCTAATAAGGGGCAAAAACACCAGAAGAGCACTTGGCAGTCTCTTGGAGATAGAGAGGCAAAAGTCAGAGGCCTAAAAGGCAAAGATGCCAGTGAAACCTAAGCCCAGCACCTGTTAGTTCCCTCAAAACATTTGCTGAATTCTGAGACTGCATAAGGCAGGAGGCTAAGAAGCCATGCTTGATAGTCTTACAGTTTTGAGGAAAGAACATTTAAAGTTCTGAACTAGCCAGGGGTGGAAGTCATTGGGCTAAAATCCTAAGAAGGCTACATCCTAGAAAGAGGCATCTGCCAGTGGCAGAGCTCTAACAGAACTAAAATACAGCCTATGTTCAGCTCAGTCCCTAATTGGATTAAAATAATCAGTTGTCCAATATGCCTGCCTAGCATTTTCTCTGGAACAAAATAACATCATCTACAGCATCTACAATTTTTCATGCAATATGATGAATATACAATCAACATTTGCTAGGCATGCCAAGACACAGACCAAAAACCCAGAGAAAAAAACAGATCACACAAAGAAACCACAAGTGACTCAGATATTGGAGTCAGGAAACGAAGAGTCAAACTATGATTAATACACTAAAAAATATAACAAGATGAAGAAATTAGATGAAAAGGTAGAGAATTTCACCAAAAAAATCAGAATCAGTTTAAAAAGCTTAAATGGAATTTCTAGAATTGTAAAATACTATTATGGAAATTAACTCAATAGATAAGGTTGAACAACAGATTAGACATAGTAGAAGAGACAATTAACAAATTGGAAGGCTGGTCAAAATTTTTTCAAAACTCAAGCACAGATGTAAAACATAAAATGGAAAATATAGAAAAGAGTAAGAAATATGTGTGACAGAGTAAAAAGGTCTACAATACATATGTTTGAAGACATAGAGAAGTAAAGAATGGAACAGTAGTAGTGTTTGACGAGATAACAGCAAACTGATTAAAGATATCAATACACAAATTTTAAAAATCATTAGGAACCCCAAACAGGGTTAACAGTAAATAAACGACAATAACAACAAAAAAATCAATAAAGCCAGACCTAGAGACATCACAGAAAAACTGATAAAAATTAAAGGCAAAGACAAAACCCTAAAAGTCAGGGTAAAAAAGACACATTACCTTCCATGGAGTGATAATAATGTTGGCTAATGGCTGATTTTTCAACAGAAATGATGGCAGTCAGAAGACAATGGAACAATGTTTTAAAGTTCTGGGGAAAAAAACTAGAAATATAAAATTCCATACTCAGTGAAAATATCATTCAAAAATGAAGCTGAGGCTGGGTGCGTTGGCTCACACCTGCAATCCCAGCACTTTGGGAGGCCAAGGCGGGCGGATCATGAGGTCAGGAGATCAAGACCATCCTGGCTAACAAGGTGAAACCCCGTCTCTACTAAAAATACAAAAATTAGCAGGGCGTGGTGGCAGACGCCTGTACTCCCAGCTACTCTGGAGGCTAAGGCAGGAGAATGGTGTGAGTCCAGGAGGCGGAGCTTGCAGTGAGCTGAGATCACACCACTGCACTCCAGCCTGGGCGACAGAGTGAGACTCCGTCCCAAAAAAAAAAAAAAAAAAAAAAAGAAGGAAGCTGAAACAAAGACATTTTCAGACAAGTAAGAATTGAGAGGATTTGTCACTAGCAAACCCTCAGTAATATGGTTTGGCTGTGTCCCCAACCAAATCTCACCTTGAATTGTAATAATCCCCACATGTCAAGGGCAGAGCCAGGTGGAGATAACTGAATCATGGGGGTGGTTTCCCCCATACCGTTCTCCTGGTAGTGAATAAGTCTCACAAGATCTGATGGTTTTATAAATGGGAGTTCCCGTGCACAAGCTCTCTCTTGCCTGCTGCCATGAAAGACATGTCTTGCTTCCCCTTCACCTTCCACCATGATTGTGAGGCCTCTCCAGCCTTGTGGAACTGTGAGTCAATTAAACCTCTTTCCTTTATAAATTACCCAGTCTTGGGTACGTCTTTATTAGCAGCATGAGAACAGACTAATACATTCAGTAAAAAAATAATGCTGGGCCGGGCATGATGGCTTATATCTGTAATCTCAGCACTTTGGGAGGCCAGGGTGGGAGAATTACTTGAGGCCGGGAGTTCAAGACCAGCCTGGGCAACATAGCGAGACTGTCTCTTTATGTGAAGTAAAAAAAAAAAAGTTTTTAATTTAAAAAAATAATAATGCTAATAGGCATCTAACTGGGCAGAAGAAAATGATCTCAGATGAAAATGTAGTAATGCAGAACAAAACAAAGAACAATGGAAAAGATAAACATGTAAGCAAAGAAGAATGAATACGGACTGTTACAACAATAAAAATAATATCTAATGGGTTTTAATAATCTGTAGACCTAAAATGAATGACAATAATAACATAAAAGGTGTGAGGGGATAGATAAAATTAAAATGTTCCAAAGTACCTTATTACCTAGGATTGTATTTCCCCAAAATAAATTTAAACATATCCACAAATGACTTGCACATAAATAAATGTTCAGAGCAGCACTATTAGAGATAGCCAGAAACTAGAAAAAAACTCAAATGTCCATCTACGGTGAATGGATAAGCAAATTATGGTATATTTATACAACGGAATACTACTTATCAATAAAAATGAATGAACCACTGATAGGCTAAAAACTACAGATGACTCTCACAGACATTATGTTGAGAAATAGAAGCCAGATTCAAAAGAGTACATACTATACAATTCCATTTATATGAAGTTCTAGCCAAGCAAAACCCCAATGCATGATGCTAATGTCAGGACAATGGTTCCCTTTGCAAGCAATAGAAACTAGAAAAGGAGAGGAGGGGACCTCTGGGAGGTTGCCAGTGTTCTATTTCTTAATATAGTTGTTTACATGGATGTGGAAATTCATCAAGCTTCATCCTTAGAATTGTGCACATACATATACTTTTCTATATGAATTTCAAAAAGTTTTAACAAATATTTCAGTCATACAAAAAGTTATACAAAGGATAATAAGTCTATATCCACCACCGAGATTAAGAAACAAAACATTACCAATATAGGTGATATATATACTACTGATTACACCACCACCCACCCCACCAGAGATAAATCACTGTCCTGAATTTGGCGTCAACCACTCCCTTGCACTATTTTATACTTTTACTCTTTCTACAAGCTTCCCTAAATGATATGTAAAACTATTTTTCATGTTTTAAAACTATGCATAAAAAGTAATTTGATTTCTTTTTTTTTTCTTTTTTTTTTTTTTTTAAGACAGTGCCTCACTCTATTGCCCAGGCTAGAGTGCAGTGGTGTAATCTTGGCTCGCTGCAGCCTCAACCTCCTGGGCCAAAGTGATCCTCCCACCTCAGCTTCCCAAGTAATTGAGAACACAGGCATTTGCCACCATGCCTGGCTTTTTTGTTTCTTTTCTTTTCTTTTTTTTTTTTCCGTAGAGATGGGAGTCTCCCTGTGTTGCCCAGGCTGGTCTTGAA
The DNA here is from genome assembly GCF_000001405.40 of Homo sapiens. NCBI lineage: Eukaryota > Metazoa > Chordata > Mammalia > Primates > Hominidae > Homo > Homo sapiens. The sequence continues at coordinate 90,853,528 of NC_000010.11, forward strand.
CTCCAGGGCTCCAGCAATCCTCCAGCCTCAGCCTCCCAAAGTGCTGGGATTACAGTTGTGAGTCACCACATCTGGCTGGTAATTTGATTTCTATTTTTAAAAGATCATTCTTAAATTAGCACAAGGGAACTTTCTTGGATGACAAGATATTCTATATCTTGATTAGAACATTAGTCACATAGGTATATATATTTGTCAACATACAAATTGAATATTTAAGATCTGTGCATGCCATTATATGTAAATTATCTCACTTTAAAAAGTTTCTAAATAGACCATTCTTGCTTCTTCTTAGGGAATAGCTCGGGGCTGGACAGAAGTGGAACCAGGAAAGCCAATTAGAATATTGCAGTAAACCTGATGAGCATCAAAGTCATCTATCTAAAGCGCAAGGAAGAAAAGACAACTTATGGATACAATTCTTTGAGCAGCTTAACTGTGAAGCAGAGCCGTGGCTGGAGGAAGAAGTGAGGCCAGAGGCCAAAGAAGGGTTTTAAAAGATAGAAAACCAAACTTGACACAGTAGAAAGGAAAAGCTGAAGAAAGACCATCAATAAGCTGGGCCTGGTGGCTCACGCCTGTAATCCCAGCATTTTGGGAGGCCGAGGTGGGCGGATCAGTTGATGTCATGAGTTTGCCAACATGGCAAAACCCCGTGTCTACTAAAATTCAAAAATTAGCCGGGTGTGGTGGCGTGCACCTGTAATCCTAGGTATTTGCAGGGGCTCAGGCACGAGAATCACCTGAACCCAGGAGGCGGAGGGTGCAGTGAGCAGAGATGGCACCACTGCACTCCAGCCTGGGTAACAGAGTGAGATTCTGTCCCCCTCCACCTCACTCCCCCCAAAAAAACAACAAAACAATAACAACAAAAAAGACCATCCATGAAGAAACAATAAAGGAACAAAGACCTTGAGAAGGTGGGGAGATGGAATATAAAGTCCAAGTAGTTTGGTATTTGCTGGCTCACAATGTCTTTTTGCTTTTTAACTGGAAAGAAGTAAAAAGAAGGGTACACATGCAGGACAGATCAGATTGTTTGGTGGGGGAAAGATAAAAGTTCTCATCTGATGGCTGCTACTTTTTCAATGAATACAAATCATTTTCTGAAAAAGACGGGATGGGAGCTCTGAAGCCTGTGAAAAACAGTATGGCATTACATTAGAAAAGCATCCCGGTGTGATGGGGAGTGGTTAAGAAAAATGAAAGGTTCCATTTTAGACAGGCTAAATGCCCAACAGATATCCAAACTCTCCAAATACACAAAAGCCTGTAATGAGCACAAAAGCAACAATATTGTAATTAATCTTTGATTATGCTGCACAAAGCACAGTGTAACCTATATTAGGTACTCAAGAGGGAATGAACAAGGGAATGAAGATTTTTTTTTTACATATTTTCACAGCACATTTAATATCATCTGTCATATTCTACAACGGAATTGCAGAAAACATGCTTTTCAGAAATAATATATTTTCCTTTTTTCTCATTTTTAGTTCTCAGTGTTCTTGGAAGAAAATCAGTCTGTGTCTTCCAATTTTATCAATTCTTCATTTTCTCTAAAGAAATGATATGCTGATCTTCTAAAATAATTTTTAAGCAGAATTCACCAATGGGGCAATTCTCATAGGTAAAAGGAGAATCTATATGCCTATGTTACCACAATTTGTGACAATCATAAGAATACAGTTAACAACAAAATCTTAAGCTCTTGCCAAGAAGGATTAATGTCTTCTCAGTATTCAGGACATGCCTGCCGATGCTAAGTCACACATGCACGCTGAGTGGAGAATGCCTTTAGCTCATGTATAGGAATCACAAGGTGATCTCAGCCAAACCTCAATGTAGCCCAGAAGAGGAGAAACACTGGCTGTCTTAGGAGACAAATTAGCACAAGGTATTATTTATGTATCATTTATCAACTGTGAAATTTTAAAAAATGGTTATAAATACAGTACTTGCAGCATAAACCGTTATTTGTTTTATTACACTAAGTTCCATTTAAAAGGACTCCATTCATGCAGGATGCTCTGTTTTGGTTGGCTGAGCAGTCAGATTTCTGTGCTTATAATTCATGTATACACTTACTATGTGTATTGAGTGCACTCTCCTAATTCCAGTTGCCACAGTCAGACTGTAAATACATATGTTTTGTCATTCTTAACTACTGTAATTCAGAACTTCAGCTGCCAAATTTGGTGCTAATATTCTCACATATGCAGTTCATGCTCTGCTCTTAAGTAATTCCTTGTTTGCTGTCAGCAGCTTCTACCATGATATATAAAATGGTAGAATCAATTTAAAGAAAAATAACCTAAATTGTTAGCTAAATGGAGCTACAATGTGTTTTTCTTCTTGAAAATATTCCCTTTTCTATTATTTCCTTTATTTAGTAATTATAAACCCTGGTCAAGCAAAAAATACATACAGCAGAACATTTTAAGTACCAGCAAACCACAAACAGCAGTGTTTTCAAGAAGAAAAAAAGGAAAATCTCAGTTTCATGCTAGACCATCCTTTGAGGCACTGTCATTTTAAGTGTGGAGGCATCAATTATTTCCCCTAGGCTGAAAGATCTACACATATAAAGGTTCTATAGATCCACTAAGAAAATAAGCAACCATTTCTCTGTATCATTAAACACAACAGGATACTAGTCTTGAAACACCGGCAAAATTCTGAGTGTGAATATTAAGGTCTCATATTTCAGTTTCAAGTGAAATAGAGTTGTTTTAGGCCAAAGAGGATTGAGACCATACTTCAAGTTGTCAACTGCATAATATTTCAAGGGTCAAAGACTAGCTCCATTTCAAAAGCCTGTAACCTTACAGCCTGAAGAAACCCTGTGGGTCTCCTAGTTCAATATGACACCCAAGGCAGGAATTTTTCCCCTAGCATCCCTGACAGATGGTCAGCCTCTGTTTCAATTACTCCAGTGGGGGAGTTCTCAAGAGAAGGTTCCCAAGGGCTATGATGAAAGGCTAGAACCAGCCATTCAGACCTGGAGGAAGGCTCCAGTCAGCAAGCTCGCAAGATACAGACAGCATTACCAAACATTGAAACCAGACTTCCACAAGCAAGAATGCGATTCCGAACTGACCATCATAAAGATGCAATGTGTAAGACATACAAACCCCAATTCTAGAACCATCCAAGGTCCTTTTACTGGCCTAGGGAGTAGCTCCCACAATGGGGTAAGCAAGGTGGCTTTTCTCCGACTTATTATTATTATTTTTTAATGACTCTTTAAGGCTCACAGCAAGGCTTGATCAAGTCAGGGAGCACCAAATCCCTTCCTTCCAAAAACCAAGGCAAGGGACCCGCTGGTGGAAATGCTAAGGCTTAAAATACTCTTAACTTTGGTCTTAAATTCGTCACTACAGTAAACCAGAACATTTCCGGTTTTTCTTTTAAAGATGTACATAGGCTATGCCGTAACCGAAGTTTGGTTGGTGTAGGGTGGATTGGGGGGAGCGGTGTTTTAAGCGCAGCCCTTCATCCCGCCTTGAAGTCTAGCTTGATCCTCCCAGGAAAGGCGAGCGCGCGGGGCTGAGCTGCCAGCCGGTCCCCAGCCGGAGCCTGGGACGGGGCGGTCCGGCCCTTACCTGTCAATGCTGATCACGCACAGGGTCATGATCGAGGCCGTGCAGCACATGACGTCCATGGCGATGAAGACATTACAGAAAAAGTGTCCAAAGATCCACTTGCCCCCGATGAGGTCGGTGACGCTGACGAAGGGCATGACCGCCACAGCCACCGAGAGGTCGGCCAGCGCCAGGGACACGATCAGGTAGTTGGAGGGCTGGCGGAGCTTCTTGACGAAGCACACGGAGATCACCACCAGGCAGTTGCCCGCGATCGTCAGCAGCGTGATGAGCGTCAGGATGGAGCCGATCACAACTTTCTCGACTCTGCCGTAGTTGATCTGTTCCCCACAGCCGGAGGCATTGTCCGGGGGCGCGTCCCAGGTGGGCGCCGGGCTGGCTGTCACCTCGCTCAGCAGGTGCGGCGCCCAGGAGCCCGCGACCGGGTCGGCGCCACCGTCGGGGCTCAAGTCGGGCAGCCCGCGCCCCACTTCTGGCAGAAGGAAAGAGCGGAGGTGCCCGTAGAGGTCCGGGCGGCCGCTGCTGTTAACGTCCATCATCGCGCCGCCGTGTGCCGCTGCCCATGGAGCCGGCGCCCCGGCCACGCGCCTCCGGCTGCCGGCCCCGGGGCTTCACCTCACCGGTTCCGCTCCGCCCGGCCCAGCCATGGGGCCCGCGCCGACCGCTGGGGGGCGCCTGGCTCTGTCTCGGAGCCCCGCACTCCCCGGACCCCCGGCCGCTGCGGGTAACGCGGCAGCGCGGCCTCACGGGGACTCCCTGCGGGAGGCGCTTCGGCCCCCGACGGACGCCTGGGACGCGCGGAGTCGAGGGAGCTCGGGCTGGGCTCCGCTGGCAGCTCCACAGTTCGCAGCAGCAGCTCGGCTGCGCCGAGAGCGCCCGGGCGGCAGCGGCAGAAGTTGCGGAGTGCGCCCCGCCCCTCGCGCCCGCCGCCGCCGCCGCCGCCGCCGCCGCTCCCCTGCGGCAGCCGCGCCGCGTCCCCGCCGCCGCCGCCTCCGGCCGCTGCCCGCTCCCTCGCGCTCCTGGGACGGGATACCCGGGCTGGGCAGGCACCGCCGCCTCTCCCGCGCCTCCCTACTGTGAGGGGGCGGCGCTGCACGCGCCTCCCGGGATCCCGGGTCCCCTCGCCCGGGAAGCTGTCCTTGCCGCATGATAGATACTTAGAACCCCTCCAGCCGACCCCAGCCTCCGCACACTAGTCAGCCACAGTTCAGTGGGGGCATTTTTCTTTTGTTAAGAGGCCTAATGAGCCAGCGGATGTTTGGGCTCATTGCGAAATGAAGAACCTAGAGGGGGATTTTATTTTTCTTAATTAAACAACAACCAAAAAAACGTCTCTGAGCACTACACTAAGCAACAAATAGGTACTTCCGTTTTCTATTTTGACCGCTTATGGGAAGAAGCGAAGATGGAAAAGAAGCAGCCGAATGGGGTGAGGGTGGGAGCTCCGAGAAGAGGAAGAAAGAAAAAAAGGAGGGAGGGGGATTCCTTAAGCCCCTGGCACCCAGGAGATGAGGATGCTCTGGGGACAAGGCCTCCAAGGGGGTTACACCCATTTGGACTAATCCTTCCTGGATGTCTAGAAACAGTCCTCTCCGCTCTGAAAATAGACCCTGATTGCCTTTATATTTAGACTTCAAAGCCTAATATATTGAAAAGAGAGTTAATTTTCCCGTAGCATTCTGGAAGTCTTACACATAAGCAAAGAAATGACCGGTTATACTCTTCTATAAAGGAATCCTGGAGGTGTATGTTGATTTAATACCTATTGGCTAAAATTCCCCTTGGTATCCAAACCCTGTCAGAGCGGCTGATTTTTATTATTTGTGAGACTTGCTTCATTCCATTTTGTTTGAAGGTTTCATTGGAAGCCAGCAGTGATTTCTGTAGTTTAAGACTCTAAAAATAATCAAATCTGTTTTTTCTTGTTAGGCCCTAGCGGATTATAAATAAGAAGAAAAGGAATAAAAACCTCAAAGTATATTGATCAGAGTGCTGAATAGTACTTTCATTCTTCAAGGTGGGTATTAGCTCTGTTTTTCCAGATAGGGAAGGTTGTTAGCTCTTGCAATCAGCTGGTAAGGAATAGTTATGTTTCAAACCCAAGTTTATCTGATTACTATGCCCATATTCTTCCCTGTACACATTCAGAAAAAGTTTTAATGGAAAAAAAAAAAAGCCCTAATGTTCACAGCTCTTTTGCTGTGATCAACATTTCAGAGGCTCCTCTCTGCCTAGGATAAGCAAACCAATCCATTGAGTCAGAGGAAGAGTTGAATATAATACCTAGGCCACAAAGCAATATTATCTAACAGTTAAGATGGATGAGGAAATTTCTTCAACCTTACTTATGTTAGTTATTCTCTGTTTCGCTTTTCTTGGTTTGTTATCTGTGGTGAACCACGGTCCGAAAATATTAAATGGAAATTTTCAGAAATAAACAATGTGTAAGTTGTCAATTGCACACTATTCTGAGTAGCGTGATGAAATCTCTATCTTACCCAGGATATGAATCATCCCTTGTCCAACATATCCACACTGTATATGCCATCCACCATTAGTCACTTAGTAGCCCTCTCTCTTACCAGATCAAAAAAAAAAACATAGTATATATACGATTGGGTACTATCCGGGGTTTTAGGCATCCACTGGGGATCTTGGGAGAGAGGAAATCTCAGACAAAAGACAAATAGTTTGTTGCTGGAATGCATCTAAGAAACCATTTGTTCACCCTTCAGTGCAGAGGAGGAAATAGAGGCTGGGAGAAATTTTATAACTTATCCAAGATCATATGTGACTGCATTGAAATGTCTCCATTTTTTTATTTTGAGGTTTGGAATTGTCTTAAGGTCTTTTAAAAATTCCTTCATGTAGTATATTCCCCAAGATACTTTTGATATTTTTTTCATTTTAACTTTTCAACTCATTTTAACTTATTTTGACTTTTGTATTCTTCCCCTTGAATACCCTAATCAGTTCAGCTTATATATTCTGTCTTGGCTCTGTCAAATAATATTCCAGAGTAATTACACACAGATTTTGAAAATTAATCATTTTATTTGTATTTAAACCTCTAGTCAATATGATTTACCACCTACACTCTTACAGCCCTCACGTAGCCCATTTATATTTCACAACAGCTTCTAGTTTTTGCTTTTGTCTTGTTTTAGTCCCTTTGGGATGCCATAACAAAAATATCATAGCCTGGGTGGCTTAACAACAAACATTTACCAAGAACAAGGCAACAGTAAATTTAGCCATGTTGCTGTGTCCTCACCTGGCAAAGGGGGTAGGAGAGCTCTCTGGGTCTCTCTTTCTTTTTTTTTTTTTTTTTTTTTTTTTTTGAGACAGGGTCTTGCTCTGTCACCCAGGCTGGAGTGCAGTGGCGCGATCTCGGCTCACTGCAACCTCAACCTCCCAGGTTCAAGCGATTCTTCTGCCTCAGCTTCCCAAGTAGCTGGGATTACAGGCACATGCCACCACACCTGCCTAATTTTTGTATTGTTTTTAGTAGGGACCGGGTTTCACCATGTTGGCCAGGCTGGCCTCAAACTCTTAACCTCAAGTGATCCGCCTGCCTCAGCCTCCCAAAGTGCTGAGATTACAGGCATGAGCCACCAAGCCTGGCCTGGGGTCCCTTTTATGAGGGTACTAATCCCATTCAGGAGGGTTCTGCCCTCATGACTTAATCATCTCCCTCTCCCATCTGACAAAGTCCTAATGTTCAGAATCTATAACTTAAATGAAGGAACAAGCAAGAAACAAATAACCCCATTAAAAAGTGGGCAAAGGACATGAACAGACACTTCTCGACAGAAGACATACAGGTGGCCAGCAAACATGAAAAAATGCTCATCATCCCTAACCATCAGAGAAAATGCAAATCAAAACCACAATGAGATACTCTCTCACACCTAATGCCACCACAATGGGGAGCAGGATTTCAACATACCAATTTTTTGGAGGAAACAAATGTTTATTCCATAACAACTTTTAAATTGTGTGACATATAAATACAGCAAATAATCATTAAAATACTATTTTTTAAATTACTACCTCCTTCATTGTCAATATAGCATCAAGTCCAAGCTCCCTTTTTTATAGAACAGTCACCTCTGTTATATTATCCCTAGTGATGGCTGAGTGTATTTCCTAAGAGTTGCTAGGTTTCTAATTTATAAGCTGTCACAATGCATAAACATAGTTATTGAAAATCTCGGCTTCTGCAGCATTACTTTGCTTATGTTGAGTTTAAATTTCATCTATCATTGTGTTATTCCAAAATCCTGACAGAGCAATCTGGAATTCTTTCAGTTTCCCTTTAACCTTCACTAACAAATAATTGTGTCCTCATAAAAATGCCAAAATCTAGTGTATACTTTTCTGTAATTTTCTCACAAAGAAATGCCAAAGATATAGCTTCACAAAATATTCATAAAATATCTAAATATTCATCTAAATTTGTTGTTTGTTCTGCCCTTAGTTTTCTGGTGTTTAAAAGCCATATCAAGGTGTTGCTTCCTTCTTCCCTCCCGCTGCCCACCCACTCTTCAACAGTTATACCAGAGACAGTAAGTAAAGTGTTGGCATCTAAATCAAATCATGTCTTTATTTTCTGTCCCTTTTATTCCTAGCATTTAAAAAAATTACTGCTTTTAAAAGTACTAATTCTTATCTAGACTCTCATTGCCTACAATAGCATTCTCATAAGATTGTCAGTGAGGGCACCTGAGAATACAGCTTTCTGAGGTTTCCAACTGGCAATCTGGCAATCTCCTGCTCTAAGAACTGCTCTCGGAGAGTGCAGAAGAGCTGTGGAGTCCTACATCATAGTTACTGTCTTTTTATCAGCCCTTCTTCCCTCTAGGTACTCATCTAGCTCATCTAAATGCATATGCGTAATCCCATCTATGAAAACCCACACATATCCCTCCACAGGACATAAGCTTAGGATAGTTTGTTTTCCCATAAACCTTCATACCCTGACAACCTAGATGTACTTTAAGAAGCACAAAAAAAGCTTCCTAAGCCATAGGGTTCATTGGCAACTCACTAGTCAGTCAAGCATGCTGATATCATGTCTATCGGGGGTCTGATGGCCTCCCATGCCCAGTGCAGCGGACTTCCACAGGGCCACTCTTTCATTTCTCCAAATTTTTCAGTCTCTCACATTTGTACCCCATTTCCTCACTCAACTAGACTAATTATCTGGGTGTCCCTTGCCCCCAGAATTGGGTGAGAAAAGACTAGGGAAACTAGAATGCTTAGACAGTGTAGTACTAAGAGTATTGTAAGTAAATATCCAGATACTACCCTGTGGCCTTTATTGGGGCTACAGATCACTAATACAGAGAACACACATGCTAGAGACAGGGACTCAAATCCATCAACACAGACATTTTTGAGGCCCAGTTAGGATAAAAGCAGTTAGTCTGGGACACCTGAATGTCTCCTTCTCAGTGACAGCACCCCTCGCCATAGTTAATTTCATTCTTTGTAGGCTTTTAAAGCACTTTTAAATTATATTTATTATAGTACTTACTGTTGCATTATGCTTCATATTTCCATGACTGTCTTCCCCATTAGACTGTGAACTTATCAAAGGGAGGGATATTTCCTTACTCCTGCCATATACTAGGTGTTCAATAAACATTAGTCAGTTGAACTGAGTGTAGAATAATGCCTATAACCAAGAATCATTCATGTTGTAAAGTAATTCTTCAGCCTAAAAGTGAATTGTGTTTTGTTTTAATTTAGACATACTAAAAATAAAAACATTTTTTCTTTGATTCTTTCCATTTAGAAAATTTTCATTCTCTTTACAAAATAAAGGTAACCTTTAAAAAGTTTCCTCCAAACAAGATAAATGAAAAATCAGACAACAGCTACATCCAAGAGCCCTTATTTATTTTATTAATCACTCAATTTTTCTTAACCAGGACTGTTTTCGAAATGTATGTGGTGCATGCATACCCCCTAGTGGGGAATCTATTCAGCAGCACAAATTCCACAGAGACAACTTTCATGGAAAGTTTTTATCAATGAACACATTTGACATTGTCAGCTCCCAATCCTTCCTGAAAGATTTCTAATGAGAAGAAAATTTAAATTCCTCAATTAAAAAATAGATTAAAGTAGCAATCATTCATTGAGTCAACATTAATTAATGAGTGTCTAATGCAAACCAGATATTGTTTTAGGAGCTCTGTTTTAAAAGGACACATTAAGTTTAAGATACTATTGGATTATTCAAGTGGAGATGTCAGCTATGCAGATACAATTTCAGGGGAAAATCTCCCAAGAGGAAAAGTAGTTACAGAAGAGTCCTGAGGATTTAACCGTGGGATGCACCAACATCCTGAGATCTTGGAGAGGAAAAGAAACCAACAAAGACTGAGAATGAGGGGGCAGTCAGGCAGGAGAAGAACCAAGAGAAATTGGATATTTAAAGTCAAGGAAAGAAAATGTTTCAAGGGGGTAGAAATTGACTGAGTTAAGTGCAAAGTAAGGCAAGAACTGTTTCAGTGCAATGGTAGGGGTAAAACAGATTGGAATGGATTCGAGAGATCAAAAGACAGAACATGGCAATTCAGAAGGTGGACAACTTTTGGAGTAGTTTTACTCAAAAGGGCAATCAGTAATTGGGGCAAAATCTAGAGAGATTTGTGGTATTTCAAGATAATCAAAATAGAAGTAAGGCTTTCATTGAAGAAGTGATAGGACACATCTTATTCTACAGTTTCTTTAGAATTTTATGAATCCTTCTATATTCAACAAAATGATATCTTAAAGTAAAATTACCATCACAGTCATATCCCATTTCTAGGAAAAACTATGCCTAATCCATTATTTTATTTGATTTGTTGCGACTTTTTTTCTCGAGATGGAGTCTCGCTCTATTGCCCAGGCTGGAGTGCAGTGGTGCGATCTTGGCTCATTGAAACTCTTCCTCCCGGGCTCAAGCACCTCTCCCTGCCTCAGCCTCCCAAGATGCTGGGATTACAGGCTCCTGCCACCACACCTGGCTAATTTTTGTATTTTTAAGTAGAGATGGGGTTTTGCCATGTTGGCCAGGCTGGTCTTGAACCACTGACCTCAGGTGATCCACCTGCCTTGACCTCCCAAAGTGTTGGGATTACAAGTGTGAGCCACTGCACCCAGCCTGATCCATTCTTTTAGTCATTCAATAAGCATGCCCTAGCTACATATTAATAGGCACTGTGCTAAGTGCTGGGGTCAATAAATAAGGCAGGTTCTCTGCTCTGCAGATGTTCATTGGTAGAAGAGACAGACGAGTAAATAATTACAGTACAATGTGAAAGTCTCCTAATATAGGTATGAACCAAAGGTATGAGAGCCCAGAGGAAAGAGGTATTAGCCCTGCTTGGAAAGACCAAAAAATTCACAGAGCTAACATATCAGCTCGAGTAGAAAGTTCATTAGAAGACTGAGGAAAGGAGAATGCAACGCTGACAGGGTCCATAAACACATGGAAGACTTGCCATAGCTGTGGAAAATGGCAAGGGTAGACCTTTGGGGAAGATCACAAAGAAACCTGTGTGCCATGCAAGGTAGGTATGAGTTTTACTCTGCGCAAGAAGGGTCACATTATTTTTCTAAAATAAGTTGTTGACTGACACTAATTGTTCAATAACACATTTAAATGTTTTTTCAAATACTTAAAAATCTAAAAATGATTCTTAGCTTGCGAGGCATACAAAAACAGGTGGCAAACCGGATTTCACCCATGGACCATAGTTTACTAATCTCCAATTTAGACTAATTACTGGCAAGATATTTGTAAAATTCTAGTGTTCCAATATTATCATTTTAAGTTCTCAATACAATGCACTGCTGTTCAAAAACTTCCTTTTGTAATTTTTATTCGCACTAGCAGTAGCAATTGAAAAAGGCAAATTAAGCAATATTATCATCAAGTCTAAAGGTTTAAATCAGAGTGTCTTTTTTGGATCATAGTCTTCGACTTCACAATTTGGTGCTGCAATAAAGGGTTAGTCCATAATTTTCATATCTGAAAACCAGTTTCAGTGCAAAAAATGGGCTAGATCATTCCTACCCAGATGAGTTTCCCAAAGATGTAATTTTGTTATATATGAATAAATCTGCTTATATGATTTTTTTAAGGGGCAGGGGTTATATCATCAACCACAAGAACCAAATCTTTGATTCAGCCATCACTGGTGAGCCAAGATGGATATTTTAACCTTGATGACATTAATAAGTAAATTTCTTTCAGCCGCTCAAAATTGAGTTCTCAACATCCACTGTAGCTATTTGGAGCATGAACTGTGTGGGCCATGGTTAGTGCCTTAGCTATTATTGGTATGGCTTTTAAATTTAGAGCTCAAAGTGGTTTCTTGTTAATGGTACAATAAATTGGCTTAAATTCTGTGTCTTGACAAAATCTTGTTACATCGTGCTTATATTTCATAAGTCTGATGGTAACACTGACCCCTACTGGAGTCCCATCCGTAGCCATGGTTACCAATTCTGAAAAGTGTACTTTAAAATTCTAAAAAAAACAAAAAACAAAAAAAAAAAAACCTCTTCTCCATACACAAAAATAAGCTACTTCCTAATGTGCCTTTTTGAAGCGCCATTTCCAAAAAAAATTTTTAGTCATTTCAAAATACTCTCCAACACAAATAGCTTTTAGGTTTCTATACACTTATCAGCTGCAACGAAAAAATGCCAGAAATAACTTAGGTTTTTTCATATAACTTGTCTTGCAAGCTCTAAGCCATATTTACAACATACTGAGCAGTAAAAGCTACAGATATTACATTTGTAAATGTTAGTTTCTGTTTAGGACTTGTGCTTTCTTTTGCCTCCAATAAACTTTCTTTTTAAACTTGCCTTTGATACAAAGTTTTTGTTGCCTGAGCAATTTTTTTTTCACTTAATATGTAAGCATTTCTAGACAGCATCACTGTGAAAGTTAATTTTATGTTTCAACTTGACTGGGCCATGGGGTGCACAGATATTTGGTCAAACATTATTCTGGGTGTGTCTGTGAGCATGTTTCTGGAGGAGATTGACATTTGAATAGGTAGACTGAGAAAAGCAGATTGCCCTCCCTAATGTGGGTGGGCCTCATCCAATCAGTTGAAGGCCTGAACAGAAAGCTGACTATCCCCTGAGAAAGGGAAGATTCCTTTGCCTGACTGCCTTTGATCTGGAACATCAGCTTTTCCCTGCCTTTGGACTCAAATTGAAATGTCAGCTCTTTCTTGAGCCAGCCTACCTGGAACTACACCATCAGCAATTCTGGTTCTCGGGCCTTTAGACTCAGACCGGAATGACACCATCAGCTGCCCTGGATCTCCAGCTTGCTGACTGCAGATCTTAGGACTTGTCAGCCTCCATAATCACTTGAGCTAATTCCTTAAAATAAATCTCTCTCTCGCTGTCACTCTACACACACACACACAAACACGTTGATTCTTTTTCTCTGGAGAATCCTAATACCATCATTTATTCTATTTGTTTTTCAAAAATCCTGTTGAAATTTCAGTCCTCTTCTTTACATTTAAGTCTATCATCATGCATCTTTTCCCTATACCAGTCATAATTCTTCCTTTGATTTCTTTCATAATGGCTCCTTAAATTGTATTTTTTTTAAAAAATCAGGCACACTTTACATCTTAAAGAGGTAGGACTACTCTTTATTTTCACAATCAAGCATGTTCTTATGCAAATTTTTGTAAATACAAGCCTACATCTGTCTCATTTTCCAATTTTTAATAGAAACATGAGTGTAAAAAAATTTCACTTTCATTTACCTGCACTTCAAAAGAAAACTAATATTGCAAGCAGGGGCAGATTACCCCAGCACAGAAAGTGGACAAATTTTTATGATATCAGGTCAGTAACAAGAGTTTCTGGGGGAAGGTAAGAAGATGAGGAAGGAATCACTGTGAGCTGTGAGCAGCTCCCTGGATTGGTGATGTCCTATGGAGTGCCACTAGAGTTCTAGGTTTAGCAATTAACCCCTCTGGTCTGCTTTATGAGGGCTTCTGGGAAAGGCTGGGCAGATGGTTCACTGCACAAACTTCCAGATATGTGATGAATAGGGCAACTGTAATATCAGCCTGGAGTTAAGGCATCTTCTTTTAGTCTCCCCAAGAGCTCCTATAAGTGTCCCACCATGTGGGACACAGAGGATGGTTCTGTTTCAGTTGCTGGTGTATCACACTAGTGCACCATGTGCACAGTTCAGTGAATTTCTGGCCAGGTGATTAAATAATACATCCAACAGTGCTACAATTCTGTTGATATGGGAACAAAGTCAAACAAGAGGCCATGAGTTCATTTATTCAATCAGTTACTTTTGGCTGAGTACCACCTACTTTGTGCCAGCTCTGGATATACCCTCAACACCCTAGATCTCTGTCTCATGTATGTTCCTCTTCCACTTCCATGTGTCAAAATTTAATTCAAGCATTACTCCCTCAAGGAAACTGCCATTTTTTCCCTTCAGATCTCCCAAACTTCCCTCTCAATCTGGGAGATAAATCTCTGCTTTGTGCTCCCAATACATCTGGCTAAATCATTTTATAATATGGTTTTCTTGCCTGGCTCCCCCTCGGCCTTAAGCTGCAAGAGGACAGGGGTTGGGTGGAGCATTTTTCAGTTCACTCAGGAGGGGTGAATGGAATAAACTTAGGATAAGGCCAAAGACTAATCAAGCACACACCCAAGCCCACACACAGCCCAGAAAAGAGAGCTCTTCTGGGAGGATGAGAAGGGCTCAATGATTGCGTTGGATGTGAAAAACCATCCTCTTTTTCTAGGCTTCCCGCAGAAGAAGAAATGACTCAAGAGCCATCCTATCTGAGCCCAGGACTTCTCCTTGATATAATGGGAATAACAATATCTCTCTCATTGGCTATTGTAAGGATCAAATCAGATAACTGATGTAAAATGCTTATCATAATTATACAGTACTTTTTTTTTTTTTTTGAGACGGAGTTTCACTCTTGTTGCCCAGGCTGGAGTGTAATGGTGCAATCTCTGCTCACTGTAACCTCTGCCTCCCAGGTTCAAGAAATTCTACTGCCTCAGCCTCCCAAGTAGCTAGGATTTTTAAGAGACAGGTCTCATTCTGTCACCCACACCAGGGTGCAGTGGTGCAATCCATAGCTCATTGTATAATAACATGGAACTCCTGGGCTCAAGGGATCCTCCCACCTCAGCCTCCCCAGTAATTCAGACTACAGGTGTGTGCCACCACTTCTGGCTAATTTATTTTTTGTAGAGACAGGGTCTCACTTTGTTGCCCACGCTAGTCGTGAATTGGCTTCAAGTGATTCTCCTGCCTCAGCCTCCCAAAGTGCTGGGATTACAGGTGTGAGCCACTGCTACCAGTCTTAAACAGTACTATTATCTTCCAGTCAGAAATTTCTATGGTCTTCTTCAAGGTGCAGATACTTGTTGCCACAGCCATCCCTTCAGGCCAACTTCTGACCCCTCTTCCCTGTTCATCTCCCCTATTCTGTCTTGTCTTTTTCTTCTCTCCACTTCTCTCTCCCCTCTTCCACTTCTTTCCTTTCCTTCCTTCTCCCTTCCTACTTCTCCTTTCCTCTACTCTCCTTCTCTCCTCTCTGGTCTCCCTTCTCTTCTTTTCTCTTCTTCTCCTCCTCCCTCCCAAACAACTCTAGTCTCTGCTTGCTTTGCTCAGGAAGCAGTACACTAGGCAAGAACTGAAACAAATTGCCTCCATCCACATGTAGTTCTACCACTAATAATGCCTTAGTTTTCTCAGATATAAAAAATGGATATTGATTTTAAAAACAAAATAACAAAAAGTAAAAAACAGTACTTCTGCAAGTCTAGATCTGAAAACAGTAATAAAACAAAAATAAAAAACAGCATTTAACACACAGCTGCTTTGAAAATAAGATACATACATAAGTACTTAGCAAATTCGCTGGCCCTCAGTATAGTGCTAAATACTGATTGTTATCTATTCCTATTCTTTCTTACCTCTTCTCTTCCTCTTCACCCAGGCTTAGGGTGCAGAGAAGAAAAGAAGTTTATATGGTACAGTCCACAGCAAAAGTTCTGTGACTTTCAAAGAAGCCCACTTTAGTCTCATACTAGCATCAGATAATTAAACAGTCTCCTAGCCACAGCAATTAGGCAAGAAAAAGAAATAAAAGACATCCAAATTGGAAAGGAGGAACTCAAATCATTACTGTTTGCAGACAACATGATCTTATACATGGAAAACCCTAAAGGCTCCCCCAAAAAAACTCCACCATTTAAAACTAGCAAGTAAATTCAGTGAAGTTGCAGGATACAAAATTGACATACAAAAAAACAGTAGCATTCTGTATGCTAATAGGGAACTATCTAAAAAGATCAAGAAAACAATTCCATTTACAATAGCTACAAAAAAAGATACCTAGGAATAAACTTAACCAAGAAGGTGAAAGATCTGTACAATAAAAAAAATTAAGGAAATAAAGATGACACAAATAAGTGAAAAGATATCCCATGTTCATGAACTGAAATAATATTGTTGAAGTAGACATACTATCCAGAACGATCTACAGATTCCATGCAATCCCTATGAAAATACCAATGACATTCCTCACAGAAATATTTTTTAAAATCCTGAAGTTTGTGTGGAACCACGAAAGTCCTCAAACAGCAAGAGCAGTCCTGAGCAAAAAGAGCAAAGCTGGAGATATCACAAAGCCTGACTTAAAAATATGCTACAAAGCTATAGTACCCAAAACAGCATGGTACTGGCAGAAAAACAGACACATAGACCAATAATGTAACAGAATAGAGAGACCAAAAATAAATGCATGCACCTATAGCCAACTGATTGGTATTGAGGGAGGGATTGAGGGAGGAGGATGGGGAGAGGTTGGTCAACAGGTACAAAGTTAGATAGGAGGAATAAGTTCTGATGTTGTATTGCACACAAGGTGACTATGGTTAACAGTAAGGTATTGTTTATATATCACGAAACAGCTAGAAGAGTTTTTTTTAATGTTATCACCAAAAATGCATGAGGTGATGAATATGCTAATTACCTTGATTTGTTCATTATACAACATATACATGTATCAGAACATGAAATTGTACCCTATAAATATGTATAATTACAATGTGTCAACTAAAAATGAAAAAATAATTGAACTATCACCTTATTCACCTTCACCACACATTGGTCATATTTCTGACCAATCTAGATTGTTATGGTCATAGGTGATGATGCCTGTGTGACCCTGCAAAATTAACACTAGATATTCTCATGAAAAACAAAGCGTTTGCTTCATATGACCTTATTCTATTTGCAGAAGTAATATTCTCTTCTACTCCCACTTAGGAAATATCAAGTACTGGAAAAGGCAAAATATCTCTTCTTTACAAAAGTTAACCAAGAAGAGAATTGCATGCTACTGCATGGAACAGATCCTTCCTCCCTTCTGAGACCGACAAGAAAATCGCATAAAGGAGTACTAGTTAAGGTGTGGTCCATAGACGAGAGACTATCTGTGAACTGTTTGTGATCAGTAAATAAGAGAAATTGATGGGTGAAGCATGTGGGTGGGCTCCTGTAATCACAGCTAGGAGAGAGGATTGCTTGCGTTAGAGTCCATCCTGGTCAATAACGAGATACTCTCTCTAAAAACAAAACAAAACGAAACGAAAACTCAGCAGGCCACCAACTAGGATACTCCCTAGGTCAAATGACCGAGCCTCTAATTCTGTGATTGTTGTTGCTGTGCGCACGTTAATAAAACAAACAAACAAACAAAAAGTGAAGATGTTTAGAAAGTTTACAGTACTTTGGCATTGTCCTGATAATCCAAGCTCCTGATCAGCAGATTCTATTCAGCCAGGTATAGGGCAGTTCGAGTGTTGTCAAATTTGTGATTCCCATGAGGCCAGGCTGCTTACTGGTAATGCATAAAGGACCACATCCTGGTTCGCGAAGAGTTTGGGGGTAGAGGAAAAGGAGGGAGAAACTGATCCTTCATCACAGGTAGTTTGAGAGCACTGATGTAAACTATAGTCACACTTTTGTAGTATAATTGATTATTATCCTCAATAGATCATTTACACTAAGTCGGAAAAAAGTGGAAACATCAGATATGTGGGATATGCGTCACCTTGTACATTTCTCAGCTGGAAAAGTGTAAAACATCTCAATTTTGCACCTCCCTTTTCAAACATGTCTTTGGCTAAATCAATGTTGGCTCTAACCGCTCGTCCTAGAGCGAGTCCCGCCATCTTGTGGTTGAAGATGTTGACTGCCACAGAGAATAGCGGGCTTTGACATCAACAGTTCTGATTGGGTAAAAAGACCCTCGTCTTGGGGTAGTTCTCTTTTGAAGTCCTAGAGTCCGTCACACACAAACGCCTTCTTCCCGGTAAGTCCATTGTAAACAACGGAATGGACTTTAGGGAAAGGAAAGGAAAACGTGTTCTTTAAGACTCTTTAAATAGCGTTTTCACCCATTAGCAGAATTCTCTGATTCATGAGCAGCACTAAGTAGATACCGTGTGCGTGCATTTTGAATGAATTCATTTCTACACTATTTTATAGGAGTATTGAATAGTTGGGAATTGGAACCCCTCCAGGGGGAACCAAACATTGTCGTTCAGAAGAAGACAAAGAGAGATTGAAATGAAGCTGTTGATTTCAACACACAAATTCTGGTGGTAGATGAAAGCAAAGCAAGTAAGTTTCTCCGAATCCCTAGTCAACTGGAGGTAGAGACGGACTGCGCAGGTTAACTACAGCTCCCAGCATGCCTGAGGGGCGGGCTCAGCGGCTGCGCAGACTGGCGCGCGCGGACGGTCATGGGACTTCAGCATGGCGGTGTTTGCAGATTTGGACCTGCGAGCGGGTTCTGACCTGAAGGCTCTGCGCGGACTTGTGGAGACAGCCGCTCACCGTGAGTTGCCCCGGCTTCGCGCCTGGCCAACCTCATGCCACCCAGACCATCGGGCCACACTCCGGAGTAACTATTTCCTGATGGGTCTCGGTCAGGTCTCCCAGAGTCTCTGGGATGTCCCTGGAGGCTGATGCCCGCCGAGGTGTTGGTCTGATTCCTAGCGCGGGAAACTCGAAGGTTCTGGGGGTTGTTATCTGGTTCAGCTACTTTCCTGCAATGAGGGAACTGAGGCCTAACGAGGGCGAGGGATTTGCATAGGGGCCTACAGCTGATAGGTGACAGAAGCCGGAGCTGGACTCCAAGGGTACAATCTTCTAAGCTTCTAAGTTACTATCAGCCCTTCCTGATTCTCACGACAGTGTCTAAACAAATACTGGAATTTGGGGCACGGACAGGAAGCGCCGTGGAGGCTCGGAGAAGGAGGAGGACGTGGGAGTGTTGGAACAATACTATCTAGACAGAGAGAGGGTAGGTGGGGGCAGAGGACATACACAGCGGAGTGGAGGTGGAGGAGGAGGATAGCATGGCCCAAATCGAAGGGAAGCGAAAGCCTTGAGAGACGAGAACCTGTTTTAACTATTGGAGTTAGTCATGGGTTCTGTATTCCGTAGACTGTAAAGTGTTGGAATAGAGAGATTAAAAAGAATCAAGAGGTTCGTGTAGTAACATCTGCTCCTCAGAGACAGTTTTCAGCTCATTGTGAGTTCTGATTACTGATACTGTTCAGAGGTGGTGCTAGAAATGACAACCACTTCTTGGCAAAGTGAATCACACCACTTTTTTATTGTTCTCTTTATGAAGTATCCGTGGCGAAATGACTGTCCCTTTCCACTGCTGCCACTAAATGAACGTTATCTCTGTGGTACTTTGCTCATCAGCACGAAGACGAAAGTAGACATGATGATCTGGGCCATTTGGCGCTAATGTTCTTTGATCCTGTAAAATAAGTTTTCCTAGGTGTAGTTTGTCGCAATTATTACCTCCTCAATGAGGCTTTTCCTGACGCCATCCCATTTTTGAATAAATCATGAGCTTCCTAAGAGAATTGCCATGTCTTATCCTTTTATTTACTGTGCTTAACACGTTCACTCTGCAGGCACCAGTACATGGCAGTTACTCAGTTAATGCTTGTGGAATAAACTGAACACATTAAAAAAATTAATACAAAAAAGAAAAGTTAATAATGATTTCTTTAGAGAATTTCCCCCAGTTTAAAATACACTTGGAAGAGGTGTGGTAATATATGTACATTGTTAGTGGTTATTTGTTTGTAAATTAAATGGAATTCATGGCATATAAAGTTGCCTCAACTTACAAGTCAAAGACAAAGGACTGCTCTGCTATTTGATGAGTCTGGAACTAAATAGTGGACATTTGCAAAGAATAGGAAAGACAGAGCCCTGGTTCTCAGTTTCTGATGTGATACAAGAAACCAATAATAAGCTTCAGAAATATACTGTGTAAATTAAAATACCCTAAAGCCTGATTGGGGAAGTAAGTACTCCTAAGCTGCCAGATGAGGAGTAGTCTAGGAAAAAGTTTTGTGGAGAAACAGATCCTAGTTGACATTTCTGTAGAACGGTAGGGACATTGTTTAGTAGCCAAAAGGATATCCTAAATGGGTATAACAAGGAAGTTTAGAGCAGATTTGGGAGTGTGGTAAAGAAGAATAGGGAGGAGGTGTGGCTGGTTGATTTGACTAACTGGGTGCAAGGTGAAGCCCAAGGTACAGGCATACTTGTGATTTTTTTTTTGTTTTTAAGGGTAACTTTCTTCAGGGAGCCTTTTGTGACCCCTACACCAGGTTTCACTGTGCTATGTACTTCCATAGAATCCTTACTTATAAAAAACATGTATTTATATACAATGACTTGCTTAATTGCCTTATTTGCCTTCGTTCTCCAACAGACTAGGCTGTAAATTTCTTGTGGAGAAGGATTATATTATTTATCCTGTATGCTCAACACCAGTTTAGGGCTTGTCAAGTAATGGATGCTCAGTAAATATTTGAGGGAGGAAGGGAAGAAGGAAGTTGGACAAACTGTTGAGAGTTTGGCATTGATATGTATTTTAATGTTAATATCCTTTCATCCCCATTGGTATTTTTAAAAATTAAAGATGGGAGTCATGATTTAGATTTTTTTTTGGTAGCCCAAATGTCCAGAACAGTGCTAACTGATGAGGATAATAAAGCAAGCCCTTGACCTCAAGGAGCTCCCAGTCTGTCGATGGTGTGCAGCTTAAAATGGGAAGCGGGCAGTGGTGTGAGGGAGTTATCACTCCATTTCTCCTTAGGAAAGGAGTCTCTGAAGGAAGTAGAAGGATAAAAAGCAAAAGAAATGAACGGGAATAAAAGTGACAGTGATAAAGTAGGAACTTGATGGGATAAAAATGAATATAGGGTCATGAAAGAGAATGACATTTGAAAAGGAGAAGCACAAAGTTAAGAGTCTTTAGTATCATTTTAATAATAATTCATAATGGTTAAACAAAGACCTGTGTGCCAGGCACTGTTCTCAAACACCTCATGTGTATTATTTCATTTAAATTTCATGACAGTGTATGAAGAAAGTGTTGTTATTTTCACCATTTGACAGATGAGGAACCTGAAACTTCATGTTAAGTAACTTGTAAGTGGTAGTGCATAGACTTTAAATCAGGCAGACTGACACTAGAGTTCACATTCATAACCACTCCTCAAATGTCCTCCTACTCTTGACATCTAGACTCAGGATGGACCTGTGTTACAGGAAGGAGAGGTTGTTATATTTAACAAAAGTGTTCAATTTTTCTTTTTCAGTTGGCTATTCAGTTGTTGCTATCAATCATATCGTTGACTTTAAGGAAAAGAAACAGGTAAAATAATATTTCTAAAGTTAATAAGTTCATAAATAAGTATTTGTAATTCTGTTTGTATTGGTAATTTGGAAGCTACAGATTAGAATATTTCTTAAATGCACCCCTTTGTGCACTACTACTTTTCTATTTTATATAGAAACAGTCGAGCTGATGCATATTTATACAATGATGATTTTTGTGAGGTAATATGACATAGTGTTCAGGATTCTTAAAGGTGATTTGAAATTAAGTTACTTTTCACTGTTCAAAAAGTGCATTGTTATTGGCTGGACTGTAATCAAAATATTTAGTCCTTTTTATTCTATTGTCATGGGCTTATTAACTACTTTCTCTCTTAAACATTACTAATAAGTATGTATATTTCTCTTTAGGCCAACAACTGTATCCTGTAGATTATTTCAGTCTAAAAATTAGTTTTCATTCTTCCTATTCACTGATGTTTACAGTTGCTTCTCTATTTAGCTTTCTTTTTAAAAATAATTTTTAAAAGTTTTTTTGAATACCAGAAATCACCTTGCTTTCTTTTTAAAAAAAATGCATATTTTTTCTGAGAACACCTCGTAATTTTTCCATTATGCCTTGTGCTATTAATGGATACAATCTGCAGTAACTATTTATCGTTTGTTGTAGGAAATTGAAAAACCAGTAGCTGTTTCTGAACTCTTCACAACTTTGCCAATTGTACAGGTAGGTGTTTTGTTGTTTACGAAGCATAATATCTATTTATTCAGTTAAAAGGTACCTAATTATTGTGCTATTCTCTAGCTTGAGCTGCACCTTACTCTGAGTACCAGTCTTAACGTTTTCCTCAAGGCTCAGCTCTTCAGGAAACATTCTTTTACTATCAATTCAGCATTGCTTTGATGATCTTCTTTCCTGAAGTCCTACAATTTTTAAATTATCTCGTTATGTAGTTTAAGATATATACATCTCTTTCTGTGGCTGTATTGTAAATTCCTAGAGAACAAGGACTGGGTTTTATTGATCTTCACTATCCCTTATAGCCAGTACCTTTTAATGAATACTTTCCACTGGTAAAAAGGAAAATCAATTATTGTCTTTTGTGCTTTTTTGACATCATGTCTTTTTTAAATAGGGAAAATCAAGACCAATTAAAATTTTAACTAGATTAACAATTATTGTCTCGGATCCATCTCACTGCAATGTTTTGGTAAGTTAATTATTTTTCTTCTCTCCTTTTGGCTTTGTGAGTTGTATTGATTAATGTTGAACAATGTTGCATTTTGTCTTCCCCATTTTACATTTTCCCTCGCCCCCGCCAAACCATGACACCTGCTTGCTCTCCTTGTCCTCAGAATTCACACAGTGTAATATGTCTGTTCCACTTACTCATGGCACATGTGTAGTGATACCACAATTAAAGAATCCCTTGGCAACTGTTACTCATTGAACTCACGTGCACCAGACTTAAGGTGGGTGCTGGGGGGTATTGCCATGAATAATAGCACAATCCTTGAACTTATAAAGCTTAAAGTTTAATTGGCAAGGCAAGCACTGAACAAATAATAATTACAAATGTAAGGAATGTTCCAAGGTAGGGAAGTGGTAAATAAAGGATGCTCTGGGAGTATGTAACCTGAGTAAGTTGATATTCAAGCTGGGAGACAGAAGAGTCAGTAAATGTTAAATAGGTGACAAGCAGGGAGCTAATGTTCCCAGATAGGATGGATTATGCATAGGTCCTGAAGCTAAGGAAAACGTGGTATTTTCTGGGAAGTGAAACAAAACAATAGGGCTAAGCCTAGTGAGCCGGTTACATGGCATAAGGTTAAAGATATAAATTTGGGTGAGGATTCCAAGAGCAGTTGGAAGCCCTTGAAGGTTTTAACTAAGGGAGTGAAATGAGGTTTGAATTACAGAGAATGGATTAGAGGGAGTTAAGGAGGGTACTTAAGAGGCATCCAGGAGGGAGAATTGATGGGATTTATTGGTTAATTGGGTGTAGGATGATTACTCCCTAGGTGGCCTGAGCAGCCAGGTAGGTAATGGTGTACCATTTCCTGAGACGGACCATACAAACCAGCAGGTTTGGGGGCATCCTGATGAGTTACTGTGAGAGTTTCAAAAGAGCCCGTCAAAAAAGATGTGCACAGTGGCTCATGCCTGTAATCCCAACATTTTGGGAGGCCTAGGCAGGCAGATCACTTGAGGTCAGGAGTTCAAGACCAGCCTGGTGAAAGTGGTGAAACCCCATCTCTACTAAAAACCCAAAAATTAGCAGGCCGTGCTGGCGGGTACCTGTAATCCCAGCTACTCAAGAGTCTGAGGCAGGAGAATCACTTGAGCCAGAGAGGCAGAGGTTGCAGTGAGATCACACCAGTGTACTCTAGCCTGCGCAACAGAGCCAGACTTCATTTCAAAAAAAAAAAGATGTGGCCTTCAGAAGAGTGATCCCAATTAAAGATGGTGCTTTGGAAGTGGTCACCTGCATGAGTAATTGAAATCACGGGAATGGATGAGACTCCCTGGCCAAAGTGCATTGTGGGAAGAAGAGGTTTAGTACAGAGTCCTAAGGAACTTCACTATTTAATGGTATGAAAGAGGATGAGCTAGGATTGGAGACTGAGAAGGGACTACCCTAGAAGTAGAAGGACAGCAAGCAAAGGGAAAACAGAAAAGGAGGAATGAAAGGTCAGCAGGGTCAGTATACCTGTGTGGTCAAGCAGACAGGCAAAAAAAAAAAAAGTCTGTCAGATTTATTGATGTGACAGTCCTTGGCTGCCTTAGCAAAAACCATTTCAATTGATATAATAGGGATGTGGAAAAATGCAGACTGTGCTGCTGACTTTGCTTAAGAAATTTGACTCCATAGGAGAATGGGAGGCGTAGGGTGGTTAGTGGATAAGAATCTGCTGCATAAAGAGATTTTGTTTCTTAAATGAGAGAGGTTTGGGTATGCCTACTATCAGGGGAGAGAGAAAGTGAGATTCCCTGAGAAGGTGAACTGTTTCATCTTTAGCTGGGATGGACATCTCCATCATATAATAGAAGTAATTAAGGAAAGACTCCCTTTATAACAGTTACTATTGCTAAAGAAATTGTGAAAAGCCAACTTTTGGTGTCTTACACACCTGCAAGGCAGCATTCTGGTTCCTTAGGCCCAGGTAGACATAAATGGAGCTGACTTTTGATAGGTTGTAAAGACTTTCATTTACTCTTGTTACCATGAACATCTTGGTGGTTCCTTTTTGTCTCCTTCACAAGTGGGAGTGGGCAGGTAAAGGAGAGCAAATCCCAGATCCTGGCTATTTCTAAGACCTGGACCCTGCCCTGCCTCAGCACAAGTCTGCCTAGCAGGCCCTCTTACCTGCTCAAGCACAGCACCTGCTGCTTCTCTTATACCCTCCTAACTTTTATTATACTTTTTCTTTTTACAAAATAAGAGATTGCAAAATTTTAGAAGATGCCAACAAGCAGAGAAGAAATACCACACTTTATTCCATAATTCAGAGATTGTATGTTTGTGTATAAATGTATTTTTTTCTAGTCTTTTCATATACAGACTCACACAATTTAGGTTTAAGATGATATTTTCTTTCTTCTTCTTCATTTTTTTTTTTTGAGATGAGGTCTCACTTTGTTGTCCAGGCTTGAGTGCAGTGGCATGAACGCGGCTCACTGCAGCCTCAACCTATGGGACTCAAGAGACCCTTCTGCTTCAGGCCCCTCAAGTGTCTGGGACATATGTGTGTACCACCACACCCAGCTAATTTTTAAATTTTTTTGCAGTGATGGAGTCTCACAATGTTTCCCAGGCTAGTCTCAAACTCCTGGGCTCAGGCAGTCCTCCCACGTCGGCCTCCCAAAGTGCTGGGTTTACAGGCATAAGCCATCATACCTAGCCTAATTTGATTTTTACATCTCAGACACAATGTTTGGTACATGGTTAAAGTATAACAAATGTAGGAAGGAAGGAGAATGATTGGTGAGATGGATATTTGTATCTAAATTCTCATGTGCTTATGTCTTTTCTGCCAACATACAAAGCAAAGCAGAAATGTCAGTATATTAGAAGTGTTCCATGATTGAAATATAAGTGTGAGTCAATCACTAGACAGAATTTCATGTGTATGGATTTTGTTATTGTATGATAACATTCTTTTTGTATTCCTAGAGAGCAACTTCTTCAAGGGCCCGGCTCTATGATGTTGTTGCAGTTTTTCCAAAGACAGAAAAGCTTTTTCATGTGAGTAACAGATAAGTAAAAGAAAGTAGTGTATATATGTTATATAAGAAGTCTGATGTTCTGACTTTGTAGATGACCTGTTTTGACTCATCTGGAAACTTTTAGGATTTGTTATTTATACTTGGAGTTTCTAGAACCCCATAAGGGTATATATAACTGGTATTTGTGGTTTTTTTGTTTTGTTTTGTTTTTTTCATGCTGCTAACCTTTGATAGGCTCAGTTTGAAAGAGCCCGTTTTCTTCTGTTTCTTTATCTCTGCTTCATTCATTCAAAACTTCTCTTAGCTAAGTGTTGATCCATCTCTTTCTAGCTCTAAAATCACTTCAGTTTCTGCCCTTCTTACCATTTGCTGCTCCTTGGGAGGGAAAGGAGCAAGGTTCTATTGTAGCATAAAAGTTTCTACCTCTGTTTCGGCTTCCTCCTTTGCATGCTCTGTGGTATAGCCCATATGCCAGCATGATTGTCTCAGCTTTTAGTCTTTCAGAAATTCTTCAAAATCAGCCATTTGCTAGTATAATCCCTCTTCTTATCTTGAGAGCCTTTATGAATTGAATTTCTTTTGTACTTGTAAAATTGCCATTTCATTGCCTTTGCAGAAGGGAAAGGAGCTTAACGTGTATGCTTGTTTGTCACCTTGAGACAGAACACCCTGGGCATTTTAAATGATTACAGTAAGGAAAAAACAACTGTAATGCATTTTACTGTGTAAAATGAGGTATAGCTACTTTTAGAAAGTTCAAAAGTTACCTTTATCTAGGTTCACTAAAGTGTCCATCCGCCAAAAGTATAAAATGAGGTATAGCTACTTTTAGAAACTTCTGAAAGTTGCCTTTTTCTAGGTTCATTAAAATGTCCATCTGCCAAAAATATAACCACCAAAGGTACTACTCTTTGATTTTTTTTTTAAAGACTAGTCAAGTGTCCTATTAAGAAAAGGGGAAAGAGTAGAACAAGGAATTCAACCTGTAACTGATTGTGAATAGTCAATTAAGATAACTGACTGTGAACAGTCAATTAAGATAACTGACTACCTTCAGAGCAGCCTGGTCTTTGAGGTTTTAATGTTACATCAGTTTTTTTTTTTTTTAAGCAAAATTCATTCTAAAATTGCAGAAAGATGTTTTTCCTAGATGTATCCAGTAGATGGAGCTGTTGACTAAGGATGCTAACGTGTGCGATAAACATTAATAGTTTTCAAGACATACTGTCAATTCTTAATTATTTATATTAACAGAGAAACAGCACAAATTATTTATGAGTGCCTACTCTTTTTGTTGTTGTTGTTACTTCCTTTAAAAAATGCAATTGTAGGCCGGGCACAGTGGCTTATGCCTGTAATCCTAGCACTTTGGGAGGCCGAGGCAGGTGGATCACTTGAGGTCAGGAGTTCAAGACCAGCCTGGCCAATATGGTGAAACCCCATCCCTACTAAAAATACAAAAATTATCCAGGCATGGTGGCACGCTCGCAGCTACTCGGGAGGCTGAGGCACGAGAATTGCTTGAACCCAGGAGGCAGAGGTTACAGTGAGCTGAGACTGTGCCACTGCACTCCAGCCTGGGCAACAGAGTAAGACTGTGTCTCAAAAAAATTTTTTTTAAATGCAATTATAGATATTCTCAAGAATTTTGTTTTAGTTAAAGGGGTAAGTAGAAGCAAGTGATTTTTAGTCATAAAAGACACCTGTAGAACTTTTTAAAATCAGGCACATTCAGCCCTCACCACTGGAGACTTTGTTCCAGTAGATTTGGGGTTGATTCTGGGTATCTGTTTTTTCATGTTCTGTAAGAAAGTATAATTCAGTGCCAAAACCACTAGTGTTTAATATAAGGAAGACCATGGGCATTTCCAAGTTTGTTACAAAACCAACAGCAACTTAGTTTGCTTATTAAATAATAGCAACTCAGTTGTGATTTAGAATAAAAGTTGCAGATGTACCAAGTATTTTGTTGTACATTTGATTTCTGGATTAATTTTGAAGATCATGCAACTTACATTTCCATATCCCTTTACTGATGATTAGAGAAACAAAAGAAGGTATACATTTGTAAAACCTTTCAAAAACGTTTACATATTTATTTCCTTTAACTTTTACGACAATCCCGTAGGATAATTGGGACAGATATTTATTACTATCCTCATTCTATAATGGAGAAAACTGAGATTCAGGCTGAGTGATTTGCTCTAAATCTCCCAGCAAGTTTGTTCTAAAGATAGGACTTTGGGTTTTAGACTATGTTGTAATTTCATATAATAGTTTTACTTGTTTATCTTACTGTTTTTCTCAGACTTAAAGTTTGAATTTGGTGAACACATGCTTGATGATAGTAGATGGGCCTGTCAAAAATACTTTGGAAGATGGAAGAAAGCACAAAGTATTGACTTTACACATATACTCAAAAAGTTAAATGAGAACGCAGTTTTAAAAATGGGAACATCTTCCTCTTCTCTATCCAAATATTACCCATTCCTTAAGATTAAATTGAAATTAGAGTTCTCCTTGTTTTCTATAGGAAATCAATTTTAAAAGACATCTTTCTTTTAAAGCTTTTATAGGTATATCATGGTTTGGAATCAGGTCAAATGCAAGCAGTTTGTGTCTTAAGTTACATTCTACAAGTGATTTTATTTATTTTGTTTGTAAGTTGATTATCTAGAATTCTAACAGGTATCTATCTCTGTAGGTATGGTATTCTAAAACTAAGTTAGGTCTCCAAGATGAGTCATCAAGCATACACACACAGACAGACACATGTTTATGTCAATAGTAGTATAAAATCGAACCATCTTAAATAGCATCATTTCCATGGGACATAATATACCATTATATTTTCTACTCAGAGTATCCGGAAGATGTCTCATAGAAACTCCCTCTCCATAGCTACTTAAGGAGATAAGGCAGAGATTAAAGATTTTGAGGGGGTCCATTGGTTAGGGCTCCTTGGGATGGGGGACAGCTGTGGAATATGACACAGAGAGAGAGTTGCATAGAAGCTTCTGGAGCTTCTGGACCAATTAATTATTCCCATTTAGGATTTAAAGCAGCTGAGCAGGTTGAGGAGAATTCAGGTTATTTAGTCCAGTGGTCTCTAACCTGCTTTGATTGTGCACCCTATCAGTTTAAAAAATTTTTGAGCCTGCTTCCAAATATATATATGTTTCTTATAAATTATTCGCATCTCTCATTATACCAGTGTGCCTTATAAAAACTACATACACACAAAACAGATCTTAAGATAGTGAATTAAAAATTAAATGGGCCAGGCATGGTGGCTCACGCCTGTAATCCTAGCACTTTGGGAGGCCGAGGCAGGCAGATCACGAGAGGCCATCCTGGCTAACACGGTGAAACCCCGACTCCACTAAAAATTCAAAAAATTAGCCAGGCATGGTGGCGGGCACCTGTAGTCCCAGCTACTCAGGAGGCTGAGGCAGGAGAATGGTGTGAACCCGGGAGACGGAGCTTGCAGTGAGCCAAGATTGCACCACAGCACTGCAACCTGGATGACAGAGCAAGACTCCGTCTCAAAGAAAAAAGTAAATGGAGGCTGGATCCAGTGCCTTGTGCCTGTAATTCCAGGACTTTGGGAGGCCGAGGCAGGATGACCACTTGAGGCCAGGAGTTCAAGACCAGCCTGGGCAACATAGTGAGACCCTGTCTCTATTTTTAAAAAATAAAAGTAAATGGAAATAAAAGTTTTATTTTCTTCCTGCTCCTGAAATTCATGCCTTTCCTTTGCAGAGGACTGTTGTAGTGTCTTGAGGAAGGGAGTGTCCTGGTGTTACTTGCAGTATGGTCTGGCTCCACTGGCTTTAGAATTACCTGGGATATTTATTAAAATGCAGATCATTAGGCCATACTTAATGAATCAATGGAGGTAGGGCCTGGTTGTCTCCATTTTTGATACATTCTTTAGGGGAGTTTTGTACACATTAAAGTTGAGTGCCACTGTTGATGGGCATCTCTCTTTTTCCTTGGTAAGCCTGATTGTCTCTTCACAATTTATCAAACTGATACCTTTGAAAGGGATTCAGGGAGGAATATGAACCCCTACAGTCCTATTCCTTTTGTGCCATAGAGGCAAAGATGTGTATATATGTGTGCATTTTTATGGGAATACGTTTTCTTTAAATTGTCATAGGAGTCTCTGGCCAAAAAAAAAAAAAAAAATTGGTATGGACAACTGATGTGAATTATTATGTAACCTACTAGTTTTCAGAGAAAACCATTATAAGATTCTTAACCCCAAGGCTCTATTGGGCATAATTTAATCTTCTAAAATGATATAGAAAGCGTTTCATTGTAGTGTGAACATTAACTTTTATTTTGTGGTTATCTAAAAGTATTGATTGAACATTTTGGTTAATAGAAAACTAAATAACAAAATAATTCAGTTTGGGGCATTCTAAGGTTGAAGTGTCAGAGGGAGCCATGTGGAGCTGTCCCTTGTAACTAAAAGTTTATTATAATGCATGTATTTGCACGTACTTAAACCAACATAGAGCCATTGTTTAATTGGCCACTCTTATGTAGGAAAAGGGAAGAAAGGAACAATGTGTAAGTAAAAAGTAACCTAATTTAGCTTTATTCTGGGGAGAATGTTTAACAGGCTTTTAAAGAATTAATCACCTTTTTAAACTGAAGAAATAATTTACATTCACAATGATTAATTTAAACAGTACAAAGGTACTGAAAAGTATGCCTTACTTCCACCTAAAATTCCTTCCCCATTTTTTCCAGAAGCAACCACTAGTAATAGTTTTTGTGTATCTTTTTAGAAATATTATTTACCTCGTCTTTTTTTCCTTTGTTCTCCCCTTTCTCCCTTCCTCTTTCCTTCCTACCTAACACCATGCTTCTTTTACCTTACAGTTTCTTAGAGGTTGTTCCATAATATCCATTAGAGATGTACATCATTTCCTTTAATGAGTTGGCATATTCCATCATATAAAGGGATCATAATTGAAGTAAAATTGAGGGATGTTTAATTGTGTCTAGTCTTTCATGATTGGTATTGCAATGACTGTCATTGTACTAATGTCCCCTGAGCCTTTGTAGGGTATATAGCTACGTAATATATTTTTAGAGTCTCTGCACTTATAGAGACTTCTCTATAGGAGACTCCACTTATACCTACTACATACCTATAAGTAGAATTGTTGGTGTGTGCATTTAAAATTTTGGTAGCCATTGCTAAAATGCTTTTCAAGACCTTATACTGATTTAAAGACCTTTTGAGTGCCTGTTCATTCATTCTCATGTCAGCAAGGTAGTACCAAACTTTTTTATCTTTGCCAGTATGATCGATAAAAAATGGTGAACAGAGCTGAATTTGTTTCAGCTATCATTCAGAGCTTTTCTTCATCCACTCTTATTAAATTTTCAGTGACTCTTTTATGAGTTGGACAGCTGTGGCAGTTGGGATGGGGCAGATTCTTTATGAGCCAAGTATTTCTGCCAAAACAACATTGCTTCCCAGGCTTACTAAGTTACTATGACTGTCTTAAAGCTAGCCAGCCTCTGATCTCTACTTCCTAAAGCCCTGGGGTTGGAGTAGGAGTGACTGAAGTGGGGATTCTGAAGAAAAAGGGCAAGATACGGTATTCCTGTCATTGCCGAAGGTTGGCACCAATCCTATAGGTCATTTTCTCCACTCTTCCTTACTCTGCCCTTTCCCCTGGTACATGCCACTGATGTTGTTTGTCAGCGTAGCCATCCTGGAAGTTTGAATTTGTCTGTCAAGCCTGTACACACTAGCATTGTCAGTAAGCTTTGTTTTTAATGTAATACATAACAGCCAAATATTTTTATCACTATAAATCAAATAATGGCAAAATCAGAGCCAGGTATGTTTCTTCCAGCAGTGTCTTCTGGCTTGCCCTCTACACTAGTAACCTTTTCCCAGCTTTATTTTTCTTCCCTGATTTTCCATTTATCCTGATTTTCTTATCTGTTTATTTTATCTTGTATGTGGTTTTCATAAACAGTTTCAAATCTCTTTGAGAAGAAAATGCAGAGTATTACTCAACAAGTCATAGCAAAAATTAAAACAACAGAAAGGGAAATTAAAAGTTGAGAAAATGCATTCATTATCATTTGCTTTGTAGTAGCTCTGCTTTAACTATTTATGTAGATTCCTTCTATTAGTATTTGAACAAATGTCATGAGGTGCTGTGTTCATATTTCTTTAGCTACTCAGTAGACTTGATAGGAGCCACAGCCCTGGGACAATTCTTGGCACAGAGTTGCTCAATAAATAGTGTGTGGGATAAATGGACTATGCATACATTCCATTTGGCTTATTTTTTCCTTGGGTTTTAGAATAGTCAGTTTCTTCTTTCTGGGACAGTCTGAAGTAACCTTCCAGAAACTGAGCCTCGCTCTGCAACCCATCCTTATGTAGAAGACCATATGAGTTAGAGAGTCTCCAGGCCCTATCTTTTGAGAAAGTCTGTGGACATATTCCGCTTTTGCTGGATTACAGTTAAACCATTTAAACCAAACCTAAAAGAGTAGCAAAACAGTTGACTTTGTAAAAGGTCAGATGTATTTCAACACAGAACCATCAAAACACCTATGGAGTGAACCATACTTTATATCGAGTTTGACCCTATCTCCCATTCTTACTTGTGCCAATTTTCCTTTTGGCCTTACCTATTTTTTTCTTCTTTACAGATTGCTTGCACACATTTAGATGTGGATTTAGTCTGCATAACTGTAACAGAGAAACTACCATTTTACTTCAAAAGACCTCCTATTAATGTGGTAAGTGTACTTTCCATTCTGTATTTGAATCTTAGAAACTTACATTAGCAAATTGGAAAAGAAGCAGAAGAAATCAGTGTTCTTAGAAGGAAAAACAAAGGCTAGGGAATAGGAGGCAGTTTTAGAAAAGAGAATTTTCGTTTTGAAAGCTGAACAAAGGGAGAAAGAAAGCTTAAAATTAAAAATATCCAGTTAATTATTAAGATGTTTTTAAAAGGCCATAGAACCCAAAATTTATAAAGGATATTTCTTAAGAGGATAGCTAATAATCATGGGTACTTATAACCTGAACATCAATTATTAAGGGAACAGAGCAGTCAAAAAAGAAGAGGAAGGGAAAAAATAAAAAGCAGAGGATCCTTGAGGCACCAGGAAGCTAAAGAGAGTCAAGAGGGAACAGGGCATGGCATCACATAGACGTGGTCTATGCAAAATTAAAATCTGTGTTGAAGCATGCTTATTCACAAAGAGCCCAGAGTTACTTTTATATGAACCTAATAGGATGGCCATGTGTTCAGAAAACTTTTTTGTTTCTCCCTCTGCTATAGAATTTTTCTCATTCCCCTTCTACATAGTTTTCTCTTGTTTTCCCATACCCTTCATCTTCTATCTGTCCATTCCTTCTTCTGTCTTAATTTCCTCCCATTTCCATCATAAGGTAATATTATTTCACACCAGTAACTATTTTAGTAGCAAAAGGTCAGCACAGCTGTTAACTATTTGCTTTGCCAGTCAGATCCTAGGAGGAGTTCAGATGCTATTTTAGAGTAGTGGCTTCCAAAACCCTAGTCTCCTGTTCTCAAAAACTGGTATCCAAGGAGAAAAAAAAGAGTTTAGCAAATACAGTCAAAATTACATATCCAATCCTGTCAGAATCAGAAGATTAATTTTTTTTAAGTTTTTCAAAGGATAATTCCCTTGCTCTTTTGCCTCTGTAGAATCATAACTTTCTCAATTTTAATTCTCTTTGGTGCTAAGGAATTGGCTTGAGAATTAGAGGGAGACAGTAAGAGGAGAAAATGGAAAATTAGTATGTGAAAATTCAGTGTGGCAAAAATTATTAGTAGTAGTAGTAGTAGTAGTAGAGACAGGGTGTCACTCTATTGCCCAAGCTAGAGTGCAGTGGCATGATCATAGCTCACTGCAGCCTCAACTTCCTGGGATCAAGTGATCCTCCTACCTCAGCCTCCTGAGCAATTGGGACTACAGGTGCATGCCACCACACCTGGCTAATTTTTTTATGTTTTGTAAAGTTGAGGTCTCACCATGTTTCCCAGGCTGGTCTCAAACTCCTGGGCTCAAGCAATCCTCCCACCTCAGCCTCCCAAAGTGCTCAGCTTACAGGCATGAGCCACCATGCCTGACCCACCCAATGGGGAAAAGTTTAAGTTAGCTTATGTTCTACCCCTAAAAATATGCTACTCAAACTAAAAATATATCATCATATATTTCAAGGGAAAAACATAAAAGCTCTTGTTGGGTAAATTTTTTTTTTTTTTTTGAGACGGAGTCTTGCTGTCACCCAGGCTGGAGTACAGTGGCACGATCTCGGCTCACTTCCACCTCCACCTCCCTGGTTCAAGCAATTCTCCTGCCCCAGCCTCCTGAGTAGCTGGGATTACAGGTGCACACCACCATGTCCGGCTAATTTTTGTATTTCTTTTTAGTAGAGATGGGGTTTTACCATGTTGGCCAGGCTGGTCTCAAATTCCTGACCTTGTGATCCGCCCGCCTCAGCCTCGCCAAATGCTGGGATTACAGGCGTGAGCCACCACACCCGGCCTAGGGTAAATATTGACAGTACTAGTGAACATAACAATATTGGCTGAGCTCAAATCATTGGTTCCTTGTGTTATTGCCAGTACTTATAAATAAATAAGTAAACAGTGAAAAACCACTGAATCACCACATTTTCGAGTTGGAAATCTATGTTGTGCAACAGTTCATTTGTCAAATGTGGGGAAATGAAAAACTACAAGAAGTCATTCAGTTCTGTAGTCACACAGGGTTAGGAAAGTTCTGATTGGTTGTCTGTCAAGATCTCTGATGTGCCCCAGGTACCTATGATAAAAGCCACAAATTAATACAGTACTCAAGGTTATGGCAGTCTTGTTGGCCTCACATATTGTTTCTCTCCAGAGGTAGCAATCTCTGTCTTTAGAAGTTTGCCTAACCTTTTTACCAGCCTCAAACTGCCAATACAGTTTCTGTGGAAGTAGCACCCCCAGAGTTGGGCACTATAGCTACTCAGCAAATTGCTAGTGAACTTGCAACTTTTTCACCTTTTTCTTCATCTTAATGAACTAGGAAGGTCATTTTCTAGATGGCTTTGCCTGAATAAGCCCACATACGATACTGTGACCTTTGATGGGAGGAGCTAGCATGTGATGTTAAGGCCAAGTCCATGGAATGGACAGCAATGCACAACAGATAATTCCTCATGTCTCACGACAGTGGTAAGATTCCCAGTGGCTGCTTTGGTGAGAGCTTTTAATTGGGGTTCTTAGGAACTTGTATTATTATTTAAACCAGAGTGTGAGCTCCTAGAGAACACCGGCTGTCATGGTCCTTTTTTAAGTACTCCACTATCTTGCGTATAATGAGTCCTCCTTACAGTTTGTTGAGTCAATAAGTACATGTTGAACTTAGCATATCAGGGTACAGCATAGGGGACCTGGCCAAATTCTGCTCGTTGTTAGTCACCAGCTGGATGTCCACATTCATCAGGAAGTATATGCCGTGAGGGAAGTGGGGCAGTGGGGCAACATGAGGAGGACAGTGGCACTCAAGACAGTTGACACCAGGACACCCCACCCCCTGATTCCATTGGGAAGTTCAGGAAAGCTCCTTTCGTTTGATGGGCATTTTTCGCTTAATTCCTACATTTTTCAATTTAAGAATTCTGAAAAGTAAAAAATTCTGTCAAGTGAGAGGGATATGCAGTTTAACATGGTGTCTGCTTTAAAAAAAATCTGGTGTGAACATTTTGCATATGTTGTTTAATAAAAACTAGATGATGGAGTGGAAAGAAAGGCTGCACAAGATTATTTTTAGTCTTCATCTAGTAGAAGAGTAGGCTGCACTGTGAATTGGTCAGGAAGCAGAAGAGTCCCTGTTAATTTATTCACCTATTTTTTATTAAAGAGAGAAAGTTGGAAACATACAGGTGTCTAGCTTGTTGTTCAGAGTAAATAATAGTTGTGGCATAGGTATGTATGTATTATTTGTAACATAATATCCAGTCTGGCTGTGGAGCTGTTTGTCTACATAAAGTATGGAAATGTATACATTGTGAGAGCACAGTCTTGGTCCTTGCATGTTCCCTTGGCTTTGAGTGTAAACTTGTTTTTGGCCTTGAGAAGTTCATAGATTGGCTTTAAAAGGATCACTTTATAAGGATTACTTTTTTTTTTTTTTTTTTTTTTGAGACAGAGTCTCGCTCTGTCCACCCACGCTGGAGTGCAGTGGTGTGATCTCGGCTCACTGCAGCCTCCGCCTCCTCAGTTCAAGCAATTCTCCTGTCTCAGCCTCCCAAGTAGCTGGGATTACAGACATCCGCCACCACAGCTGGCTAATTTTTTTTTTATTTTTAATAGAGTTGGGGTTTCATCATGTTGGCCAGGCTGGTTTTGAACTCCTGACCTCAAGTGATCCACCCGCCTCGGCCAGGATACTTTAAATTAAGCACAGATCTTAATTTTGTCACGATGTGGGCCCTTTTCTTTGGTTGTGGTGAAAAGCAGTATTAAGAAAGGTAAATCATTCATCTTTTACCAATAGGCCAGATGCCATGTGAGAATCATCAGCTTGGAAGGTTGGGATTGTGAAGGAGGGCCCAGGAGCTCTATAGCATACCAAACACTCCATTTGTGTACTTTGCAGCTCTTTTCCCTTTTGTCATCTTCACTGTATGCTTAGGGCACCATAATTTCAATTATGCAATTTCCTCTAAAATCTCCCACAAACCTCTTCTGGAGTCTAAGTAACTTGTCATCGCATTTCTGTCATGTGATAGATGTGTTTCTAAAAAATTGGATTCCACTCCTTTTCTTGAATAATCACATGACTTCAGATTATTTAGCATTTTATGACATAAGCAGTTTGATACCTGCTTTGGCCCAGCAGTTTTGGGATGGGGTAGATGTTAATTATCTCCATATGCAGGTAATACAGTAGAATCTTAGGTAGTTCATGGTTCACACAGTTAAATGACTCTCTCAAGGGGTTGACAAGGGATTTGTACTCAAGCTTTGATTCCAAATCTGCTGTTATTTCCTACTGGGAAATGCTTTTTAAAGTTACTTTACAGCAGAACTCTTTGTTAAGCACAGAGTAATTTCATATTTTAAAACATGAGCTTTATGAATTCAGGTTGTGAGAAGAAGGATGTTCTTAAAACAGCACGTATCTCTTTACTTTCCCTTTGATTTTTTTACAATGTTATTTCCATTTCAATGTTATTGTCACTTAACAATGACTTCAAGCTTATTGAGTTATTTTAAGGGATCTTATATGTTTTACACTCTCTCTGATGTTTTCCCCTCAGTCCTTCCTTTAACCCTAATCCATTTCTGTCTTCGTGGTCCGATTACTCCCCACTGAGAGATGTTTAGTAAGTAGTATCTAAACAGTGAGGTAGTTCCATGAATCATGCTATAAATACTTGATTTGGATGTGAGTGTTCTGTAAACTTTGTTTTATCACACATGAATCTAATGTGTTAAGTACTGTGTCCATTCAGTGCCAGCAAATTGTGCCAGTATTAAAAATTTCTGTGGAAAAAAAAAATGCAAACAACACCAGAAACAAGGTTAAAAGACAGATGACAAACTGATGGAAAATTTTCACTCATGTCATAGACAAAATGCTTATTCCCTTAACACATAAAGACCAAAGAGTGCCTAGAAATTAATAAGTTAAAAAAAAAGATGAACAATACCAAAAAATGGATTAAGAATATGAAAAAGGCATTTCACAGTAAAGGAAATGCAAACAGGCCTTAGACATATGAAAAGATGATTAAATTTATCATAGTAAGAGATTTCACATTAAAATCACCTGTGTGATTAGAGATACACTCTGTTGTAAGGCTGCAGGAAAGCAGACATTCTCATATTTTGCTCGTAACTGTGTAAATGAGAACAGTCCCTATGCGGAGAGTGGGTAATTTGGCAACAACTATTCAAATTACAAATACGTTTACTGATTTAAACAACAGTTTTAAACTGTATGATCTCACAGTTCTGAAGCCTGCAAGTCTGAAATCAAGGTGTCAGCATGGTCTTGTTCCCTCTGAAATCTATAGGACCACCTTCCTTGCCTCTTTTTAGCTTTTGGTGATTTTCTGGCAATCTTTGGTAATCCTGGGCTTGCAGCTACGTAACTCCAGTCTCTGCCTTTGTCTTCAGTGTGTTCTCCCTGTTTGTCTCTATGTCTTCACATGGCCATCGTCTCATAAGACACCAGTCATATTGGATTAGGGGCCTACCCTATTCCAATCTGACTTCATCTTAACTAATTACATCTACAGTGACCCTATTTCCAAATATAAGATTACATTCTGAGGTACTGAGGTTTAGGGCTTCATTGTATCTTTTGTGGATGAGGACGCAATTCAACCCATTATGCCTAGCAATCCCACTTTAGTGTTATTCTACAGATACACTGAAACCACCCAAAGGCTCTCAGTAGAGGTTTGGTTAAATACATGCTATACCTCTACAATATGATACTCTACAACTGTAAAACAGAGGAAGTTATGAGCTGACTTGGAAGAGCTTTCATGTCAGGACAACAATGCAGCAGACTACCTTTTGGATAGGAAAGAAAAATAGTATCTCTTCGTATTTGCTTATAGTTGTATGAAGAAACTCTGGAAGAAGACACAAGAAATTAATAAAAGTGATTATTGGAGGAAGGGATAGGGCAGATAGGATTGGAGATGCAAGTAGTACTTTTTATTGTTTTCTTATGTTGCTTTGTGAGTCATGTGGACAAATTACCTGTCTTAAACACTGAAAGGGTTTCATTCATTTGAATTGAATAAAGAACTAATTTTTATGAAATTAACAGGGAATCAGTATATTGTCCCAGTAATCAGCTCCTTACTTTCTTCTCGTCTTTCTCTAAGGCTTTGCTTAATACTTGGAATTTTAGTACCAATGTATCTTGATTCAACTGTCACACACCTGTCCTTAGTAGCATCTTTATGACCATTATTTTTCATTAGTAAAGAAATGTGATCATCCACCCATGCCAGAACCTTTGGTCAGACATGAGAACAAAAGCTAATCAGGCAGGCACTGTTAGGAAGAGGCTGTTAGGAACAATCATTTGATGAGCTTTAGGCAATTTGCATCAAAATGGTCTTACAGCAAGATCCCAGGTAATGAGTCTGTATTTTATCCATCTAAAAATTTAAAATAAGATGCTATGAAAGAAATATTCACAACCTTCAATAGCACATTATTTTTAATTTTTCTTTTTCAAGAATTCCTATAGCAGTTTTAAAGTGAACTTGATTAATGTACCAAGATGAAAATCAGAACTTTTTCCTTAAAAAATAATTATGCTGATAATATCCTTTTTTTCTCCCCTCCCCCCGCAAAAGTTGTTTTTATTTTGATTTGGTACCCACAAGGGTCTAGAAATTTAGATTCAGTCAATTAGGAATATTTCGAGATCTAAGCATCCAACTCTATATATCATTCACCTCTTTCATTTATTTCCCCTCTTCATCATCCTGTTGCCTTGTATTATCGTTCCACAACTAGAAGGATAAGGAAAAGAAATACAGGTCAGCCTCTTCAGCTAATTAGTAGTTTTGGTAAAATATATAGCCAAGGAGATGGCTGATAATATGGCTAAAAGGGATGTTTTTACTTATCTGTGGTTTTTGGTTAGCCAGGTGCACCGAGGTTCCTTTGATGATGGATCATCTATAATGAACAACGTTATCACAGGACATCTTCTCCATAAGCTGCTATTTATTCACTCAAAATATAAATATATTATACACCTTTTATGTAAAAGGCAGTCTAGCTCTCAAGAAGTGTGCAAGCTTGGCAGAGCCAATGAGATACACGTTCAACTAGGACAGAAATACTATCTTAACAAATGTCATTCCCAGAAATAATCAACACAGGTGAAAGAATTAGAGATGGGGAAAAGTCAAAAAATGAGAGAGGGAAAGGTTGCAGTGTGGAAAATAGCATTTAAATTCTAACCAAACTAGAATCAGACATATAGGAAAATCTAAAATAAAATCTGGGAGCCTTGAAGCCGGAGGAAGAATTAAGGAAATCTGTGTTCGGG
This sequence comes from Homo sapiens, assembly GCF_000001405.40. Taxonomy (NCBI): domain Eukaryota; kingdom Metazoa; phylum Chordata; class Mammalia; order Primates; family Hominidae; genus Homo; species Homo sapiens. Next base: position 90,893,216 of record NC_000010.11, read on the forward strand.
AGGGAAAAGCAGAAGGGGCCTTCAAGTACAACTGAATTAAATCAAGATGGACTGCCAGTTCTAGAAAAAGACAAGTTTCTCCATTCCCCGTAAATGCTCAGGAGTAAACCCCAGTAGTCACAGCTGGGCCAGTCCCAACTTATACTCTGGGCAATCGAAACTCATTTGCCAAGCAGAGACTTGGACCATACTGCCTAGAACATGCCTACCATTCTTTCTTTATTCTTTTGAAAGAGTACTGCCACTCAAGTGACTTTTGCAATTGAGAGTCTGATTATCATCTCTATGCTGAAAATCCTTCAGATGTTTTCTCCATTAGGAATAATCCTCATCACCAGCTCTAAAGGCCTGCACAGTTGGCCCTTCCCATCCTCTTTAGCCTGTCTTCCTCATTATTTTTCTCCAGCATTTGACCTTCCCTACGTGCTGCCATGCTGCAACCTTGAAGACTTTTGCATGCTCTGACCTCCCTCTGAAAGTGCACCTTCCTCTACTATTTAACTGCTTAATTTCTTCCTCAACCCTAAACTTCTCCTTGATAGCACTTAACACAGTTGAAGTTTTGTATTTTTGTGTGGTTATTGATCATCTCCCCCACTAAAATGTAAGCTTTTAGAAGGGAGAAACCATCTCAGCTTTTGCACGTAGTGGGCTTAAAACATCTTTTGTGAATGGATGCAGACATTTAGGTGCTCATTAGGAAAGCTGAACAGTATGGTGGTTAATTTCAATATCATTTCCACTCATCTACTTACCTGTGGATCCCTCTGTAGTAAGAGTACATTAAATAAAGAAGTTTCTGTTTCTCATGAAAAAAGCCAAGCTTGTATGGTGAGCTGGGCAAAATCTTCAAGGGCACTTCCATCTTTTTTGCTGTGCGGCTATAAGCCCAGTGAAAAATCAGGGGCTTTATTACTAAAGAAAAAGGAGAGGACAGATATCTGGGCAATTTGCAGGCTTTGCAGTAATGCTTTATAAAGGTATTGTAGTAAGGATTAAATATTATATATAAGACTCTCTTAGCATATAGTCAGCACTCAATTAACTATGGCTGTTATTCTCTCTTCAACATATAGAGAATAAATTACTTACCTGAAAGACCTTCCTGCCCTTGGTTCTTTGGGCTTTTTTCAGCTCTTCATTTCTTTGTCTCTTTGTGCATTCATAGGTCAGATTACTTGGTTTACTATGTTTGTATACAGTTTACTGTAAATGTAGGGAGTACATTTCTGTTTTCCTTTTGATAGTTCATGGAGTAGTAGCCCCTCTCTCACGCCATTGGGACTTTGTTCTTCTTAGCCTCTTCATAATTCCTGTTTATGTAAAGTCAGCTTCCCCACAGCCAAGTTAAACTCTCTTAATCAAGTAGAGCCACGGATTTATTTTCTTCTCCTTGTGGGTGGTGCCATTTGAGTGTTGATCTGTCTTTCATAAAGCTGTACCTTGACATGTAAGGGGTCAGTAGTAGGGAGTGAGGAGGGATGTGAAGAGAGAATCAGTGAAAATGAAGTAGGCCAGTGCATGCTTATCTCTGACAGTTCTCTTTATTTCCTGTGAAGGCGATTGACCGAGGCCTGGCTTTTGAACTTGTCTATAGCCCTGCTATCAAAGACTCCACAATGAGAAGGTATACAATTTCCAGTGCCCTCAATTTGATGCAAATCTGCAAAGGAAAGGTATGGTTCTATAATTTTAGGATGTTTTTCGCATCTGGCAGTTTATTATTAGTAGTACACTGGAATTGTCAAACTGACTCCTTTTCCTTAAAGCAGAATGTTCTCATAGCATAGGAACAAATTCTGCCATTTCAGTGAGCTCTGCAAATTTTAAGGGAAAGAAAAATACCAAGGGAAGAATAATGTAAGGGAGAAAAAGATGTGTTGGAAGCCATATCTTTTGATAAAAATTTGCAATTTACATACTGTGAAAGAAAAGTCTAGAATAACAATGGTCCTCACTGAGTTGAATTAAGATATGTGACCTTTTCATCTTGTTTTTTAAACTTAATTCACCTTTACTAAGATCTGTTAGGAAAACATATTTTGTTTTTTATTACAGATTGCCTTTAGTTTGACATGAAGTCTTTTCATTTTTTTCACCTTAATTATTTACCTTATCTTTAAAAGAAGTTGGTATTTGAGCCTTAAATGTTAAAATATGATTACTGGCTATTTATATTATGAAACTCCTTTTTTTACATTTATCTAAGATTAATATTAGTCACTTTCTATTTTGTAGAATGTAATTATATCTAGTGCTGCAGAAAGGGTAAGTCTAGCATGAAGTACTTTGTTTTCATCTTTCAGGTTATAAAACTTTTCAGTTTCTAGGGGATAAATTAAAATAGTAAATGAATATTTGTTGCATTTTTTTCTATTTTAACTGCATTTGCTCATTGTAATTGCTAAATAGTAAAATTTATCCCCACTTTCTTTAGGCTTCAACTTTTGTTTATATAATCAGTTTTTCTTTTATACTGTTACAAAATGCCTTTCAAGCTTCTCTTATATTTTCAAAAGCTATGAAACCCATCAAAATTATAAGGACTTAAATTTATGTAATTTTTTTATTTTTGGATACTTAAATTTTCTATTAATTTGCTATAAGTCATTGAAATGTTATAAATAATTTTCTCATATCTACTCTTTGTTCATTTTATTTCAGCCTTTAGAAATAAGAGGGCCATATGACGTGGCAAATCTGTATCCTTTTCTGAGTAAAAAGTTGTTGACATTGTCTTTCAGGAAATTTTGAATTTGAAGTCGTATTATAGTTGAACATGTATTTTTCTCAACCTTTTACTGTAAGTTTACCAATTAATAACTTCAAAAATAAATTATATAACATTATAGAGAGCTTTATGCTTCTGTTTTTTAATTAATCATGAGATAGAAAAGAGGGAATGAGGGACTTCATATGATAAAAGCTTAGAGTTAAATGAGTCTTTTCTCAGATGCATGTTCCAGTTGGACTAAGAACTGCTGTTGAATTAATTAGCCTCTCAAGATGACCAGGTTAGCTGGCACTTTCTGTTATGTTTGTGTTAGTCTCGTGTCCTTGGGTGACTCTGGGTTGAAATCTTTAATGCTCCCCCAAGAGGCTTGCTGTTTGGGCTCTCTGAAAGTGACGCCAAGGCTGCGGTGTCCACCAACTGCCGAGCAGCGCTTCTCCATGGAGGTAAGCAAGTTCTTCCAGTACAAACTGAATGGTCATGTTAAAAGCAAGTCATTTTTACAGCCATACCTATTTTTATTGCCCTACCCTACAGAGTTCCTTTGGGATCATCTTTTCTCAACCTGTTCTAAACACAGTCATCAGTGTTTTCTCACCCTCACTTCAGGCTTTACTTTCTAAAGTTTGTAGAATGAATATAGTTTTCATTACAGAAATAAGTATTGAATAGTTCTTCCAGCTATACATGTGTGCTCCTGCCGACATTTTGATAGGCTTCTAATCTCCCTTCCTTCTTCTCCCTCACCAGAAGGCCATGCTTTCCCTGTTGAAAATCTCTGTTTTAGAGAACGGATATGTTAAAAATATGTGTTAAACTATTTATTAGGAAAACAAAACCAGCAAATACATTTTTAAAAATCCAACTAACAAAACATAGACTGTAACTTTTACATTTATTATAACTCAGAATGTTTCTTTTCTCATGTTTGCTTACATGGTCAAGTTGTGTCCAGACTGTACCTTTTTTATTTTTTTTTCTTTTTCTAAATAGAGACAGAGTCTCACTATGTTGCCCAGGCTGGTCTTGAACTCCTGGGCTCAAGCAATCCTCCTACCTCAGCCTCCCAAAGTGCTAGGATTACAGACATGAGCCACCATGCCCGGCCAGACTGTACATTTTTTACTCACATTTTGTATATGTACCTTTTCACTGACTGAGTTTCCTGCTCATCAGATGTTAAAAATTGAAAGTATGCTGAAACTTTGGAAAATGAAAGTGAAATTTTATTAAAACAATTTAAGCTTTTGATCACTGTTTTGTCTTCGTTATCTTTATAATTCTTAGGACTAGTTGTAGTGGTTAAGAAGCAATTTCATTGATATCACCCAAGTGAATTTTAAACTTCAAAGTAGATTGCTACATATAGACTGAGTTATTTGTCATATGAATAGCTAGGTTATTGAGGGCTTGTGTGTTGGGCTTTATTGATCTGATTTCCACTTGAGAGAACTGCTTATGTATTGGCTTGCCGTAAATTAGATGATTTTGCTTTTAGTTTCAACATTTTTAGTTTGAGATTTTTGTATTATGTAGCCTAGAACTCATCACATAAGCTTTGGGAGTGGTCAAATTAATGGAGATTTTGAATAATGATTTTCTTGAAATTAGGGAACAGTTGGTTCACACTTTGATAGTTCTGTCATTATTTTGATCTATTTTAAATAAACATTCATCAGGATTTTGAGTAACAGTTGGGGTTCCAAAATGGACTAAACAAGAAACAGAAACTAAAATATAAATACATACATAATTTTATATATAGGAAAATAGGAAGTCCTGCATTTGACTTTAAGAACTCAGCTATTCAGCATATAACACATAATATGTAAAGTATTTTTTTTTAGAATTTCTTTTTGTGGGTACATAGTATGTGTATATATTTATGGGGTACTGAGATATTTTGATATAGGCATGCAATGCATAATAATTACATCATGGAAAATGGGGTGTCCATCCCCTCAAGCATATGTCTTGTGTTATAAACAATCCAATTATGCTTTTTTAGTTATTTTTAAATATACAATTAAATTGTATTGACTATGGTCACCCTCTTGTGCTATCATATACTAGACCTTGTTCATTCTATTTTTTTTGTACCCATTAACCATCTTCACCTCCCTCTCAGCCCCCCACTACCCTTCCCAGCCTCTGGTAACCATCCTTCTACTTTCTGTCTCCAGGAGTTCAGTTGCTTTGATTTTTAGATCCCACAAACAAGTGAGAACATGTGATGTTTGTCTTTCTGTGTCTAAAATCAGGCTTTTATAGAAGCTAAACTTAAAGAAGACTTGTGAACTTTGGGTGGCATTACCATTCACCCCAGTGTACCCAGGACAGTTCTAGTTTATGCCTGCTGTTTCTGTGACCTTATTAGCACTTCTATTCCCTGAAGAGAGTCCTAAACTAGATGATAAAATATGGTTACCCTGGTTTTCGTTGCCATTGGGATCAGTATGAGACGGTAGTATGATGTGTTCTTAAGATTGCTAATTCAGCCTAGGTAATATTAGAAGAAATAAAGGATTCTGAGACAAGGAAATTCAAAGCCTCGTTATTATACTCTCATTGATGAAATCTCAGCCGGCATCTGTATCATTCTGAGTGCCACATTTAAGAAGGACAGCAGTGCACTGAAACACTATTGGAAAATGTCTACTCAGTCCTTAAAGGGTCTGGAAGCCTCATGATGAGAGGAATCACGAGGGTGGTGCAGACATGGATACCTGGCAAGCAGAAGAGTTGGGACACATGGTAGTTAGCTTTCAACTTGGAAGGCTTGCCACAGGAAATCAGAATTAGGTTCTTTGGGGGTCCAGAAATCTAGAAACCAATGAATAGCAATTCTGAGGAGGTTGTGGGGAAAGGACAGAGGAAAGAGGCCCAAGGTCAGGGTCTTTGGCCTGTGATTGATAAAGTTCATGCCCTCAATCAGCCCCTGGACCAAAATGAACCTGTTGGGGACACCTGCCTTAGCCCCTTGTGAACAAAATTATTCACTCGTAGATAATCCTTTAGATTTTCCTTGGCAAGATGATTAAAGGAAATACTATATGTGAAAACATTTTATAAACTAAAGCATACACAAATGTAACGTCTTGCTGTTACCAAGAAATGCATTTATTTTTAAAAGACACTAAAGAAATTAATGCATTTTGTTAAAAAGTGCTGATTTTCATAATGTTTATATTTCAGTTGATTTTTAGACTATGGGTACAGAATCAGTGACATAAATTAATAGCTATAAGTGTGACGTTTTTCATTTGGTGAAATGGAAATCATTGACAGTTTTTATTTTGAGGTTCTTATTATGTTGGCATTTTAATGACCTTGAGAGCAGTTTTATCCCTTTTACAAATAAAAGTGTTTTAAAATAATTGGCAGAGTAGATTTACTAAGTTAATCTTGATAAATGGGAAAATAATGCTTAACACTTTATGGTTGACTTTACGTTTATTACTTGAAATAAGGAATAATTCATAGCTAAATTTCTGTTCAAGTTCTTTTGATTCTGCCACCTTTGTAGCTAATGGGTATCTCTCTCTTTCTCCATAATCCCTTTCCATTTCTAAGGACAGAGTTTGGGTCTGTTTTCATGACACTATGGCCTTTCATAAGTTACCCTTCCAAACTCTATTTTCTCCTAATTTTTTTGTATTCCTACTTCACATCAGCCATATTGTCCCCTAAACTATTTTACCTAGGTTCTTCTTATCTTTCTCTCCATGCCTTTGTAAAGGAATATTTCTCTTTTTCTTACTCCGTTTACCCTATTCTGAGTAGTGTCACCTTTATATAATACCTCATTGCTTTAACCAGGCAGTTAATTCTTGTGGATGCCTCCATTCCTATTATATTTGCTCTTATTGTGCTTCTCGCATGCATGTAGTATAGGGAAAAGCACTGTCTGTTAGGAATCTTAATACCCTCTGTATGGACACAGTGCCTAGCCTATTAGTAGGTTTCTAGGAAAAATTGGTTAAATTTAAGTTGAACTCTGCTGCCAGCCTAATCTAAGCATTTAATAATTTCTATTTATTCTTTGTTCATTGTCACCAGTTAAAGAGATCAATAAATTTATGAGTGATTTTATTCATTAACTCAACTAGTATTTACTGAACACATTTTGCATAACCAGGCCATTGTTGAGTGTTGGCAATATAATGCAATTGATTCTTCAGAGGTACCTTGATGTTCTAATAAGAGAGATAGGGTACATGCTGTAAAATGAGGCAAGCATGTGCTCCACATGGGAGCCATACACTTGATTGCTGTGTTTGCTCTCTTGATTTGTCTGTCTACCATATATAAAGTGTCTGCTACATCAATGTCTGTGACTGGGTTCTGGCTACATAAGATGCCATGGACAGACCATTAGAGATAACACTGTCCTGCAGTTTTACCCATGAGGTAATCTTTAGGAATGAATTAGATGTTAATAATATACTGATATTTGTGTCTGTTGGGAAAAAAAGATAATGACGGTAAATGGCACTAGCAGCCATAGCAGTTCATTATGGCTTATCATTTGCTATTGCTGTAAGCCAAAGTAATATGTTAAACCACCTCATTTTAAATTATGTCTTAACTTCAAGCACAGTGGTTTCCCTGTTTGTTTTACAGAAACTAGAAAAACTGCTTTTGGAATTATCTCTACAGTGAAGAAACCTCGGCCATCAGAAGGAGATGAAGATTGTCTTCCAGCTTCCAAGAAAGCCAAGTGTG